>NC_000011.10:78934483-79237514 GCF_000001405.40 Homo sapiens | reverse complement strand
AGTATAGACAGGGTTTTACCATGTTGGCCAGGCTGGTGTCAAACTCCTGAACTCAGGTGATCCGCCTGCCTCGGCCTCCCAATGTGCTGGGATTATAGGCATGAGCCACCATGCCAGGCCCTATGTTTACTTTATACCAGAGTTTAATAAGCCAGGTGATCTGATTTCCCAGGCATTAGCAGAACTGTAGCAGGGCATCAGGGCAGTGGTGGGTGGGGCCTCCGGAGGAGCTTGTCTCTCCACCCTGTCTTAGTCCAGTCATCCAGTTAATACAGGTCTTTAAGGCGCAATGTATGTTTGGGGCATAGGGGAGATAAAGACATAAAAAAATCTCTTCTCTTTAAGGAGCTTACAGTTTTGGGACAGACGGGTGTTGGCTCAGTCAATGTTCTTAGTTTCAGACAACAGAATCTATTCTGTCTAGTTTAAACAGAAAAGGATTTAATACAGGATATTAGATGGCCTGCAAACCTTTCAGGAATGCCAGGGACTCAAGCTTGGCTGCCAGAGAACCAGAGAAGTACCTGGCATGGCATAGGGCTCCTTTAACGGAATCCCCTTTGTCTCACTCCTTGGGACTCAACATTCCGGGAACCAGACAGCAGAGCCTACGCCACAGCTGTCCAGATAAACAAACACCTCCACCACTGTGTGGGTGGGAAGATCCAGTGCACCCGAGCATAGTCACCACCTCCTGTAACAACATCCGCCCTCTACAATCCTGTGGGTGCATTTGCTCCATAGAACTTGGGTCTCGCCGCAAGGGAGTCAGTATATTGTTTCCAGCTGTCTAGGCTCGTGGAAAAGAAAGCACACTGGAAGGAGGTTGAAGTGGGTGTTGAGAAAGCCTGTATTTGGTATCTGCTGCAGATGTGGCCAGATAATGAGAGTCCAGTGAGCCAAGTCCTGCTGTACAGTTGTGTTCTGAGGGTTCGCTCACCATCCGACACAAGCACAACAAAGCGAGCACAAAGTGATACTGGAGTGCTGACAGTCAGGGAGAAGATCACAGCGCGAGAAAGAGAGAGCGCAGAAACTTCAAAAGCATGAAATGATGCTGGGGCCATTTCATTTAGGAGCAAATAACCCTGCAGAAGGTAGTCACAAAGGGCATCAGCGTAATAGAGCAGAGTAAAAAGAATAGCTGTGCGTGATCCTTAGCCATCAAGGAAAGTTTAGATTGCATTCAGGAGACTTCGACTAGAAGGCAGGAATGTCTCAAACAGGCATCCGAAGGATTTCCACAAATAACGAGGTGCATTTTCCCTTTACAATTTGTGCTACAGGACTGAGACGTGGAAATCTGGGGACTCATGTACTCTGTGTTATTATTGATTATATACCTTTTTTCCATACGGTATCAGGTAATGGAGGTTTCATGGCAGCATCAGAGGCCTCTCACTCCCCAAATGAGTACCATATAGGCCAGGGACCGTGAACCCTGAGTATCCTTCCTACAGGAATCAAGTCTCCCGAAAACAGAAATGCAGACACTTTTGGAAGAGGAGCGCATTGTTTACAGGGCAGCAGCGGCTTTCTCCTATGCATTGTATGAATGCACAGAAGGAAGAGCTTGAACCTCAGGCATCAGGGCACGAAAGAATCCATCTAAACAAGCAAAACAAGTTCAGCTAAAAAAAAAAGTCCTCATTCTTACCAGAGTTCAGATAAATCTAGGAAAGCTCAAAGAAAGGAGGGCAAGGGGGCCTGGAGAAGGGAGTGTTCATTATGAGGAAAAGAGTCGTTTCCATAGAGCCACAGACCAGTGATCAGTTTTTGAACCTGAAGAGCTCAAAATACATTTATGCACTTGTATAACTATTTATAGTCATACGTTGATGTATTTATAGCTATGTGGAGGCTGACACTAAGGCCTGTTTTCTTGTCCCCTGGTCCAGCTTTTAGTTCCCATTTCTCTGCCTTCCCAAACCTTCCTGTCTTGAGTTCCATTTGATCAATCATTAACAACAGTCTTGCCAACAATGCTAACGATTATCATTAGTGTTATTACAGAGGTCCTAGGGTCCCTATCTTGAGCACCTCCCCTGTGTCAGGCCGCATGACTAGGGAAGAGAGCAGCAGGAGCTTCATCCGTCCCAGGTCTCAACCCTGCATCTCTCACTTTGTACTCTACAGGGGGGCCACCCTGTCTCTCAGAATTTGACTGGAATGCTTGTCAGGGAGACTTCATTTTTTTTTGGAGACGGAGTCTCACCTTGTCACCCAGGCTGGAGTGCAGTGGCGCGATATCTTGGCTCACTGCAACCTCTGCCTCCCAGGTTCAAGCGATTCTCCTGCCTCAGCCTCCCGAGTAGCTGGGATTACAGGCACACACCACCACGCCTGGCTAATTTTTTGTATTTTTAGTAGAGACGGGGTTTCACCGTGTTAGCCAGGATGGTCTCTATCTCCTGACCTCATGATCCACCCGCCTCAGCCTCCCAAAGTGCTGGGATTGCAGGCATGAGTCACCGCGCCTGGCCAGTCAGGGAGACTTCTGATGGGATTTTTAGTCTTCCCTCTTGGTATTTTAACAAGGCCCTGTGGCTTCACTGAGCCCAATGCCAGATATTTGGTTTCTGGAAAGTTCAATGCTTCAGTAGATATTTTCTTCTTACCTTGCCAGACCCCGCAAGCCAGGTGCCCCGCATCCAGGGAAAAGGCTCACTGCGGGCCCCACTCCAAGGACACAGGCAACGTATTCATGGGTACACTGTTTCTTTTCCTAAGGGAAGCACTAGCGCTGGGAAATAAACCCACCTCCATTCCCACGTAGCAATTATGTGCACAATTACAGTTCCAGCAGGTGTCACTTAAAAGGATGAGACCCATTAAGTGTTTAAATGAGAAAGCAGAAAGGAGCCTCTGAGAACTCCCAGGAAAGCCACTCTGCAGAGGTGGAAGAAGGGAGCACATGGGACCTTCCCTGAGCATTTCCTTGCCCTCACCCTCCACCCACCATGCTTTCCCATAAGTGATCTCATCCCAGCCTGAGGGCAGCCCTTGGTACAGAGGTTAACAGGCCTTTGTGAGCTAATGGAGAAATTGAGCTCAGCCCCATGCAGTGAATTGCCCGAGGCCTCTTAGCCAGTAAGAACTGACATAAGATGCACATGCCTATACAGGGAATGCATGCCAATATCATTCATCATTTCAGGTCCATAGAGGGCCAAACCTTCCCTTCGCTTTTTCTATAGCTTTCAGGGTGCCCAGCACATATCAAATACCCAATAAGTACTTGACAGGCTTCTTTATAGCAATTTTCTCCCCATTGTTCAAATGATGAATGAAGCATTCAGAGGAAAAGAAGGTCAAAGGGAAGAAAGTGCCAGGCATATGCAAGCTTATTTCAATTAACATTTACAGTACAAAGTGGGTTTTATTGCTTTTACAGATAGGGAAACAAGTCTCAGAGAAATGAAGGGACTTGCCCAAGTCTACTTGGCTGTTGAGTAGCAAACGCCATATTTGAACCCAGGTCTGCCTGAGTCCAAACTCTGTGCTCTTTGCACTACATTGAACAACCTCCGTTGGGATCCATCACACTGCAGAGGTAACTGCATGCTTCCCCTCACACAGCCATGTGGGAGGTGAGTTCAGGGATGTCACCCTTCAGTACAACCTATTGAAAGGGCCTCTTCCTTTTCGCTCATTGGAAGGATCCAGACCATGGCTAAGCCAGAAGAGCCTTCTATTTGCTGGAATCATGTAAACTCTATTTCTGAGCCATCTTAACCAAGGTTTGCCCACTGAAAGTTCACAAAGGGCCACCTGGAGGTGGGGTAGGAATACATACCAGGGCTCTACTGGCCCACAGGCCTGCTTCTACCCCAACTGGCGATCTCCTCTCCCCATTCACAGCCCCCCGCCTTGCCCCACCAATATGAAGTACTAACACCTGGGTCCGTGTCTCCCTGTCTTGCCTAAGTGCCTCACATTCTGCTCCATCTGGAAACCAGGGGTCAGCCTCAGGCACAGCTCTCTCACCCTTTCTGTGCCATCACTTACCAGGTTTTATTAAGTTCATCTACCATCCTCACTCAAGTCCCCTCCTCCTTCCCGTCCCCCTGCCTCTTCCACAATCTAGACCTTTGCAGCAGCCTCCTCCCTGGTCTTCATAGCTCCCTTTCTGCCCCCATCTTCTGTATAATTATAGATGAGCTTTGTCAAACATGTACTTTAACCATCCAACCAGCCACCCAACCTTCCATCTGTCCAATACATGTTTACTGAATATATGCATATTTGCTATGTGTCAGAGTTCATGCTAGACTTGGGATGCAGAGCTAGATAAGAAATAGACCAGTCTGTAGTGGTGGAGAGAGATATGTTAGTAAATAACATTGTTTGGGAAGGGAAACCCAAGGCATGGCGTCTGACTCAGTCTGGCAGCCTCAGCGGAGGCTTCTAGAGGGGCTGGCATGGGGTCAGGGCAACTGTGCATATACAAAGGCTTGACCCTGCATTGCCCATGTGGGGAGCTAAAAATGCCCAACAAGCCTAGAGGGAAGGGTGGTTCCTGGCAAGGCAGAGACCAAACCATGAAGTGCTTTGTGCTGTGAATCTGGAATTTCACCTGTTGGCAATGGTACACCCCGGACAGTTTTAACCAAGGGAGTGCCATGGGCAGGGAGCTCTAAACCACTCCACTCTCCTGACCTCACTTGGGTGTCCTGGTGAGCTTTTGCCCAGGTTCCAACCTCCAACCAGATCACTGATTCACCTCCTTTTCTGGCTGACTGAGGATCTATCCAAACAGCAATTTTATTCTCCCAGACACTGCTCACCCACAAGAGTTCGGAATCACCCTTGGAGAAATTCCTTTATATTCTCCCTGTGTTCTGGACACAATGTGTCTTGAATATTAGCACAATTCACTGGACTGGTGCCTGTTGAGTGTGTGGATGGCGAATTGTTTTGGGATGCACTCAGCAGCTCCTGCCTCACCACATCTGCCCATCATCCTGGAGTGCCTGGTAGGAGCAGATAATAAATGGGCCAGCTGCCACCTCCTGCTTTTCTAATCATCTGTCAAAGAAATGGAAAACTCACTCGCAGTCACTGCTGAATGCAGATGGGGTCAGTGCATGTTGGGTTCAGAAGTAAGGAAAAGGAGGGGCACAGGCTGGGGCTGCCCGTGCAGGGTTTCTGCGCCTGAAGACTCTGCCCCAGCATGCTCTCTTGGCCTTAACCTGCCCTTTCTTCATGCGTCCTGCTAGCCTCTGTACTATCTGAAACAGTCCTCACCAGCTTCACTTCAGGGCCCCTTACACATTACTGACTCCACAGAAAGCATGACCCAGAACCCTGAAGAACTGGGTTGGAACCCTTGGCTCTATGACCTTGGACCAGTAACTTCCCCTCTTGGAGTAGTGGGGTTTTATTTATTTTTTTGTTTGTTTTGTTTTGTTTTGTTTGCTTTTTCTTTTTTCTTTTCCAGACAGTCTCACCCTGTCCCTCAGACTGGAGTGCAGTGGTATGATCTTGTCTCACTGCAATCTCCACCTCCTGGGTTCAAGCAATTCTCCTGCCTCAGCTTCCCAAGTAGCTGGAATTAAAAGCATGTGCTACCACGCCTGGCTAATTTTTCTATTTTTAGTAGAGACGGGGTTTCACCATGTTGGCCAGGCTGGTCTTGAACTCCTGACCTCAAGTGATCTCCCTGCCTCAGCCTCCCAAAGTGCTGGGATTATGAGGCATGAGCCATCACGCCTGGCCCCCTCTTGGAGTATTCATTTTCACATTCAGTTGCACTCAGGACTAATGTTCCCTGCCTAACTTAGGCTTCAGAGCTGGGTGAATCAAATGAGTAAGCAGGTGAAGAAGATTTATAATTGTCACAAATTGCCACAACTGCTCTGAGGGTGGGTATCATGATCTGTATTTGACAGATAAGGACATCAGAAGCGCAGAGATGTTGAATAACTTGGCTGAGGTCACGCAGCCAGAAAGTAGATGCCCTGGATGTAAGCCCCCTGATGCTAAGGATCATGTCTGATTATTTTATCCAGAATGCCTGAAGTCATGGCTGGTACATGATAGGTGATAAGTAAATACTCTTCAATGACTGCCTTCAATGCACACTGACCTTTCCCCATCATCTCAGCCCTTTAAATTAAAAAAAAAAAAATTACTAATTTAGGTGTAATGGTATTTTATTTTTGCTCTAATTTGTATTTCTTTGATTACTAGAGAAACTGAACATTATTTCCATGTGTGCATTCACTTAACATATTTCTTGAATAACCCAGCCATGTCTGTTTGCAATTTATTTGCTGTGGTCCTGAATTTTTTTCCCTCATCAATTTGCACCAAATATTTATCAAATGAATATTAACCCTCTTCTATCTTCCATGCTACAAATATTTTGCCAGTTCCATGTCCCTTTTACTTTATTTTCTTTCTTTTATGTTATGCAGAATTATAAAATAAAATTAACTTTCATTTTTGTTAAGTTATAGAATCAGCATGCAGAATCCCCAGCCAAGGTTGGAAGTGGGTTTCCCCAGGTAACACATACCTTTTCCCCAACCCCAGTGAGTCCGGTGGGCTGACAGAAACATCCAAGGTGGATGTGCAGCCCTCAGCCTAAGGGCTCTTGTTAGGCAGCCAGAAGACAAAGCTATTGTACCATAAACATGTGGTTGGCTTATATGTGTGTATTACACACTTGATTTTGATCTTAGTCCAAAGGCCCAGTAACTTGCCTTTAAAACTCTACCTGGTAGCTCTCATCTCCCTGCCCACTGCCTGTCTCCATTGTCATTGGCCAAATGTCACAGGGCTCAGAAAACATGAGGCCTGGGATACTTGCTGCTGATGACAGTAAAAAATGCCTTAGATCACACTTGACTTTTATAAAGTGATTTGCTATTTGTTTTTCAGTAGGTCCTCACAGTAAGCCTCTAATAGCATTGTAAGTATTAATGTTATTTCCATTATCGGGTGAAGGAACTAAGGCTCAGAGAGGTTGTCCATGGTTCCCAAGCTAGCCACAGGCAGAGGCTGGACCCCACTCCTTGGGTTTCAGAGCTGCTGCTGTTTCTGCCTTATCAAATTAGTTATTGGGGACGGTTCTTGGAGATGGCCCTGACCACCCAATAATAGAGCAGGGGCAGTGTTCAAGATCGGAAGTCTAGTCTAGAAAGACAGGGGCCTTGCCACTGCTTCGAAGCTCTTAGATTCTAAACTTCTGGAGAAGACCTTGCATAATACACCGTATGTCTCTTCCAGCCACATGGAGATACTCCTCCAGAGAGTGTGGGGTGATGTCCTGAAAGAAGGAACAGTGGCTAAGGATGACCAGCGTGTCCTGAAATGGTCTTCAAGGTGTGGCTAAAATGCCAGCTTCTTTGTCAAGCCTTCCTTCATTAAACAGGATCTATATCTGGTCCTTCCTCGAGAAGTTCATAGTCTACCTGAAGAAACAGATACATGCCCAAATAACTGTAAAGGATGTAGAACCAGCCTGGGAAACATAGCAAGACGCAGTCTCTACTACAAAAAAAAAAAAAAAAAAAGTTAGCCAAACATGGTGATATGCAGCTGTAGTTGCAGCAACTTGGGAGGCTAAGGCAGGAGGATCACTTGAGCCCAGGAGTTCCAGGCTGCAGTGAGCTGTGATCACACCACTACACTCCAGCCTGGATTAAAGAGCAAGTACTTTGTCTGTTAAAAAAAAAAGTGTAGGAAATGCTCCAGCAGTATCACTCATTCATTCAGCAAATATTAATAATTGAGTGCCTGCTGTGTGTCAAGCACTGTCCTTTCAATGTAGCAATAAACAAAACAGACCAATGTCATGAGGCTTCTATTCTGGCAGAGGAGACAAACAATAAACAAGTTAATGAACATACAATGTCCAATGCTGAAGGGTGCTAGGGTGGTAAGCAGGGTGGTTAAGAATGGACAGGAATGTGCAGTGTTGGCACAGAGAAGACAGGGTTCAATTACATTTGGAGTGGTGGATCAAAGAAGGCTCCCAAGAGGAGGATTTTGTGCTAGGCTCTGACTTCTGAGGGGAGTTTTAAGTTAGCCAAGGGGAAGAATGGCATTTTTGGCAGAAGAAACAGCAAAAGTATAGACATGAAACTATGAAAGGATATGGGCATGTTTGGAAAACTGCAAGCAAATCTGGTGTGGAAGATAGAAAGAAAATTCAGGACTTGATGCTGGAGAAGTAGGTTGTGGATAGACTATGAGGGCTTTTTGGTCTTCTGAAGGTGGAAGCTAGCAGAGACTGCGTAGATGCTGCCAGGATGGCAGAACCTGTCTACCAAGGCTGCTCCCTGAGCTTTTGGCCAGGGGCCCAGTAGGAGTACAGTCATGGCTTTTGCAACCAAAAAATGGTTAAAAACATAAGGGACAGTTCATCCCAATAGTTCACAACCCCAGTCTTATCATGAGAAGAACATTAGACAAATTCCAATAGTGGGGCATCCTACAAAAACCTTTCCAATACTCACACTAACAGTCAAGGCCATCAAAAACAAAGAACATCTAAAAAATTGTCATAGCCAAGAGGAGCCTGAGGACACATGATGACTAAATGTAATGTGTCCTGCATGGGATTCCAGAGCAGAAGACATTAGGGAAAAACGAAAGAAATCTGAATAAATCATGGACTTCATTTAATAATAATGTTTCAATATTGGTTCATTCATTATAACAAATGAACCATACTGATGAAAGGTGTTAATATGGGGAAAACTAGGTGTTAGGTATAGCAGGTCTGTGCTATCGTGGCAATTTTTCTATAATCTCTAACTGGTTTAAAATTTTTATTAAAAAACAGGAGACTTTTTTAAAATTAGAAAAAAATGAAGTGGGGGAACATATGTAACCTCCAAATTTTCTTGTTTTTTTTTTCGTCTCCAGAAAGGACTCTTTGTTTTCCAACTTGGCTTCTCCCCTGACAAATGCGTTCAGCTTCACCAAGGTAGAAATAAGCACGTGTGTCTGCGTGGGTGGGCACGTGAGGTCTGAGAAGGTGGGTGGGGATGGCGAGGTGGCAAGCAAGTCTGCACTGGAGTCTCGGCATTGGTTTCCTCCCTGGAACCAAGAGAGGTTTCCCGGGAGGTGAGGCATGCGGCAGTTCATTAACAGCCCTGCTGTTCTGCACCTGGTGGTCCTTTCAGTTCCTGTGGGCGACATTGGTCTGGGACACTTGGGTCAGTCAATAAAAGGCCACCTGTGACAAGGGCCTGAGCAGAAGCAAAAAGCAAATGTGTCCTGGCTCTGGGATTCCAGAGTCCCCTGTTCTGACAGTGGGAAGCTGACCTCTGCTGGGAAGCTGGCCCACCACCCGAGGGGCCTGCTCCATGGAGAGCTTGCAAGTCTTTGTCCCTTCATTTCTAGTGGGCTTTATTTTGCCCTTGTCTCTTTCTCAGTCCCGGCCTGTGTCGGTCTGTTTATAGATACTTTTTTTCACATCCAAATTCTTTCTCACTGACAAAGGATGCCCTGTCTCTCAGCAGTCACTAAAATGTCTTCTCATTGTATTCCTGACCCCTTCTTCTCTCAATAAAGAATGACTTTCCCCACCCACTGGGTTTAGAAGGACAATGCTACCCTCTACAGTTGCAGGTAGCTACACAGACATGACTAAAGAAAGTCACATCCCATTAAGATGTCAGTGTTTCACCAATCTACTGACAGGTGTCTTTCTTGGTCTGCCTCAGTTTCATTAGACTCCAGCTTTCCTGCAGTGCCTCAAACACCCTAACCTGACCAAGCTTTCTGAAGTGTCACAGCCAGGATCCTTGGCATTCACTGACTTACTGATGGCCTCTCCCACATTAGTTTATCAACCAACAGCAAAAAAAGTCCCATGCAAGCTGACTGGACCTACGGGGGAAAGAAGCAAAAACCTGCTTTTGTGTCCCCCATTTCTCCTTCTAGGGCTGCCTCCCCAGTCTCACAGTGGCCCCACCTATCACTCTTCCCTCTTGGGCTTCAGTGCAGCAGTCAGTGCTGTAAGGGGCTCTTTATCCCAGCCCAAGCACTGAGAGTCTTTGCATATTCACTGTCCTGGAGGCTACAGAGTGACGCTCCTGCCTGCAGAGTCTTTCTCAGCACGTTTATCAGTCAGAGTTTAGGCAGGAAAAAAGAAACCCCTCTCGACCTTTCCATTGAGAGAATTTAATGTAAAGAACTGGTCAAACAGTTGACAAAACAGCTAAGAAGCTAAACAGTACGTATTTCAGCCCAGAAATCACCAATGACAGCAACCAATGACAGCAACCAAGGCTGGAGGGACAATAAGAGGAGGTGATAGTTCCAGATCCCAGAAGCTGGGATAATCCAGCAGGAGCTAGAATCATTTTGTAGGGTGACTGTCAGGACCTGAAGCCACGGGGGTTATGTGGCCACTGCCAGGGATGTTGTCGAAGACAAAGTAAGAGGTGAAGATACCCTGGCTGCTGTCTGCTCATCTCCAATCTTCTGTCAGGGACTTTCTTTAGCCCAACCTACCCGGAAGCCAGTCAGCAAGGGAACCTGAGAAATGTAGCTCCCTGCAGAGCACAGCAGAGCAGGCCAGTGTGGGGAGTGGATCTGGGAGCAAATAGACAAGTGTCTGGCAAAGCGTCCATTCAGCCTGCGCACTCCCACCCACCCGCTTTTGTTCAAAGCTGAGTTGGCCCCCACCTGTTCTAGAAAACTCTTGCTCTTTTCTAATTTCTCTGATCAGCCAGCTGGCAGCTTGATAAAAACCATCATGTTTTATAAGGTCTCCTGAATAGAATAAATGAGGAAAAATCAAGAGCCTGTTTTACTTTGGGGAGGGGGCGGTAAAGTCTACAACACTGTAGTCATCAAATCTTGCTCAGGAGTATCATTGCTGTCCCTAGTCCTTCAGAGAAGAGCTAGGATCTTGCCTTTTACAGATCATCAAGGTATAATGATTCTGTTCATTCATACTATGGTGGCTGTCCCAGAGGCTCAAATGTACCTTGAACAATGATCTTCTGCTCTGCAAGACCAAACCTATAAGCCATACCCTGTTATCCAGCCACATTCTTCCCGTGAGGGCCTGTGTTCAATGGTTATTCCAGGAGGCTGGTAAATTGCTTCAGGGGGCCTTCAGCTGAAGTCTGAGATGGTTAATCAGTTCCAGCTTGCGTTCCCTCAGAGTACCCCTCTCCCCCTCTGCTAGCTGGGAGCCCTTGCTGCTGATATAGCAGCTCTGGACAGAGGTGAATGTGGGAAGGAAAAGTCCAAGGACGGAGCAGAAGAAACAAAGGGTTCCTAAGTTTGTACAGCCAAGAAAATAACATAAAACACGATGAGGGATTTGGCTGGGCTTTCTTGTTTTGTTTTGGAGCATTTCAAGGGGCCAGGCATGCAGTTGTGTTTGGATTGGGAAGAAAGGCATAACTGTGCAGAAGAAAATCCTTTTCAGGTTTTATTCTGACTGTTACTAGATTAAAGAAAACACCAGGAGGATCAAACTGTGTGAATGTATGAAGGCTATTGCAGCCAGACAGGAGGGATCTTGTCTCTGTCTTCTGGGGACATGTTTGGACAGCATTTAGAAGCAGTGGGCCTGTTTGTCCATCAGCTACCGGTCTAGTCCATTCACCAGTACATGGATCCATTCATATTACTCATTTTCGTAACTTTAAGGTGATGATCGTGATCATTATTAAATATTATAAAAATGTTCATTAGGATTCTTGGCTTGAAGTCACAGAACCATCATCCCTCCAAACCATCATACTCAAAACAGAAAGGACTGAGCACGGTGGCTCACGCCTGTAATCCTAGCACTTTGGGAGGGAGGCCGAGACAGGTGGATTGCTTGAGCTCAGGAGTTCGAGACCAGTCTGGGCAATGTGGCAAGACCTCATCTCTACTAAAACTACAAAAAAATAGCCAGCATGGTGGTGTATGCCTCTGGTCTTTAGTAGAGACCTCATGTCTACTAAAATTACAAAAAAAGTAGCCAGCATGGTGGTACACATCAGCTACTCAGGAGGCTGAGGTGGGAGACTTGCTTGAGCCTCAGGAGGCAGAGGCTGCATGCAGTGAGCTAAGATCATGGCACCACACTCTAGTCTGGGAGTCATGGGAGACCCAGTCTCAAAAAAAAGCAGGAGGACATAATACCATCTCAAGAATCCAAGAAGCAGATGAACCCTCCAGCCAGAGAAAAGGCAGAGATGCAGGAGAATTGTAATTGGAACTCTAATTCTGTTTAGATTTTTTCTGACCCTTTCTGCTGCTCCAGTCTGCTTTTCTTAGGCGTGTAAGCTTCCTTCTCTCACTGCAGACGTGCTTTCCTCACTCTGTGGATTTCCTAGGGCTGACGGAACAAAGTGCTACAAACTGAGTGGCTTAAACACTGGAAACGTATTGTCTCATAGTTCTGGAAGCTTAAAGTGTGAGATCAAGGTGTCAGCAGGACCGTGCTCCTCTGAAGGTGCCAGGGAAGAATCTGTCCTGGACTTTTCTTTCTGCTGTTTCTTTGGCTTGGGACAGCGTGAATCCCATCTTCACCTGGCATCTTCCCTGTGTGTATATCTGTCTCTGTGTCCTAATTTCCCCCCTCCCCCTTTTTTTTTTAGACAGAGTCTGGCTCTTGTTGCCCAGGCTGGAGTGCAATGGCACAATCTTTGCTCACTGCATCCTCTGCCTTCTAGGTTCAAGTGATTCTCCTGTCTCAGCCTCCCGAGTAGCTGAGATTACAGGCATGCGCCACCATGCCGGACTAATTTTTATATTTTCAGTAGAGGCAGGGTTTTGCCATGTTGGCCAGGCTGGTCTCCAACTTCAGACCTCAGATGATCCACCTGCCTCGGCCTCCCAAAGTGTTGGGATTACAGGCGTGAGCCATCCACCTGGCCAAGTTTCCCCTTTTTATAAGGACACTAGTCATATTAGATTAGGGCCTGCCCTAATGACCTCATTTTAACTTGATTGCCTCTATAAAGACCTTATCTCCAAATAAGGCCCCACTCTGCAGTACTGGGGGTTTGGACTCCAGCATATTTTCTTTTTTGAGGATACAATTCAACCCATAACACCCACATGGCCACCAACTGCTCTCAGTTTTTGCATCTTACCATTTGCACTACTAGATACTACATTCTTCCTTCACTTACTGATTTCAGAAATCCCAGGGAAGAATTCTAATTGGTTCATCTTTGATCAGGTTCTGGTCTCCTCAAGGGAAGAAACCGGGTCTGGAACGATGACTAACTCGGCGTTGTTAAGGTGCCCAGCCCTGAACCAATCAATGACAGCCAGTGAGGCAGGATTGTTTAAGACCATGACAATCGTCATGGGACCCATGAATCTGTCAGATCAGTCAGTCCATGCTGGGTACAAATCATCCTCTAAATCATAGAGAATTGATAGCAACAAGGAGTTCATCCTGTCTTACACTCCACATCTTCTATGGGCAATAGAGATGGTGAGAGGAGAGGGGTTTCTGCTTATTGTAGTCCCCAGGGACCCAGACTGACAAGCCATCCCAACTGTGCTGAAAGAGAGCTCTGGAGGGTCTTGTATTGGCAGTTAAATCTAACACCTGAAAGTGGTACACTTCTGCTCACAACTCACACCACAGTTAGTGACATGGCCCTATCAGGGTGGACATTCTCACAGTGTACCTGGAAAGTAGAGAGCCAGAAATAATTGACGCACAGCACCTATGACTGTCACAACCCACGTGGTGGGAGCAGTGGGAAAAAGGGTTCCCAGGAGAGGGGAGATGCTTCACCAGAATATGATGGGGTGCTGCCCAGGGAAACTAGTGGATAAGCACTACAGGGGCATCTGAGGCCAAAGGAAGAGCCATGGAAGACAGTGGGGTGTTAAAAACACTGTGGTTTAGCTGGAGCATACAAGGTCTGGGGTGAGAATGGCCAGGGACTGGGCTGGAAAGGTGGCCAGGCTGGACAGTGAAAAGAACTGCTTGCTATAGGGGAGAGTTTGGATTTCTTCTCCCCCAGTGACAATAGGGGAGCAATAAGGGCTTTGAGCCGGGAACAGGAGGGTCAGGTTTGCATTTTAGAAATAGCACTGACCTCTGAGCAGAGGCCCAGAGGTCTGGGACAACTCCAGTGGTTGAGAACTAGACTTAGTGTTAGTCCTGCACTTTTAAATCCCAGAATTTTTGATGATGTGCTTGAAGGGGTTAAAGGTGGACATTGCTTAAATAAAAGCAAGTTTCAGAAAATTGATAAAATTCTCCACAGATAGCATAAACTTCATCAGGCTGCTTTTTAGCACTTGTGGCTATTTGAGAACAGTTTTCTCCCCTGCCAGTGCTTCTTGTTAGGCCATTTTTACAGGCAGTTCTTGCATATCCTCTAAACACACGATCTTTCTCAGATGAGAGCCTGTTATTTTTTTTTTCTATATTTAATTTTATTTAAGTTCTGGGATACATGTGCAGGATGTGCAGGTTTGTTACACAGGTAGACGTGTGCCATGGCGGTGTGCTGCACCTGTCAACCCATCACCTAGTTATTAATCCCCACATGCATTAGCTATTTATCCTGATGCTCTCCCTCCCCAAACCCCCTGACAGGCCCCAATGTATGTTGTTTCCCTCCCTGCGTTCATGTGTTCTCATTGTTCAGCTCCCAATCTACCCATCTGACAAAGGCCTAATATCCAGAACCTACAAGGAACTTCAACAAATTTACAAGAAAAAAACAACCCTATCAAAAAGTGTGCAAAGGACATGAACAGACACTTCTAGAAGAAGACATTTATGCAGCCAGCAAATGTATAAAAAAAGCTCAACATCACTGATCATTAGAGAAATGCAAATCAAAATCCCAATGAGATACCATCTCACACCAGTCAGACGGCAGTTATTAAAATGTCAAGAACAACAGATTCTGGCAAGGCTGTGGAGAAATAGGAATGCTTTTACATTGTTGGTGGGAATGTAACTTGGTTCAACCATTGTGGAAGACAGTGTGGCAATTCTTCAAGGATCTAGAACAAGAAACACCATTTGACCCAACAAACCCATTACTGAGTATATACCCAAAGGAATATAAATCATTCTATTATAAAGATACATGCACACATATGTTTATTGCAGCACTATTCACAATAGCAAAGACACGGAACCAACCCAAATGCCCATCAATGATAGACTGGATGAAAAAAAATGTTGTACATATACACCATGGAATACTATGCAGCCATAAAAAAGGAACGAGATAATGTCCTTTTCAGGAACACGGATGGAGCTGGAAGCCATTATCCTCAGCAAACTAACACAGGAACAGAAAACCAAACGCTGCATGCTCTCACTTAAAAGTGGGAACTGTTATCTTTTCTCTTACACTGGTGCATCTGCCCCACCTGTTCCCCTTGACCCTCTCGCTGACAGATGTCCCTGCCATAGCACAGATCCTCAGTCATTTCAAACATAAGACTGAACATAAGGTTCAGATTTTCACAGCACACCTATGCCTATGAAGGATTCATGAGTTTGCCTTGAGTTTTCCATTGTGAACACTGAGAATGTTGAGGACCACTCGTGTGTTCACAGACAAAGAACCACAAGAAAGAACACGGAGTGGAAACCAGGCCAGAAGAAGGCAAGCAGGCTCCTCTCAGCTTCCCTGCCCTGGCAGAGGCAAACACACACAGCCTCACCAGGGCATGTCCAGAGCTGGTTGGCTTGACCCACAGAGGACGTGTAAAAAAAGAAAAAAAACAACAAAACCTTTTCAAGTCTTCATGAATGAGGACTCTCAGTTCAAAATTCATAGGAAGATTACATAAAACCATCTGCTGCCTTTATTTCCCCTTGTGTGCATTAAAAATATGCAGCTGCTCACCGAGAAACATTCCATTACGCTGTGTGGCTCACGAGCTGCTCTTTGACGTTCAGGACAGAGAGGAGGCAAGGTGGGAGGAGAGGCAGGGGTGAGCACGCACAGGGATTTCCACTGGGCTCTGAGTGTCTAGAACAGGGCATTCCAGATTTTTCCACCTCACTGACGTGCTCTCTGAAGGAGATGCTCTTCTGTGTATGCAGTGAAGTTTCTCGGTGAGTTTGTGTGTGGGTGTGGATGTTTTTTTTTCCCCCTTTTTAATGTGAAAATTGGTCTTTGAGTCCACAAGCAGCAGCTGCAGCTGCCATAATTAAAGTGAAATAACCTGCTTCATCCAGTCCTTAGAAAGGCTTAAAAAAAATCCATATTCTAAATGGACTCAGGAATGTGGTGGATCTTCTCTCCCTGTTTATTTGCAACAAGTTTTATTTCTTTACTTTTCTCAGGAGTCAGGAGAAGGGTATTAACCTTTACTGAGCATTTATCCTGATCCCAGGCACTATGCTGGCTTGTCCCAACTGCACAGCCAGGATTTGAATCCAATTTTGATGCTTCGTTTCTTCCCCCGCTGCCATGCCCCTTCAGGATGCCTTTGAACTCTGGATCTCTCCACCTGGTCTGATTCTGTCCAGAGGCCTGGGAGGATTGGCATTATTAAGATGTTATTGAAAATGCTGGCACATATAATCGGCTTGGATTAGAAACCAAAGCTCTTCGCAGAGTAACAAGGTGAAGTATTTTGTGCTAATAATTTACGTGATAATGAGATGGTTTTCAGAAGATTGGATGTGCTCCTAAAGGTGTTGCTTAAAGTCACTCTTCAAACCAGGCTGGGAGCATAAAAATCCCAGAAGAACTACAGACTCTGTAGTTTGTACAGATCTCAAAATAAGGTAGCTGAGGTAGAAAGAACTATGTGCTGAGAATTGAAGACATAGTGGTCACTGTCTTCAAGGAGCTCCCAGTCTGGTGGAAAAGAAAGTTGTAAAGATGAATAATTATAAGACACTGGACATAAGAGCTAGCTGAAGGACAGGAATAGCTTGCTGTAGTTTCAGCATTTTTTCTCTAAAGATTCATTCCTTCAATTGGTAAATTTGTGAGGAGGAAAGCTACCTCCCTGAGAAAGCAATGCCCATGATGTTGAACATTTAAGACTAGAAGAAATTATTCTACATTATTATGTATATACTAAGGGTCAGGTACTTATTCTCTCTAGTCCATTATTTTTATTCCTATTTAATAATAAAGAAATGTAAAAAGCTAAGTGGTTTGGCCAACGCTGCACAGCTGGTGACTGGGTGAGTTGTGATTCAGCCCCACTCTGCTTCCAAAGCTCCACCTCTTGCCACTGTGCCAGGCTTCCCCTCAGCAAACTGGAACCCTTGATTGTCAAGTACAGAACACACCTATCACTGTGTCCCATGTTTAGAATGAGGATATCTTTTTATTTTCCTTAAACAAAGTTTTAATAGCAGGCGTCTTGATGGAAGGTCATCTCCTCCAGGCTGCAGGTGCGATGATACAGTTCTGAGTGCATTAGGAGCCCTCTGGGCTGCCTTCCCTAAACAGGGGGTCAGCCCAGGGCACAGGAACGCTGAGTTTCTCACTGACATTCTTCAGGGACCCAGCAGGTTCCTGGGTATCCAGAAGATTTTCTCCCGGGTTTCTGTATCCACTGCTCCGGGTACCACGGCTTAGCCGAGAAGGGAAAGACAAAAACTAACACTCCTTGCCAGAGAGGAGGGTGGTTTCCTGCTACCTTTGCAGTTCTCTGCAGTCAGTGTTGTTGTTTTGGAACCTGACTTAACTCAAGGCATCATCTTATCTCCTTGATCTGTGGTCAGTTTGGGGGAAATCCAACAGAAGCAGAGGCACTCTGCATTTAATTCCACCTGGGCCTTCCTGAAAGGCAGCCCAGGAAATGATCAAGCTCCACATACCGGTGGACAGCCAGGAGATGCACTGGGAGAAGAAAGACGGTTGTGTCAGGTACATGGTGTCATGCACAGGGTTACAGCTTGCTTTATGACTTGCCTAGAGAGGAAAAGAACAGGGTTTGGATCTTGTCTCCCTTGCTTCCTCACTAGGGGATTTGGAGCAAGCAGCTTAGATTCCCCAGAGTCTCCTTTCTTCACCTGCAAGTCTGGAAGGATAATGCTTGCCTCCTGCAGTTATTTAGAAGGCTAAATAACATCAAAGCACCTAATAGCCTGCCCAATGCCTGGCACACAATTAGGAGCTCCCTGCCCCCAGGCAACTCCACTTCCAATTCATATTGTGCAAGGCTTGCCACATTCATCTTCCTAGAGCAGATCTCCAATTATGTCACATCTCTGCTCTGCTCAACAGCACTCAGAGGCTCCCTATTACTCACTGAACAATGACCACATTCCCCAGCCTGTTGAGGCCCACATCTCTTGTTGGGTGTGATGTCCTCCACTTCCCTCTGCACAGCTTACACATGCTGGAAAGCTGAGCTCGACACTTGCTCTTTGTCATGCTTTTACCTCCCATGCCTCTCCTCCCTTATGTGGAGTACCTGCCCTGTCTCCATGTCCCCTACCTTATACAAAGTCTGCTGCAAGGCAGTCTTCCATGATTTGTCAGCCATGGCGATCTCTCCATCCTCTGTCCACACATTAGGTTCTGTCTGCATCTCTCTTACAAAACTGCCAAACATTATAGTTCTCCGTGGCTATGTCTTGTTTTTCTTGCCAGCCTATGAGCTTCCCAAAAGCAGGATTTGCTTCTGAATCATTATTGTATTCTATCCAGCAACAATCCTCAGTATATGAATGAATGAGTGAATATGTGAATGAATGAATAATGCCATAATCCCTTCCTAACTCAATTTCCCCTCAACGGAATGCTAGCATATAAATACTTTTAAAAACTTTCCAGCAACAAATGAGCATTTTAGTTTCATTAACTGTCTTTGTTTTGTCTACTGGAGGTACTCTGGGAAAAAAAGGGAATTTAGGGATGGGATTTGAAAAGGAAATAAACAGATTGAAAGATTGAAGACAAACAGTTGAGGTTTTCCCTGAAGCCTTGGCAAGGATGAGGGCAGAAGAGGAGTAAAAACTGTAGCTCTGCAGCTTCTTCAAGAGGGGAGGGACCATAAGGCACAGGTGAGAAGCCAAGTCACAAGCTTTGGCCTGAAGCTGTGAGGGGAAGGGAGAGATGATGGAGTTTTATAACCCAGACACAAAAAAGGGAGCCTGAGAAAGAAATTTGAGTGTTTCATCCAAGCATAAAACGTACATATCACTTACATGACTAGGACCCCAGCAGGACCCTTGGGGACAAAGCTAACAGCTCTGTGTCCTAAAAGCCACCAGACATTTGGCATTTGGGGAGAGCCCCAACACCAGAGAAAGTACCTTTTCCCTTGCCCATTTTTGTAGCCAAGGCAGCCAATTTCCTGCTGTCTTTGGAACTTGGGGTGGGGTTGTGTGTGTCGGGGGTGGGTGGGCAGGGGGTAAACTTCTAATGAACAAGGCAGGGTAATAAAAATTAAAGATGTAATAGCCATTATTGCCTATTTGAAATGCATAAAATGATAGTCATATCCTAATTAGTGTACTGCCTATTTTTAATCTTAATGAATATAATGATTTATAAGGATTTTTCTAGGTTTACTCCCAAACTCTTGTTAACTTTACTTGTGCCCATTAATTTTCCTACCCTGGCCAGGCATGGTGGCTCACACCTGTAATCCCAGCACTTTGGGAGGCTGAGGCAGGTGGATCACCTGAAGTCAGGAGTCCAAGACCAGCCTGGCCAACATGGCGAAACCCCATCTAAATACAAAAATTAGCCAGCCGTGGTGGTGGGCACCTGTAATCCCAGCTACTCAGGAGGCTGTGGCTGGAGAATCACTTGAACCTGGGAGGCGGAGGTTGCAGTGAGCTGAGATCATGCCACTGCACTCCAGCCTGGGCCACAAGAGCAAAATCCTCATCTCAAAAAAAAAAAAAATTCTACCCTGAAGGTAGTTCAAGAGCCAGTCTCTGGAGAGTACCAACAGGATACTCTGTACTTGGCCAGAGGCTGCTGAATGTTCCTGCCTAATAGAGTTACTCTTTATTTAAAATAATTTGCCATAAAGAAACATAGTAAATGTAGATGAAGACAACAAAATTTTACTATTAAGTGGATTTTGTTTTTCATGGGAATTCCCAGCAATTCCTCACCTTATAATAAACAGCAATGTTTTTTAAGCTAGGATCCTAGATCTATTTGGGAAAAATGAATTCAGGGAACTTCTCAAATAATGGCTTTTTGGGGGTTAACCTCCTATGCCTAAGTGTATCCTTCATGCCTTATTCTTTAGCCTAGTAGGTCTCTTGTATAATAAGGCATTTTGTAGTATTTTTTATGGGTGAGTGTGGCAGTATGGGGCAGGAAAAGTACAGGGACCTTGAGTCTTTGAGGGCCTATATTCAAATTCCTATTCCTTCTCTTGGAATGACCTGAGGCAAATGACCTAAAACCTTAGCACCTCCCCCTTACCCTTCTTTTGAGTAGGGTAGAATTTCTTTTCTTCATTTGGAAAAACCTTTATTTTGTACGGGTATCTCCTTTGTCCCAGAGTCCTGAAAATCAAATTTATAGTCATAGGATTCTAGGGCCAGAAAGGACCTCACGTGTCCCCCAGTTCAGAATTTCCTTCTTTCAGATGAGGGAACTGAGGCTTAGAGGGGGGAAGTCATTAGCCAGAGGTTGCAATCAGCAGCTGGGCCAGAACCAGGACTCTTCTGCGTAAGGACCTCTGCCCAGGTGACTCCAACCCTCCCATGTGGTATATTACAGGAAGATCGACCCATTCCACAGATCAAGTGCCTTAGTCCATTTTCTGCTACTGTAACAGAATGCCTCAGACTGGGTAGTTTATAAAGAAAAGAAATTTATTTAGCTCACAGTTCTGGAGGCTGAGAAATCCAAGAGCATGGTGCTGGCATCTGGTAAAGGCCTCCTGCTGCTTCATCCCAGGGGAAAAGGCGGAAGGGCAAGTGAACACATGTGAAAGAGACAAGCATGAGGGGCCAGCCTTGCTTTATAACAACCCATGATTGAGATAACTCACTCACTGCTATGAGAATGCATTAATCCATTCATCAAGGCAGAGCCATCACAATCCAGGCACCTCCATTAATCCCTACCTCCCAACACTACCACATTGAGGAATTTAGGTTCCAACACTTTTGAGGAACACACTCAGACCATAGCAGCAAGAGAGTAAGATTTAGAGAAGGCCAGTGACTTATTTGTCTGGTGAATCTGTGACAGAACTGTTAACGGGGGCCACTGGCCACTAACCCTAGACCTTAGCCCCATGTTGCATTCCTTGTCTACTCCCATCACAGTATGCAGTCAATCCTTTGTGCAAATAACACGCAGTTCCTACTTTGCTCCAAGCCCTGTGCTGGGTGCTTGGGTTGTATAAAGGGCAGATCTTCAGTCCCTGTCCTGCAAGCTTCAGTTCACTCAAGGAAAGGTGTGTAAACAATTATTTTAAGGCAAGACCATTACTCCCATAGCACAAGATGAGATGGGAGAACAGAAGAAGGTACATTTGAGCCTCTCAGGAAGGCTGCATAGAGGAACCATCTGTGTGGGATTTGCAGGGTGCCAGGACCCCACTTTCTTCTCTTCATTGCTGTGGGACCAGGAACAAGCCTCATTTTCCCATAGTGTGTGTTTGCAATGACTGCTGGAGCGGAGGGTCTGTGAGAAAGGATTGGGGCATCTTGCCACCTCACTCAGTTGGATCTGTGTTCTCTGCTTCAACAGAAAAGATCCCGCACCATCCTCCAGGATCCAATGGCCTTGGAGAGAGGGCTGCAGGGCCCACGGACATTGCTGACTCTTCAGAACGTGCTGACATGGAGCCAGGTCAGTCCCCTTGTCTGCTCTGATTTTCTGTCATTAGCTGCAAATTTGTGGCCTTGATGAGAAATGCAATCTCAGACTCTGAACATTTGCATGTTTTTTGGTTGGAGGCTTTTACGACTTGGCAGCATAGAAAGTAGAGGAGTTCTGGCCAGAGTAAAGGTAGCCTTCTCCGGGAACAGATGCAGTAGGACTGGTAGGTGGCAACGGTTGCTGGAAACCAAGCTGGCAGCCAGCATGGTGGGAGGGCAAGGTGGGCAAGGATGGGGCATCTAGCAGGTATGTGATGGGGGTGCTGGCAGCAAGGAGGTCACATGTCGGTCTAGGACCAGAGAGGCAGCAATGCCAATCAAGGTCATTCTTGGGTACAGGAGACCAGGGTGCAGGGCCCAGAGTCTGGTGGCTATGTGTTGAGCTGAACTGGAGTGAGATCAGAGGCACAGTGGGGAATAGGATACGGGGAGGTGAGTGGAAGGCTGTCCAGAAGGCAGGTGGTCTGGAGGCCAGGTCTAGTGCCTAAGATGGCTCTCTAGAAGCGTTTCCTCATATTGCTGTGCAGAAAAGCAATGAAAAAAACAGCAGGAAACTCCTGGATTCTATGGGAAAAGTGGAAGATGTTTCAAGCTAGAGGAGGAACATGGTACAGAGAGGAGTGAAATTGTAAGTGAAAACTGGTTACATTGAGGGAGGCTGAGGACACAGGAAGGATCCAGGGAAGAGGGAGTATGGCCTTTATTGAAAGCCCACTGTGAACCTACTAGGTACCAAGCACTTTTTCTTATCCTTCCAGCAATCTTTCAAGATAGAAATATGAGTCTTTTTAGGCTTAGTTATGCTGCAGTAATAAATTAACTCCAGAATCCTAGTGGCTTAACATAGCGGAAGTTTATTTCTTTCTCATGCTACGCATCCATCAAAGGTTGGTAGAAAGCTTTGCTCTACCTAGTGACTTAGCGACCAGGCTGATGAAATCTCTCCCATATTTTAGGGGTACGACCTGGATGATTGGCCCCTTTGGTCTCTGTAGCAGAGGAGGAAATCACTGGAAGGTTGAACATTGACTCTTAAATGTGTTGGTCCTGAAGTGACACACCACCCATTGGCCAGAACTAGCCCTGTGGTCCTGCCTGATTTCTGGGATTCCAGGAGGTGTGGGAAGACATGGATATTTTAGGAGCAGTAACTTCCCCTGCCACAGTAGATATGATTTCTATTTTATAGGAAAGGAATTGAGGCTTAGAGAAATTGTCTTGTCAAAGGTCTTCCAAATAAAAAGTGCTGGAGTCTGGACCTTACATAACTTCTGATTAATCATTTATTTAGTTATTCGACAAAGACATATGGAAGATTTACCATGAGTGCAGCACTATGTTAAGCTCTGGGGATATCACAAGGAATAAAAACAAAGGTAGGCTTTTCCCTCACCCTGACAAGTATATAACTACAAACTGAGATCAATGCTGTGCAGTAGAGACATAGGTTCTCTGAGGAGCTCCATTAATATTTTTTGCTTTTTGGCCAGGCTTGATGGCTCAAGCCTGTAATCCCAGCACTTTGGGAGGCCAAGGCGGGTAGATCACTTGAGGTCAGGAGTTCGAGACCAGCCTGACCAACATGGTAAAACCCCATCTCTACTAAAAGTAAAAAAAATATTAGCCAGGCGTGGTGGCAGGTACCTGTAGTCCCAGCTACTCGGGAGGCTGAGGCAGGAAAATCACTTGAACTCTGGAGGCAGAAGTTGCAGTGAGCCAAAATTGTGCCACTGCACTCCAGCCTGGGTGACAGACAGAGACTCCACCTCAAAAAAAAAAAAAATTTATTTTTTGCTTTCTTTAGAAGGACAGGTAAAGTGGGGTCACATTTACTGAGGCACTGTGCCAAGTAGTTGAATGATGCATCTCATTTGACTCCCACAACCCCATAAGGTATTCTTATGACCCCATTTTTTAAGGTAAGAAAACCAATGCTCACTCAGCATAGTAAGATAAAAGCTGAACTCTTCAACCTCACCATACTCACTTGTAATAGTGACATGAAAGTTAAAATTTAAAAGTCATTGAATCTAGACCTCCACCCCATCTAAATCTGAAGTGTGGTCTCCTCTTCCTCCTCTTCAACCCCTCTCTCACCGGGGGCTTTCTCTCCCTGGTTCCCCAACGCCCAGCCCAAGAGACTTGGCTGCTCATCCCCACATGGGGGCCTTCCACGTAGTTGGTCCCATCAAACTCATCTAAATTGGAGGAGGAAAGACGTTTTGCAAAAATACTAGGCTGCAAGAATCTGAGTCTAGCAGGATGGAGCAGTCCTCCCAGGCCAGTTCTTTCTGGGCCCCTCTTCTGCTTAAACCTTTCTCCATAGCATCTGTCTCTACCTGGTGTGTATATTACTAGACAAGTTTAATTGCCTATTTTCTGTCTTCTTCTATTAGAACACAAGCTCCACAAGGGCAGGGACCTACTTTGTTGGCCCCTGCAGTGTTCTTCTGCCAGGAAAGATGCCTGGCACATGGCAGGCACTTTGTAAAGATTCAAAATGGGAGCATAAGAACAAATCATTGAACAGGTTCCATATTGTGACTTGCTTACATGCTACTATTCAAGCCATCCAGCCTCCACATACACTGTTCCTTCCTCCTGGAATGTCCCCACTGCCTTTCTCCTCCCACCACTAGCTCACTTTTCATGCACTCACTCTGCCTGCCCAGGAGGGTGAGGTCCCTTCACCACATGGCACAGACATTATCCATTCATCCCCATGAGCCTGGGGATTTCCTGGAGGCAAGAATAGCTCCTCATTGAGCCCTCAGTGCCTGACACACAGATAGGACCCAGTTACTGTCTGTTGTCTCGAGCCCAGTGGACCAGAACAGCATCTGGCATTGCAGCCCAGAGGCCCCTTTCCTCCTCTGTGAGTTCCCGTCTCCCTCGGTCAGGAGGCGGAGACTTGTTGCCAACTTAGCCTCCTCCTGCTTAACGGCTGGGAGATCAGGGGGAGGAGGTAAATGGGACACTAATGAAATTCAGAGAGAAAACTAAATCGGGAGGTGTTGCAAACACTGTGG
Source organism: Homo sapiens (assembly GCF_000001405.40). Taxonomy (NCBI): domain Eukaryota; kingdom Metazoa; phylum Chordata; class Mammalia; order Primates; family Hominidae; genus Homo; species Homo sapiens. The sequence continues at coordinate 79,212,749 of NC_000011.10, read as the reverse complement.
AGGAGGGAGACGTGATTTAAAAGGATGTTTCCAGGGTAGGAGGAGGAAATGGGGACTGTGGAGAGCCCTGGAGTTAGCTTCACACGGCCTCACCTCTCACACCTGCAGTGGGATGACCCCTGTGAGTCACCGTAGCTGCAGGCCCTTCACTTTTCAGTCTTCAAATTAGGGGTCTTTTAGCTGACTGACTCATTCATTCAGTCATGCCTTCCCACCCCCTTTCCAAAAAGGATTTGAGTAGGTTAACAATTTAAAATTAAGCAATTAAGTCCAAGAACATTTAATAAAAAGCTTAGGGTAGAAAGTAGGGGACAAAAAAGGGAAGAGGAGAAGAAAAAGAGATTCTCAGGACCACTCAGAAACAGGGGTTCCTGGAAAGGGGTTGCAAATCAGTGTCTTGAGGATGGCACAGGCCTTGGTGACAAGAAAATGGGTGCTAAAGACCTTTAAGGATGGAACAGCTCTGGTCATGTGGTAATCATGATGGCCCGTGCCTCAGAGCACTTTCAGATCCATGGTCCATTTTTTCAGTTATAAGCATTGACCATCTGCTACATGCCAGGGAACCCACATCATGTTTTTCTCTCTCTGTCTCATTAAATGTCACAAGACCTTGCAAGGTGGTCTTTTAAAGTTCACATTAGAGTTATGGCTACCAAGGCACAGAGAGACTGAGTCGTCTGTTTAGGAAACGGTGCTGGGGCACTAAATGTCCACATGCAAAAACATAAAGTTGGACTCTTTCCTCACACCATATACAAAAATTAACTCAAAATGGATCCCAGTCATGGGCAGAAATTGCTGCCTGAGGAGGCTGCCCAAGAACACTAATATACCTTGTCCTCCCCTGCCTTCCTGCCTTCTTCACAGCATGCCCTAAAGCACCTGTGCTCAAACTCTCTCATTTCAGCATTCTGTTTTACTCTTCAACGTTATTGAAGACCCCAAAGGGTTTTCATTTATGTGGATTATATCTGTCAAAATTTGACATATTATTAATTAATACTGAAAGATGTTAAAATTGTCATTTATCACTTATTTAAATTAACAATAATAAACCCTTACTTTAACATAAATAACATATTTTTATGAATAATGACTTTTCCAAAAGAAACAGAAATGAATGGAGTGGCATTGTTTTACATTTTGGCAAATCCCTTCAACGTTTGGCTATATAGAGGTATCTGCTTCTGCATTCAACCTCGAAAACTCCACCGTGAGTTCATAAGAAAGCCAGAATGAAAAGGGAAAATGATGTTGTAGCATTGTTATAAATAGTTTTGACCTCACAGACTTCCTGAAAGGTTTTAGGGACCCTCAGGGATCCCTGGCGCACACTTTGAAAACTGTGGGTATAAAAGGTGAGATACTCCCGAGTCCAGCGGGGAGTGAGGAGGAAGTCAACCGTGAATCTAGTAAAGAGAAGACGGGAAGTGGGAACAGTCTCAGTACAGAGGGGACAGGAGTTCTCCTGGAATGACGCCTCACTGCTGTAGGGAGACCTTAGGCCTTTGCACATGGTATTCTCTTGGCCTAGAATGCTTTTCCCAACTTAGTCTGTTTAGCAGAATCTTCTTGGTGCTTTAAGGTCAAGTTGGTGTAACTGCCTTCAGATTGCCTTTCTTACCATCTTTCCAAACCCAAGGCTGAACTGCACTCCCCACCTCACCCAGAACCCTGGTGGGTGAGCATTTAAGCAGAAGAGTGGTTGCAGGTGTGGTTCCAGGTTGGGGTCGGTGCCTACCGGGGAAAGGTTTGGATGCCAGGCCAAGGAGGTGGGGCTTTTTGTGATTGTTGTTTAAAAAGTAAGAAGCCATTGAAAGTATTTTTATAAGCAACTTCTTGATGGTGTACAAATGTATGTATACAGAGGGCTATGGTCACCAATAGGCAGATAAAAGTCATCCACTACTAATTCTAATTCATTAGCAAATAAAGTAATGCCCGTTATCTAGAAGAGAGGGGGAAATGAGAAAAAGGAGGAGGAAAGAAACCAGCAGCAAAATGAGCACTCACTATGTGCCAGGCATTCTTCCTGTCATCATCGCAGCAGTTGGCGGTGTTTTCCCCATTTTCAGATGGATAAGCAGATTTTCCTCCCCTCCGGGCTCCCCAGGTTACCTTGCTAGTAAAAGCCAGAGCTGGGATTCAAACTGCAGACTCCCATCAGCCTCTTTCAAGGCCCATGACCGCTTTTCCCACGACTCCACGCTTGCTTGGCACTGTTTGCTTGGCCTTCAGTGTTTACTGCTATGTACTGCTGCTCTTTTAAAGATGTGTTTCTGTTGTATCTTTCCAGACATATTTTTCAGTTCTTGGAAAATTGAACAGGGACACCAATATGCTCCTTTGGTCCACCCAATTGGAGTCTATCATGACAGTTCCCATGCACACAGCAGACAATCCATAATCCCTGCTTTCGTGTTGCTTGCTTTTCATGGAAGACATGACGATTAAGATGTGAACCCCATGTTGCTATTAAATACAGGTACTGGTGACAGAGATTATTACATGGTCAGGCCCTGTTCATCCTGGCTGGCGATGAGAACTGGGAAGTCAAAGGAGTTAGGACAGTGCATTTTTTCTCAGGGTCAGACTGAAGAAATAATCCTAAAGAGGACACCGTACTTCCTATGTAAATATTGAGTAAAGCAGACAAACCTTATGAGGCTAAGAGTATATTGTCCCATATGGTGCCAATTATGTCTGTTAAGTAAGGATAAATAAACATTTACTGAACTCTTACTATGGCTTGGTATCTATGCTAGGCATATTGTATGTTTTATCTTCACTATAAAAACCTATATATTTTTGGCTCTAAGAGATAGAAATGTCCCCATTTCCAGTAATCAAACTGCAATGCAGAGAAGGACATATAGCTGATACCTGGTAAAGCTGGAGTTTGAAGCCAGGCCTGCCTGTCTTGTCCTTTGGAAATACCATACTTTCCCCACACAGGGAGAAATGCTAAGGCTGGTTCTAGCAGGGTGCCATGCACTGACTGGTGAGGTTGGAGCGGTCCTTAGCAGTGCTGCAGTGGCCACTGGTAACCTCATGCCGGTTTCAGCTCTTTCTTTCCAGACCATGTCTATCTTCCTAGGCTTCTTCTGCTTCCCTGTGATTGCACCTCCAGTCTCTACTCAGAGCACTCAGGATGCCCGCGGCCTCCCCATACCACCATTGTCTTCCAGCACCCAGTGTTAGCTTCATTACTATTCCTGGTGGACTAACTGAACACATGAATAGGCTTAGGGAAGAAGAAGGAGCAGTGAACCTAAGATGAAATTTAAAAGGTGCCACAGATTGTGCTGGGAACCCAGGAGTTCCCGATTTGCTTAAAAAAGGAATACTGTGAGGGAACGCCTTCTGGCCCAGGGCTCCCATGCTTTGGGAAGGAGCAGCAGACAGCCACAGAAGCTAAGTGTGGAATTCTGCCCTTTCCCAAGGCCGGCCGGGTTGGGGTTAGCAGAGTGAACTCAGCCACTGCTGTGGATGTTGCTGCTCTTCCAAAACCCCTTTGATGCAATCCTTCTTTACCTATCCTGCATCCTCGGAGTAGGGAAGCTGCACAGTGCTGGGTGTGCAGTCAGAATGATTGCAGAGCCATTTACAAGCCAAATGCTAGTTTATTTCCAAATGGGAAGGTCAGTGTCATTATCCTTGGTGGATTCAATTACCAAATCCTCCCAAACATTGGGCTCGCTTCCTGTTGCTAATTGCACCTGCGGCTGCACACCTCGGTGGTCAGTTTATCCAAAGCCACTGAGGTAGTGGCCCGAGGGTTGTTTGCAAGGCTGTGGACCTCTGTCGCTGTACTGCCTTGACTTACCCGCTGAGAAATGGGTCTTCCACCTCCCATTGCCTTTGTGAAAATTCCCCTGGTAGAAAGGAGCAATGAGAAGCACATAAACCTTTGCCTCTTTGGATTCTGGCCATAGTGGAAAAGCCAAGTATGCAGAAAACACTCCAGGGGTGAGAACAGACATTTGTTGAGCGCCTATTAGATGTCAGCCACCGTGCTAGGCATTTCACAGTCCATTTAACACTCTCAACTACCCAGTGAGGTAAGCGTTGTTATTTCTGATACACAGATGGGGCCACAGAGCCTCAGAGAGGGTCAATGACTTTAAGTCACACAGCTAGGAAGTAAGGGAGTCTGGAATTGGATCAAGGTCATCTGCTATGAAGCCGAGCTTCTTCCCACTGGGTTGAAAATAATCACAAGAACAACATCAAGAACTACCATCTGTAGCATGGTCAGTATCTGCCTGAGTAGTATTAGCTCATTTAATCTTTACAACAACCCAGTGATAGTAGGTATTCTTATCACCCCCATTTTACACATGAGGAAACCAGGGTGGAGAGAAGTACTTTCAAGATGAATAATTCTCCAAAATTGGGTCTTCAGAAGGCAAGCCTCAGCAATCTGTCACTGTTTGTTGCTCTGTCATAAATAGCACTTTTCTAAAATAGGCAAAGGCCTTACTCATAGATGTGCTTAATACTATGTAGCAATTGATCATTAATTTCATGGTGTTCTGTCTGCCCCACTGGAATGGGTATTCTGGTTGCTGTTAGCCTCTGCTGGCCATTGAGATGCCGATGACCCGTGCTCTGAGAGACTCCTGATAGAGACTCCTGCTCTAGGAATTCTAGAGCAAGAATTCCAGGATGTTAAGAGGCAAGCATGTTAGAAGGCCATATGGTACAGTGACAGAGAGCAGGCTCTGGAATAGCATTCCTGTCAGAGGTGGGCTTGTGACTCTCTCTAGTTAGTGATTTTCAGTGGCTTCCCGTTGCTCTCCAGAGGAAGCCCAGACTTTACACTGTATCATAGGAGGCCCTAAATTATCCCCCACTTTTTTTTTTTTTTTTTTTTTTTTTGAGACAGAGTCTGGCTCTGTCATCCAGGCTGGAGTACAGTGACACAATCTCTGTTCACTGCAACCTCTGCTTCCTGGGCTCAAGCGATCCTCCTACCTCAGCCTCCTGAGTAGCTGGGACTACAGGTGCATGCCACCATACCTGGCTAATTTTTGTATTTTTCTGTAGAGACGGGGTTTCACCATGTTACTCAGGCTGGTCTCAACCTCCTGAGCTCAAGCAATCCACCTGCCTCGGCCTCCCAAAGTGCTGGGATTACAGGTGTGAGCCACCACACCCCGCCACCTGTATTATCCCTTTTCCCAAGAGTTTATCACAGATGGCAGGGAGCTCAGGCTCTGGTTTCAAATCTGGGCTTTTCTACTTCCAAAGTGTGTCCATCTCCTAAAGCAAGTTACCTAGCCACACTGTGCTTCTGGAACTTTATGTGTATAATTGATATAGTAGTAATAACAAAATAATGTTGTTGTTAGGGTCAAATAAGATAATACACATAAAGCACTTGGGACACCACCTGGCACATGGTTAACACTCTCACTCCGTGTTAGTTGGGATATTATTATTCTTGGCAACAGCAGCAGTAGTTGTAGCTTTCATAGCAGTGCTTCCTGGCCTTTGCACCTTTACAAAGCTCTTCTCTCAGTATGTGCAGCCCTTTGGATACCTTGAGCCTGGCAAACTCCTGCTCATTCTCCCAGGTCCCCCTGGAGGTGAACTTGCAGGCAGCCTGCCCCGACCCCACAGGCTCATTGCCTTGCTTCTGCCCCTGTCCCACAGCCGATAGTCTCTGTGGCCTTCCCAGCATATGTCACCATTCTCTGGGCACATGGGGGCATTTCTAGATGTCCTGACTGGGAGCTCTTGAGGTCAGGGAGATGTCTGAGCACCACGAAGGCCCCCAGTAAATGTTTATATCATGAATTTGTCACTGTCCCATTCTTAGTCCTGCCCAGGACTAAGAAATTCATAATTGGTGTTTGCAGGGATTTAGGCAAAGAAGGTTAAAGCTACATGGTGAGGAGCGTGTATTAGTCCATTTTCACGCTGCTGATAAAGACACCTGAAACTGGAAACAAGAAGAGATTTAATTGTTCCACATAGCTGGGGAGGCCTCAGAATCATGGCCGGAGGTGGAAGGTACTTCTAACATGGCAGTGGCAAGAGAAAATGAGGAAGAAGCAAAAGTGGAAATCCCTGATAAACCCATCAGATCTCATGAGACTTATTCATGAGAATAGCATGGGAAAGACCAGCCCCCAGGATTCATTTACTTCCCCCTGGGTCCCTCCCACAACATGTGGGAATTCTGGGAGATACAATTCAAGTTGACATTTGGGTGGGGACACAGCCAAACCATATCAGAGTGTAAGAAGTACATGGGAAGCCAGGGCTACACCTGTGTCCCCTGCACCTGAGTGTCACAGAGAATCAGGGAGGGCCTCATTATCTACCACTGGCAACAAAAGCCCCACATAGCTTTGACCTCAAATTAGAAGAAAGCTCTCAGTTCCTTCCAATAGGCAGTCTCTGTTCCAGCACTGTTCAGGCAGCCACTTTCCTGCAATTCTAGATCTCTCTCAAGGCCTTCAGGAGATGCCAGATTTCATTCTGTCCCCTTGGCTTTTTCTTCTGCCTTCTCTGGGAACATAGGGGCATTTCTAGATGTCCTGACTGGGAGCTCTTTTCTTCTGCCTTCTTTTTGATTTTCCCACTTCAGGGCAGCACACCCAGATACCCAGGCATGGGAAAGAGCTCTACCATAGGGGAGGTTCCCTAAGCACTTGCCCAGAGGCTAAAGGACTTGGACAGGCTTCATTGCTCCCTATAAGGCCTAGAAACTTGAAGCAAGTGGGCACCCTGGCCTTGTTCCTGAACACCAGACCTGCCAGTGGCCCATGGCCTTGGCCTTAGCATTCACTCTGAGTTCTGTACTCTGAGCTACCCTCTTCTCAGCACGGTGGCTGCATGGAGTTGGTTCAACATTAGTAGTGCCTCCTTTCTCTCTTCCTTCATTTCAATTATAAAGTGTTCCTTGTATCAAAAAGTAGAATAAAGAATACAGTGAAAATCTGTATACCTACCACCCAGTCCAAGAATTAAAACATTCTAGTTATTATAATAGCCAAAACTGGAATTAGCCTAGATGTCCTTCAACAGGTGAACAGTGAACTGTGGTCCATTCATGCTATGGAATGCTACTCAGCACTAACAAGGAATGAACTGTCTTATGTATAACAATTTGGATGAATCTCCAGGGAATTACACTGAGTGAGAATAAAACTATCTCAGAAACTTAACTACTGTCTGATTTCATTGATTTTTGAAATGACAAAATTTTAGAAATGAGGTGAGTGGCTGATGGAGTTGAGGACCTGGGCTGGGGGTGGAAGGGATGCGGGTATGGAGATAAAAGGACACATGAGGATCCTTGCCTGTGGAGACGTTCTGTATCTCGACTGTGGTGATGGACACACAAACCTATGCGAGTGGTAAAATTGTATAGAACTTAACCCATACACACATGAGTACCAGTAAAATGGGACATTTGAATATGATTGGTAGACTGTATCTATATCCATATCTTGGCTATGACAGTATTTTATACTTTTGCAAAATGTTACCATTGGGGAAGCTGGGCAGAGTGTAAAAGGGACCTCTCTCTTGTTTCTTAAAACTGCATGTGAACCCTTAATTATCTCAATACAAATATCAATTTAAAAAAAGAAAGATATTGCAAGTAACTTTAAAAGAAACATAATAGGTACAACTGAAGATAACGGTGTGCCCCCCAATCTCATTCCTCTCCTTCCTAAGAGGCAACAAGTATCTGGAATTTAGTATTGCTCATTCCCACACAATTCTGTACTTTTACTACATATGTATGTACAGTATCCACAAACAATAGATGCTATCGTTTGGTATATCTTCAAACTTGATATATATTGGGTTTTGTTGGAACTTACCACTGTGTATAACCCGTTGTGTGACTGTAATAGAGCTCATTTATCCTTTCACTTGTTGCTGGACTTGGTTGTTTGTTTCCAGTCATCCAGCACGAGCCGTGTTGCCGTGAAGGTTTTTGCTGATATCCTCTTGTGCACATGTGTAAGACTCTCCCCACTATACCCTAGGAGCGCATAGGATGGCTAGGACACAGGGCAGGCACATCTGCAGCTCTACTAAACACTGCCAAATTTCCTTCCAAACTATACCTATTTATTCTCCCTCAAGCAGTATATCAGCCTATCTATGGCTCTGCATTTTTGCCATTGTGGTAATATCAGAAGTTAGTTTTTGCCAGTCTAGTGGGTATGAAATGGTATCCTACTGTTTCAATTCCCTTGGCTTCTTCTACCATGAAGCATGGTTCTGTGCCCACATTGTATCTCCCCAACCAGACTGGAAACTTCTAGTCACAGCTCCCAGAGATAGGTGCCCAGGCCATAGTAGGGGCTCAAGATTTGTTGAATGAATAAAAAATAATAATTCCAGATGCTTTTACTTGGAAGGATTATAGTTGCTTTTTCTTCATTTTTTCTTTTTAAATATGTAACCATCACTTTCTAAAAATAGCAGCTTTATTTAGACATAATTGACATATACATACAGTCATTTAAAGTGTACAATTCAGTGCTTTTTACTATTTGCAGAGTCGAGAAACCATCACCAGAATCCGTTTTAGAAAATTTTCATTATTCACCCCAAAAGAACCCATACCCATTAACAGTCACCCCAGATTTCTTCCTAACCTAATGCCTCCACCCCCTGCACCACCTTATTCCCATCCCTGCTTTGGCCAGGTCTAGGCAACCACAAATCTCTTTTCTGCACCTGTGGATTTGTCTATTCTGGAAATGTTATTGTATAAATGAAATCATACAACATGTGTTTTTTTGTGGCTGGCTTCTTTCACTTAGCGTGTTTTCAAGGTTTATCTAGGTTGTAGTATGTGTTAGTACTTCATTCCTTTTTCTTGCCAAATATAGCACTTTCACTTTCCACAATTTCATTTTCATGTGAATACAGCACAATAAGATATTTTGGGAGAGAGATGATAGTCACATAACTTTTATTACAGTACAGTCAGCCCTTTGGACATACAGGTTTTGCATCTATGAATTCAACCAACTGCAGATAGAAATCCACAATTAGAGACTGTACTATGCCACTTTATATGAGGGAGTTGAAGATTCTTGGATTTGGATACCTGCAGGGGGTCCTGGAATCAATCCCCCATGATACAGATGTCTGACTGTATATTGTTATAATTTCTCTATTTATTATTGCTAATCTCTGATTGTGCCTAATTTATAAATTAAACTTTATTATAGATATGTATGTATAGAAAAAAGCATAGTATATACAGGGTTTGGTACTATCCTTAATTTCAGGCATCCACTGGGGACCTTGGAATGTATCCTCTGTGGATAAAGGGAGAAAACTACAATATTCCATTGTGTGCACATATCATATTCTACTTACCCATTTCTTAGCTGATGGACATTTGGGTTGTTTTCACCTTTATGCTATTATGAATAATGTTGCTATAAACACTTGTCCTTGTGGATATGTTTTCATTTCTCTTGAGCAAATAAATACCCAGGTGTTGAATTGCTGGATCATATGGTGTGTTTAACTGTTTGAAGAACTTCCAGAATGTTTTCTAGAGGCTGTGGCATTTCACATTTCCACCAGCAGTGTATAAGGGTTCCAGTTTCTCCACATCTTCATCAATATTTGTTATTATATGTCTTTTTGTATTATAGCTCAATCATGGGCTTTTGAATCAGGCAACCTGGGTTAGAATCCCAGTTTTGCTGTTTACTAGCTGCAGTATCATAATTAACTTTTCCCTCCATTTTCTTCCTGTGTAAAATGAGATTATTAATACCCACTTTGTAGGACAATTGTGAGGACAAATTAAACCAAGACAATGGTAAAGCCTTTAGCACAGTGTGGGATGCCATTTGCATGTCCTGGGAACAGAGTAACAGTGACAGTTTGTCATTATGGGCCTCCTCTAGTCCATGGTCTTTCTGTCTAGGGTGCTCATAAAGCCACCTAGAACTGCCATGAGCACCTCCTCTCAGTTGTCTGGGAGCTAAGCTGTGTGTGAGTGAAAAGCCCAGAGCACTGCTCTTCATGAATGTCCAGCACTCACAGTGGAAGTTAGAGCAGATCCACCATCACCTTGACTCTCAGAGTCCCCAGGGGCCACCACTGGACTGTCCCAACCTGGCAGGTTCTTACAAGCCACCCCCAAACAACAAGCCACCGCCAAACAAACACCACAGGGAACAGAGGGACAGAGAACCTTTGCAGGCTCCAGGTTAAGAAGCTTCAAATCGGGTCTGAACTATGTGAGTTTATTTAAATTGGTTTTCTTTTCCTTCCTTTCTTTGGCAGGAGCCAAATTTTTCATGCCACCATTTTTGCAACAATCACAAACATCATCTGCACACCCAGACATTGTATAGGAGGGAAAAAAAAGATGATTACTCGCTGATTGCTACTGTTGTTCATTTTGGAGCTGCCTCTGGATGAGAAAGGCACAGCTGCATGTGGAAGAGGCAGAGAACAGCAGCTCTGTAAAGCCAGAGCATGGGTAGGGTGGAAGGGGAAAAGTCCCTCACAGCAGGGAAGACCTGGCAGTCAGAGTGGCAGTGGTTTATGGGACGAGGTCCTGTTCCTGGCAGTGCTGTGACCAGTGTCTACAGGAGGCAGCAAAGACACCTCAGGCTCATCATGCCCCAAACAGACTCACATCATCTCCTCCCCCACCCACTTCCCCAGTCCTTCCCATCTTAGTCAGTGGACCAGAAACTTGGGTGCCACCCTGGTTCTGCCTCCTTCTTTGTCTCACACACCTGACCAGTCACAAAGCCGTGTGAATCCTATCCTGCATATCTCTCAAATGCATCAAGTTCCCTCCATTCATTCACTCTTGGATCACTGCAGCAGCCTCCCCAGTGTCTCCCTGCCTCTCTGCCTCTAGCCTAGCACCTCTTGATGACTCATTCCCCAGCCCACACTGATCTTCCCATAAAACAAATGAGATTGGGTCACTTTACCTGAAAACCCTACAGTGGTTTCCCTTCACCCTAAAGATGAAATCAGAGGGCTTTCAGCCACTTGCCCCACCCCTCCTTCATGCTTCTGTGAGTCTCTGTTACTGCACGGGACTATATCAGTGGTTCATTTATCTTCTTCCCCATTCTCCCCTGGGCTCCCTAAGGGCAGGAATTCTGGTTGATTCATGCCAGTATCCCCTGCATCTAACAGAGCTTCTGACTTATGGTAGGTACCCAATAAATGTGTGTTATTTGAGTAATCTTTATGATTTTCAGAATTTTTTTTTTTTTTGCCTGGTTATTTCTCTTTTGACCTTCGCCACTCTGAAGTACACATGGTAGGAGTTATTTCCATTTAAAAGTAGGAAACCCAAGACTCAGAGATGATAAGTGATGGTCTGAGGGTCCTACACAGCAGGCATATGGCAGAGCTGGACTAGCCACAGCTCTTCCAAAGGAGGCATCACTAGAATCCCATGAGGAAAGCAAGGCAGGTGGCTATTTCTGTGGTTCTCAAAGTGCAGTCCCTGGACCACCAGTGTCAACACTACTGTTAGAAACACTACTGTTAGAAACGCAGTTTTCAGGCCCTACTCACAAGATGATGGAATAGCATGAGGCCAAGCCCAAACTTCCCAACTGCCTTCTTCCAGCCAAGATCATATTCTCTGTGTTGTGTGATGTCCTACTTCTGGAATTACTAATGTCCATGAGTCCTAATGATGGGCCCCGCTGTACCAGTTGGAACAAAAGATTCTTCCTGCAGACCCTCTGCAGCACGAACTTTTTCAATAATGTCAGAAAGCTGTGTGGGGCATAATTATAATAGTGTTCATCCTTCAAGCATACTTTCTGCTGGGACTGATTAAACAAGGTCTGACAAGCATCTCTCCTGGATGACTCTGGGTATTAAGGCAACCAGAGTATGAGTCACTTGTAATGCCCCAGCTAGAAGTTTTTCCAGGGCATAATAATCCCCTAGTATGGACAGAAACTACTAGTGACAGGCAAAACGTTCAGAGGCTGTGCTTGTGCCTGGAGCAACAGCTTTGTCCTCCTCTCCTGCCCCTGCCTTGACTTTGAAATGTTCTGTCAAGAACGATCAGCCTAGAATTGAAAGGCATCCATGTGTCAGCTGAGCCAAAGAGAGATGGGATGAAAATAGCAGCTGCCTCTAGTGTTTTAATGGATGCCCGTGTCCCTTAAGGGCACCAGGCCTGGCCACACAGTGATGAGGAGTAAGCCTGGAAGGCCCAGCCTGCATTGCTCTGATGTGTGACTTTGGATGACCCTTGCCCTTCCTGGGCCAAGTTTGCTCTGGGAGTAAATCTCTGAGGTCCCTTCCAGCACTGATGAAGGAACCTATGGCATGTCCTGGGGGACACTAGATTCAATGCGGAGTAAGGTGAAGTGGACTTTTAAAAGTGGAGATATTTAGAAGGAGATAAACCTGGGTGAGAAGCCCCAGCTCTAGCTCTCCCCACTATGTGATGCCCAGCATCGGACTGCTGCCCTGCCTCTGGGTCCTTCTGAAGGATTCTGAGACTGGAGGAAGAGACAGCTAGGAAGCACAACTGATTGGGGTTCTATTTTTGAAAGAGGCCTGCGTTGGCATCCCTAGAGACAGAGCACGGTGCATTTCCCTGAATAACCACTGCTATTTTTAGAGGGCAGAAATGAACGGCACCCCAGGAGAGAAGGCGAGAAGAGTGACTGGATGCTTCTAGAGATGCTGCAGGTCCTGAGCTGGATCTCAGTCAGTTTTTTCCAAGGTGTCTGCCTGGGAAGTTGCTTATCAGCCTCACCGTGACCTTGGTTGGTATGGTGAGGCCACTGCTGTCCTGTATGCTGCAAGGGCAGAGAATGCTGGGTGCCAACCCCAGGGAACCACTTTTCACCCTTGTGTGGCACACTTCTTACAGCCATTGTCAGCTGCTGTGGAGGAGGAGTTGTCTGGATTGAATGTCTCCCAACCACAGCAGGAAAACAGGCAGCAGAGGATTACTGTCTGGGACTAAACCCTCCGGGACATGTTCCTGAAAAATTTTAGAGATGGGTGGAAATCAATAGAGATTACAGATGAGTAGAATTGTGGATTCTTAGACTACAAGGGCACCACATCCAGCCACCCTGCTTAAGTGAGCTGTCCAGCCCCAGGACTGCATATCTGTAATGGAAGGGCATTCCCTGAGAGAGCTCCACCCATTTCTGGGTATTTGATTGCTTGCAAGTTTGTTCCAAAAAGTCCCATATCCTCTACTCAGCACACATAACGATTATGGATAAATAATGACAATGAACTTGTATTGCAGGCTCACCACGTATCAGGTAATGGAAGTATTCCACCTGTGCCTTCTCATTCAATCTTCACATTCCGAGTCAGGGACATTATTATTCTTATCTTGCAGATGAGGCGGCTGAAACAATGAATGCCTAGCACATAATAGTAACGACAGCAAATGTTTATACAGCTTACTGTATTCCAGCCACTCTTTTACATGGTTTACATGAATTAGCAAATTTAATCTTCACAAAAACCCTTTGAAGTAGGTAGTATTATCATCATCTCCAATTTGGAGAGGAGGACAGAGAGGCAAGATTTGAATCCAGACACACCGGGTACAGTGGGCTTGCTCCTAACTGCCCTGGCCATATTATTCTACCTCTCCACGAGTATTTGTATAATGAACATCTGACCTCTCTACTCACATCTTGACTCATTCTTCCCCCTCTCTTTGCTCCACCCACACTGGCCATCTTCCAGTTCTGCTAACTTGCAGCGTCTAACATCAGGGACTCCTCCAGACTCCATCCCTTCTTCTCCTGGCCACCTCCTGGTCATCCCTTAGGTTTCAATTCATGTTGCTTCCTCAGAGAGGGCTGCTCTGATTTCCCCAGACCAGGCAGATCAGGTCAGCCCCCTCTTTTAATCTTTCTCCTAGTCCCCGTGCTCCTTCTTCAAGTGCCATCATCTCCCTGCTCAACACACTCAGAAGGAAAGCTCCGCAAGGGCAGGACAATGCCACTGTCCTCCCTCTGCGTCCCCAGCATCCTGCTCAGTGCCTGACACAGAGTAGGTCCCCAATACATATTTGTCAATTAAGTGCATGGAAGCAGGGCTAGAAAGCAGGGTTGGCACCTGTTTTTCTTGAAGGCCACGGTGTCTCTAGAAGCAGGCTGGGTCTATTCCCACCAACTCACCAGTTTCCTGAGAGCACATGTGTGGTGCTGGGAATTGTTTCTTCACATAACTTCTTCTCTCTCATTTTAGAGGGGAGGAAATAAAGACTGTGAAGGAGAGAGTGGTGGAAGGAGGGGGAAGGAGGAATCAGGCAGAGCTCCCCAACCTGGCTGACTGCTCATTAGAATCACCTGGCGAGTGTTGAAAGCCCAGGCCTGGCGCCTCCCCAGGCCAGTGGAATCTGAACTTCTGTGGGTGGTGCCTGAGCTTGGACACTTGTTTAGTTTATGTGGCCTGGTCCTCATAGATTGTATTTGGGAGACCAGGCCATCAGAGAGAAGACAAGAGCCTTTGTTAGGAAACCCAGACCAGTCCTCCCCACTCAGTGGTTCTTCACACAGTGGCGGCCTAATCAAGGAGGCTGTCCTCACAGAAACTAAAGATTAGGGCAGTGGTTGAACAATAATTATCATCCTCATCATTTAATAATAATAGTTACTATTTATTTGTTGAGTAAACAATGTGCTAGGCCTCTTACCTAATCCTGATGAATGCCTGTTAGGTGGTTGATGGTGTTGCCATCATACAAAAGAGGATGCCCAGGTTAAGGTCACACATGGAGGAGTGGGAGAGGCCAGGTATGAACTTGGGCCTCTATGCCCTGAGCCTGTGTTCCAGCAGTGGCCTGCACGGCCTGCAGGTGTTTGAGTCTCCTTTCCTTCCACCGGGAGCACAGTGTGTGCAGAAAGGCTTCTACCTTCATGACTAACAAGACTCTGAAAAAAAAATTCTTGATTGGAAGCCTGCTACATTCTGTGCTAGGGTTCAGGAGGAGAGAAAGCCAGGTTTCCCCCCACCACGTCCCCCAGCAAAACAATGCATTTTAAATGGCTCCAAAATTGCTAACTTATTTCACTGCTTCAGAGGAGAAATAACTTGGGGAAAGCTATTGGCCCTTTATGCCCTGAACATCAAAATAAAATGCCAAATGGGAACATGAAATCACAGGAGGATGGAAGTGGAAAGGATTAGGTGGGAAGTTTGCTGTTGATGTGTGGGGAGAGTGTTAAACTGGAATTCTGGGTACTTGTGAACTTGGGGGTCAGATGGACCTGGTTCAATCCAGCCTGGGACTAATGCTCCCATGCTGACATGGCTTTAGGATTAACTGCAAACAAGGTACCTCTCCGGCAAAAGGTCCTGAGCAGCTTTTGGTTCTGGTTCCACTGAGCTGGGGTTGGGCCCAAGCAGGGGCTTTTTAAAAAAAAAAACTTCCAGGTGATTCTAATGAGCAGCCAGGGTTGGGAAGCTCAGCTTAATTCCTCCTTTCCCTTCATTGTCTCCCCTCTCATTCTGAGTTTTCTCCCCGCTCAAATGGGCATGATACCACTTGAAGAAACAATCCCCAGTCCCTTCCAGCAAGACGAACTGCTCTCAGTAACCTGTGGTGAGTCAGTGGGAACATCCCAGCCTGTTTCCAGTCACACCTTTGCCTCCAAGAGAAACCAGTGCCAGCCCTACATTCTAGTTGGCTCAGGTAAAATGAAAGCATGGGGGAAAAGGGCCCCAGTCTGGCATGGAATATTGAGGACTCAGAGCCTTTTTGCTTTTTGCTGAAAACCTCTTAACCCTGGGCATGACCAGGCGCCATCTGCTGAACACGCATCCATAAGCCTTGCTGAGGGAGGCAGCTTGTTTCCTCCTCATGCTGAGGCTACTGCTACAAGGCTCTGTCAGTGAGGCTGGTTGGAAAGTTCTAGAAATGTGGGTCAGGTGGGCTCTCAGGCCTGTCACAGCTGAGAGACAAGTCTCCAGGCCTGGAAGAGGAGAGAAAATGAGGCTTCCAGCCTCTAGAATGTTCTGTTTGATGAGCAGCACAATGGGGCCAGAAGCCTGAGAACAAGTGTGACTGAGGCCCTGTTAAGAAGAGAATGCACCCCCTGGAAATGTCCTCAGGAAACATGGGGAACAGTGTCTGATCTGAACACACACCTGTACAGACCTTGTCCATGATAGGAATGGCAAACGGCTACCATCAACAGCACCAGCCGGGGGCTGACTCCTCAGACACAGGCACTACTCTCCACAACACCCCGATAGGTCGGGTTAGGACCCCAGTTTCACAGACAGAGACACTGAGGCTTAAGGGGACATAGAACCAGTCAGTGCTGAGGCTGAGGCTGTGGACTTCCATAGTAGCTTTCAGACCTGTTTTCCCATTTGATCTTCTCAACAAGCCTACGAGATGAGCCAAGGTGAAGAAACAGGCTCAGAGACACACGGTGACTTCTCCAGTGTCACACAGCTAAGGAGCAGCAGGGCCTGGACTCAGAGCCAGGCCTGTTGGGCTCAGGTTGGTGCTATCTCCCCTCAGTCCAGGCTTGCGAGATGCCCTCTTGCATTAGTCTGTTTTCACGCTGCCGATAAAGACATACCCGAAACTGGGAACAAAAAGAAGTTTAACAGGACTTATAGTTCCACATGTCTGGGGATGCCTCAGAATCATGGTGGGAGGCGAAAGGCACTTCTAACATGGCGGCAGCAAGACAAAAATGAGGAAGAAGCAAAAATGGAAACCCCTGATAAACCCATCAGATCTCGTGAGGCTTATTCACTATCATGAGAATAACATGGGAAAGACCAGCCCCCATGATTCAGTTACCTCCCGCTGGTCTCTCCCACAACACATGGGAATTCTGGAAGATACAATTCAAGTTGAGATTTGTGTGGGGATGCAGCCAAACCATAAAATTCCACTCCTGGCCCCTCCAAATCTCATGTCCTCACATTTCAAAACCAATCATGCCTTCCCAACAGTCCCCCAAAGTCTTAATTCATTTTAGCATCAACCTAAAAGTCCACAGTCCAAAGTCTCATCTGAGACAAGGCAAGTCCCTTCCACCTATGAGCCTGTAAAATCAAAAGCAAGCTAGTTACTTCCTAGATACAATGAGAGTACAGATATTTGGTAAATACAGCCATTCCAAGTGGGAGAAATTGGCCAAAACAAAGGGGTTACAGGGCCCATGAAAGTCCAAAATCCAGCGGCAGTCAAATTTTGAAGCTCCAAAATGATCTCCTTTGACTCCAGATCTCACATCTAGGTCACACTGATGCAAGAGCTGGGTTCCCATGGTCTTGGGCAACTCCACCTCTTTGGCTTTGCAGGGTACAGCCTTCCTCCTGGCTGCTTTCACGGGCTGTTGTTGAATTTCTGCGGCTTTTGCAGGTGCACGGTGCAAGCTGTCAATGGACCTACCATTCTGGTGTCTGGAGGATGGTGTCCCTCTTCTCACAGCTCCAGTAGTAGGCAGTACCCCAGTAGGGACTCTCTATGGGGGCTCTGACCTCACATTTCCCTTCTATACTGCCCTAGCAGAGGTTCTCCATGAAAGCCCCACTCCTGCAGCAGACTTTTGCCTCAGCATCCAGACATTTCCATACATCTTCTGAAATCTAGGCAGAGGTTCCCAAACCTCAATTATTGACTCTGTGTACCCACAGGCTCAACACCATGTGGAGGCTGCCAAGGCTTGGGGCTTCCAGCCTGTGAAGCCACAG
This sequence comes from Homo sapiens, assembly GCF_000001405.40. Classification (NCBI taxonomy): domain Eukaryota; kingdom Metazoa; phylum Chordata; class Mammalia; order Primates; family Hominidae; genus Homo; species Homo sapiens. Next base: position 79,195,052 of record NC_000011.10, on the reverse strand, counting down.
CCTGAACTCTATGTTGGCCCCTTTCAGGCATGGCTGGAGTGGCTGGGACACAGGGCACCAAGTCCCTAGGCTGCACACAGCACAGGGACCTTGGGCCCAGCCTACAAAACCACTTTTTCCTCCTGGGCCTCCAGGGCTGTGATGGGAGGGGCTGCTGTGAAGGTCTCTGACATGGCCTGGAGATATTTTTCCCATGGTCTTGGGGATTAATATTAGGCTCCTTTCTACTTATGCAAGTTTCTGCAGCTGGCTTGAATTTCTCCCCAGAAAATGGAATTTTCTTTTCTGTCACATAGGCTGCAGATTTCCCAAACTTTTATGCTCTGTTTCCCTTATAAAACTGAATGCCTTTAACAGTACCCAAGTCACCTCTTGAATGCTTTGCTGCTTAGAAATTTCTTCCACCAGATACCCTAAATCATCTCTCTCAAGTTCAAATTTCCACAAATCTCTAGGGCAGGGGCAATATGATTCCAGTGTCTTTGCCAAAACATAACAACAGTCACCTTTGCTCCAGTTCCCAATATTTCCTCATCTCCACTGGAGACCACCTCAGCCTGGACCTTATTGATCATATCACTATCAGCATTTTTGTCAAAGCCATTCAACAAGTCTCCATGAGGTTCCAAACTTTCCCACATTTTCCTATCTTCTTCTGAGCTCTTCAAACTGTTCCAATCTCTTCCTGTTACATAGTTCCAAAGCTGCTTCCACATTTTCAGGTATCTTTTCAGCAATGCCCTATTCTGCTTGTACTAATTTACTATATTAGTCCGTTTTCATGCTGTTGATAAAGACATATCCAAAACTGGGAACAAGAAGAGGTTTAATTGGACTTACAGTTCCACATGTCTGGGGAGGCCTCAGAATCATGGTGGGAGGCAAAAGGCGCTTCTAACGTGGCGGCAGCAAGAGAAAAATGAAGAAGTAAAAGCAAAAACCCCCTGATAAACTCATCAGATCTCGTGAGGCTTATTCACTGTCATGAAAATAGCACAGGAAAGACCGGCCCCCATGATTCAATTACCTCCCCCTGAGTCCCTCCCACAACAGGTGGGAATTCTGGGAGATACAATTCAAACTGAGATTTGGGTGGAGACACAGCCAAACCATATTACCCCTGCTCTCCACTCCCATGGCCCTGTCTGGATGTCTCAGCAGCTGGGCTGCCCCCAACCTCCAAACACTCCCATCCTTCATACCCCTCCTGAAACCCAACACAGTTGCCATTTTCTAGCTGTGTGACCTTGGGCAGGTTGACTATCACCTGACCTCTGTGAGCTTTCATTTTCATTTTATTTCCCTGCAAGGTGGGAGAGAAGAACCCATCTGCCCACCTACTGTGAGAATGAGTGAGGCCACCGTGTCCCTGGCACTGTGCTTCACTCTTTGGTAAGTGTCAGGGACCCTGCTATGTGGATGGACACTTGTAGGATCAGATGTGTCAGTCTGTGGGGAGTTTCCTACAGAAGCCATCCAGCCCAACTCGTCACTCAGCAGGTGAAGGACAAAAAGAGACCATGACTTGCAGCAACTCAGAGTATGACCGGCCGGGCCACAAGCTTTGTCTCCTGATTCTCAGTCCAATGCACCAGACAGTGCCGTAGGACCTAGGGAAAAGCGGAATACAAGAGACTAAAGTCAAAAATGATCCCACCACATGAAACCCCTAAAATGTAAGTCATCCTGATGGGAGGCAGCATTTCACATGGAAAGAACATCAGTATTCCCTCACTGACACCTGAGTTCCGGCTGCCCTGCCCACCTCACTACTTGTGAGGTCTTGGGCAGGTCATAGCCGTCTGAGGCCCAGGTTCCAAATCTGTCAAATGAGGAAGAGGATGAGTAAAATTCTAGAACAGGGACCTTAGTGAGCTGCTCCAGAAATGGTACCCATCATTATGAAGCCTTCTTTTCAGTCCTCAAATACTGAAAGAAAATGGTGAGGTTGGTGCTGGTGGGAAAGCTTGCTGTCCTGGGCATCAATCAGGGCCTCTCACTGCTCAGGCAGGGGTCCTGGGCGCTGGGAGGCTGGAGAGGAAGGGGAAGAACCAAGAGGAACTTGTGAGGCTCCTTGAGCTACTCCTGTATCTTCTGCCACATCCCCTGCCTACAACCTTGCTGGGAACAGAGTCACAAGCAAGCAGCTTTGAGCTGTTGGCCAGAAAAGGCTGTCACCACACAATCCCTGTAGGGAAAATAATCATATCGTCTAGGTTATTCTTGAAAACTTTTTCTAATATGCTCAAGATACTGATACAGACTCTGTGCTGAAAATATTTTTTTTTTTAATTTTATTTTTTTTTTATTGATCATTCTTGGGTGTTTCTCACAGAGGGGGATTTGGCAGGGTCATAGGACACTAGTGGAGGGAAGGTCAGCAGACAAACAAGTGAACAAAGGTCTCTGGTTTTCCTAGGCAGAGTGTTTGTGTCCCTGGGTACTTGAGATTAGGGAGTGGTGATGACTCTTAAACGAGCATGCTGCCTTCAAGCATCTGTTTAACAAAGCACATCTTGCACCGCCCTTAATCCATTTAACCCTGAGTGGACACAGCACATGTTTCAGAGAGCACAGGGTTGGGGGGTAAGGTCACAGATCAACAGGATCCCAAGGCAGAAGAATTTTTCTTAGTACAGAACAAAATGAAAAGTCTCCCGTGTCTACTTCTTTCTACACAGACACGGCAACCATCCGATTTCTCAATCTTTTCCCCGCCTTGCCCCCTTTTGTATTCCAGAAAACCGCCATCGTCATCATGGCCCATTCTCAATGAGCTGTTGGGTACACCTCCCAGACGGGGTGGTGGCCGGGCAGAGGGGCTCCTCACTTCCCAGTAGGGGCGGCCGGGCAGAGGTGCCCCTCAGCTCCCAGACCGGGCAGCTGGCCGGGCAGGGGGCTGACCCCCCCACCTCCCTCCCGGACGGGGCGGCTGGCCGGGCGGGGGGCTGACCCCCCCCCACCTCCCTCCCGGACGGGACGGCTGGCTGGGCAGAGGGGCTCCTGGCTGGGCAGAGGGGCTCCTCACTTCCCAGTAGGGGCAGCCGGGCAGAGGCGCCCCTCACCTCCCCGACGGGGCGGCTGGCTGGGCGGGGGGCTGACCCCCACCTCCCTCCTGGATGGGGGGCGGAGACGCTCCTCACTTCCCAGACGAGGTGGCAGCCAGGCGGAGGGGCTCCTCACTTCTCAGACGGGGCGGTTGCCAGGCAGAGGGTCTCCTCACTTCTCAGACGGGGCGGCCGGGCAGAGACACTCCTCACCTCCCAGACGGGGTCGCGGCCGGGACGAGGCGCTCCTCACATCCCAGATGGGGCGGCGGGGCAGAGGCGCTCCCCACATCTCAGACGATGGGCTGCCGGGCAGAGACGCTCCTCACTTCCTAGATGGGATGGCGGCCGGGCAGAGACTGTCCTCACTTTCCAGACTGGGCAGCCAGGCAGAGGGGCTCCTCACATCCCAGACGATGGGCAGCCAGGCAGAGACGCTCCTCACTTCCCAGACGGGGTGGCGGCCGGGCAGAGGCTGCAATCTCCGCACTTTGGGGGGCCAAGGCAGGCGGCTGGGAGGTGGAGGCCGTAGCGAGCCGAGATCACGCCACTGCACTCCAGCCTGGGCACCATTGAGCACTGAGTGAATGAGACTCCGTCTGCAATCCCGGCACCTCGGGAGGCCGAGGCTGGCGGATCACTCGCGGCTAGGAGCTGGAGACCAGTCCGGCCAACACAGCGAAACCCCGTCCCCACCAAAAAAACACGAAAACCAGTCAGGCGTGGCGGCGCGCGCCTGCAATCGCAGGCACTCGGCAGGCTGAGGCAGGAGAATCAGGCAGGGAGGCTGCAGCGAGCCGAGATGGCAGCAGTACAGTCCAGCTTTGGCCCGGCATGAGAGGGAGACCGTGGAAAGGAGAGGGAGAGGGAGACGGGAGAGGGAGAGGGAGAGGGAGACGGGAGAGGGAGAGGGAGAGGGAGACGGGAGAGGGAGAGGGAGACGGGAGAGGGAGAGGGAGACGGGAGAGGGAGAGGGAGACGGGAGAGGGAGAGGGAGACGGGAGAGGGAGAGGGAGACGGGAGAGGGAGAGGGAGACGGGAGACGGGAGAGGGAGAGGGAGACGGGAGAGGGAGAGGGAGACGGGAGAGGGAGAGGGAGACGGGAGAGGGAGAGGGAGACGGGAGAGGGAGAGGGAGACGGGAGAGGGAGAGGGAGACGGGAGAGGGAGAGGGAGAAGGGAGAGGGAGAGGGAGACGGGAGAGGGAGAGGGAGAGGGAGACGGGAGAGGGAGAGGGACGAAAATATTTTTTAAACTGTAATTATAATGAAAACTGCTTTGCAACATTAACAAAACCACACATTTCTTGACTTGCATCACCTATTCATATTGACTATTTACATTTTTATGTGATTCCTTCCACATTTATTCGGCCAGAACCTGTATGTCTGTTTGAATGGGCTGCCTGTATTAGGGTCTTCATGATGCTTCTTGAGGGAATAGGGGATAGTGTTGTATTATTTTTGACTCTCATTCATTTATTCTAAAAGTAAATACTGAGGATCTGTCCTTTGCCAAGTCCTGTGCCAGGTCTTGAAGGTCTTAAAGAAAAATAAGACTTAGTCCTGCCCTCCAAAGAGGGCAGAGAGGAAAAAGAAAGACATTTGCCATTTACAAGGTGCAAGGCCACGTATTTACACGTGTGATCTCACTTAAGCCTCTTACCAAGGGTGACACAGGCCTTCTTATTCCCATTTTACTTATGAGGAAGCTGAGACTTGAGACATAAACACAGTGCCCAGGGCAATTTAACTGGTAGCTGACAAGAGGCAGCCACGGGAGTTTGTGTCTAAGCGAAAAATGTGACCATCTTTTAAAATGCCGTGGTGGTGAGGTCTACCAAGTAAGACAAACAGGCAAATAGGGGAGTACCCTGTAATGGGGATAAAGTTAGAGGATTTCTTTTTTCCTTTCAAGCTGCAGTAGGAGCACAGAGAAGGGAGAGATTCACGTTGCTTGGACTGAAGGTTCCAGAAGGCTCCCCCTTTAAAAAGAATGGGAGTCATCTCTATCTAAATCCTGCTACATGTGGAAAAGCAACCTCTAAGCCTACAGGTGACTGCCTCTGAAGCATTTCTTCTAACCGTCAGTGGCGTAGAGATCCCAGAGTGCTCTGTGATCTGACAACAGGAGTGGGGCCATCAACGGAGGCTGCGCAGGCAAGTCTGAGTTGGCAAAACCAGCAGGACTGGGCAACTTCTGATGTTGCGCTCTCAGGCCTCTCTTCTATTATTCTTGCCAGCTGTGGTCAGTCAATATTAGCTTTGGTTCCATTTCAAATCAAAGGAAAATCCACTTGGCAAATACTTATGGAGGCCCTACAACACCTTACACAGGCACTACATATCCAGAGCATAAAAAGACGATTAAGACCTAGCTTTGGACTTCAAGGGGCTCTCGTTCTAGGAGAGAGAGTAGTGCTAAATGACATGGGAAGAGCTGTCACAGGACATCACAAGAGTGTTTAAAAAAGGTATGTTTGATTCATTTGCAGTGTTTGATGAACACCTACTGTATGCTGACATGGTGCTAAGGCCTGGGAACCAGAAAAGAACAGGACACAGTCCCTACTCTTAGGAAGCATACTCCTTCACTCGAGAAACAGACATAAATCATATAATTATGATAAATGCTTGTGTGATGGAGGAGCAGGAGACTGTGGTGGGAACACAGAGAGATGGTGGCTAACTGCCTCTGAAAAAGGGAAGGGATCTTGTATTTGCCAAATACCTACTAAATGCTGAGGGTTTACATGTGTTACATCACTTCTTAGTTCCTCTTAGATTTTTTTATGAATGTGGGAATTGAAACTATTAAAGTACCTTATTCAAGATCATGTATTATGACAACATGAAATTTTGCATTCTGTGCCATACCATATCTGTGTTTACATTCATACAAAATAGTATTTTAAATGACTTGCTAAGCCCCTACCCATGTTTTTACGTTCCCTAAAATTCAACAAGAAAGGCATCCCACCTAAGGAACTGTGCCAGTTACACCTGTTTTAGTACCTGTGAATTTCATACTAATAATTTCCATGAGGACTAGGAATTCCTTAGGTTCCCTCTTTCATGATTTCAGTGACATGTTTAAATGTTTATTATGCATGCTTGCAGGTAACATGTGCGAAGATTTCCCCACATCTGGTCCCCCAGTACTGACTGCCTTTCTGAGGTCAAGACTTGGATTTGCAATCACCACACCCTATCCTTGGCTTTAGCCCTGCCTGGACAAGTGTGGACAGACCCCAGCCCCTTCTCATCCCCTCCTCCCTTTTCTACTGCTCCTCGTCTCCCCCTTCCCTCCTCTCTCTCTTTTCTCCTCTTCCCCATCCCCATCCTCACTTCTCTTCTGCTTGCTCCCCTTCTCCTTTATTCTTCCCTTCCTTCTTCTTTGCTTTTCTCCTCCATTGACTCCTCTCCTCACTCCTCCATTCTCCCTTCCTTCTCCCCTCATCTCTCCTCTCCTTCCCTCCTTCTTCCTCTCCTCCTCTCTTTTCCCTTTTCCTCACCTCCATCATCTCCTCTCTACTAGGACTTCACTGAAACTCTCTACTCTAGGGTTCATAAGCTGGGGTCTATGAATCCTGCAGAGTCTGTGAGTGAGTTTCCAACTGTGCATTAACCCTTGAAATTGAAGTCAGCATTCTGGATTCATGGCCATGAATGTGTTTTGCCAGGGAGAAGTTTTATAGCTTTTACCAGATCCTCAGATTTCTAGACTTGGATCTCCCACTTCTCTTCTCAATTCCTAGTCTTCGGTTTCTTGTTTCCCCAAATTCCCATGACAAGTGAGAGTCATAGTTTATCTACAATTGACTTTAAAATTTGCAGCTGTGGAGAAAGTAAGTTCACAGAAGCCCTTCGTGAAGAGAGCTCACTGGTTGGAAAGTGCAAATGTCCCAGCAGTTGTGTGGATTAAATGAGGTCTCATGAGTGAGTGTTTGGCATGCAGGCAAAGCTAAACAACAGTGAGTTTTTCTCCCTCCCAAGCTCTACTGAAACACTGTTCTTTGCAGATGAGTAGAATTATATATAGTCTGCTAGGCTGCCATAACAAAGTAGCACAGACTGGGTGGTTTAAACAACAGAAATTAATTGCATTCCATTCTGGAGGCTGGAAGTCCAAAATCAAGGTGCCTGCAGGGTTGGTTTCTTCTGAGGCCTTCCTTGGCTTGCAAATGGCTGTCTTCCCACCATGTCCTCACATGGTCTTTCCTCTGTGTATCTGTGTCCTAATCTCTTCTTATAAGGACACCAATTGTACTGGGGTAGGGCCCAATCATATGACCTCATTTTACCTTAATTAACTTTTTTAAGGCCCTGTCTCCAAATACAATCAGATTCTGAGGTACTGGGGGTTAGGACTTCAACATAGGAACTAGTGGGAGGCACCATTCATCTCATAACAAATTGAGTAAAATTCCTTTCCTTGTAGAGTCTCACTAGTGTCCTGCCTAGGGAGGCAGTCATGGGAGGAGGGTGAGAATAAAGCCTATCCATTGAACACTATTGCATCTAGAACTTGGTCTTAATTCAAACCACTATTGACAAAAGGTTATTTAGGAAGCACTTTCTGGCTGAGTGGGTCCAGGATAATTATTAAGGACCCATGCATGGGTTGAGCAGGAGTTGTGGACACCATGTTAGCAAGTAGCCAGCCCAGTGGTTGCCTCGTCTTCCTGACAGATAGGAAGAAACTGTGTTTTATTTATGTGTGCTGCTATTCTTAGTCTTGCACTTTTCCCTTTATCCCCAGTGGAAAGGATTATTGTAACTACTCTATCTTGAACCCGTCTCATAGTCAAATTAATAGATGAGGCTCAAGTCGTTGCCCTGGAGTTCAACAGCAAAAACATATTAACCCAAAAGCATTATCATATCATTAGAGCAGTGTGTGTAAAAGTTTAACATTCAGAACAAGAATGAAGGGGAGGAATGGGAAGGGGTTGGGCAATGGGGCTAAGGAGGATGTCCAAATATCTTGTATAAATTACTCTACTCTCCAGTGAGAGTTTCTTAACAAAACCTTTTCTATAATATCACCTGCAATGTAAATACATGATCTGAGAAGAATCTTTCACCAAAGCCAATAGCCAGAGAATCGGGCTCCGAGGGGCTGTTTCAGATGCAGTAAATTAGAGCTGTGTGCATAATAATATACACTGGAAGCAGGTGAATCAATAATCTCAGTGCATTCAAGTATAGATTCAAAGCAGTTTATTCCAGGAACAATAACACACGGTATTTATTTGCATAGGTCTAGAAAACTTAGGCAATTTCTTTAAAAAATTCAAGATGGCAAGGTTCTCTTTGCCCTCATCATCCTACCCAATCCCCCAATATTTAATTCCTCCAGATTGCCTGTCTCATGGGTGATAGCCTAGTTTATCATCGCACCACCCTCTGCTTTTCTCCGTAAACTGGCTCTGGGTTACTGCCATTAGGCATTACAGTAAGAAGAGGAAAGTTAGCCACTGACTAGCTGTTTTGTTTTGCATGTCATTTACCTTTCTCAGCCTCATCTATAAAATGAGGATAACATACCTGCTTTCTGGAATTGCTATAAGGCTTAGAGATAAAGCACGTAAAGGCTCCGCTGTAGTGCCTGGTACAACAGTTGCTTGATAAACAGATGCAATTGTTGCTACAAGGCCCTGTTGATGGCTTAGAGTGTTGGAAGAAGTGCTCAGGGCGGGAGGCTGTATGGTGGATTCCTGTCTCATTTCTCTTACTGAGGGCACCTCCATTCTGAGCCATAACTCCCAGCCTGGTCACTAGCTTAGCCAATGACAAGCATAAGACATGGCAAGGTGGTGGTATTCATCCAAGATATAGGAATATTAGTAAAGGTAGCATAGTATAAAGGAAAGAATATAGTTTTTGGAGTTAGAGAGATCTGGATTTAAATCCTAGCTTTGCCACCTTACCTTGGACACATTACTTCATTTCTTTGAAACTCAATTTTTTCATCTTTAAAAGCTAGATGAAAAATATTTGCTTGGAAAGGTTATTGGGACAATGAAACTAACCCTTCTATACATGTAAAATGCCACACTCTGTCCCTGGCACAGAAATGGCACTCAGACTTGGGGATAACTGCATTATCATCATCATTGTCGTTATGAACATTACCTCTTTGGCAGATGTTTCTGGAGATTTTAGGAAACTATATCAGAAGGAATTTTGAAAAGGGAAAGACTCTCTGCAGGGTAAATGATGTTTTTCTTCCTAGGCCAATGTACTTTTTCTAAGGACTGCTAAGGTTTATGATTTCATCAGAATGAAGAATTTGGGGGTAGGCATAGACAATTGCACCTCCAAACTTGGGCAATGATTTTTCAGCTTTCATGTGGTCCAAGCAATGTGAAAGTTAAATGGTATATGCCAATACTCATGGTAAATAGCATTCTGTGGAAAATTCCACATTGATTGTCTCCTCCTGGCACCAAGAGTCAAATGGCACCATGCCATTCGCTGGTGATACAATATGAAAATTGGCTGGTGATTTAACTGGGCCCAGTTATCCTGTTGGATGCTGCCTCAGATATGAGACTATAATCTTCTAGTCTGTCACTTTTCAAAGTCATGGACTAAGAAGCAAAGGACTTTTTTTCTTGCATTTTAAACATTTGTGGGTTTTTGTTGTTGCTGTTTTTTGTTTTGGGGGTTTTTGTTGTTGTTGTTGTTGTTGTAGTTTTTTGTGAGACAGGGACTCGCTCTGTCACCCAAGCTGGAGAGTGCAGTGGTACGATCTCAGCTCACTGCAGCCTCAACACTCAGGGCTCAAACAATCCCCCCACCTCAGCCTCTCAAGTAGATGGGACTGCAGGCATGTGCCACCACATCCAGCTAATTTTTAAATGTTTTTTAGAGGCAGGGTTTTGCCATGTTGCCCAGGCTATTCTCAAACTCCTGGGCTCAAGCGATCCTCCCCATCAGCCTCCCAAAGTGCTGGGATTACAGGCATGAGCCACTGTGCCCAGCTAAACATTTCTTTTTTATGTTTCAAAGAAATGTACTTTTTGTTTTGATCAGAATATAAGATATAAGCTGTATCTGTCATTTGCTTAGTATGGGATATTGAGAGTCTTACTTGTTTAAATTTCTAAAATTGTGGTGAAATACATCTAACATAAAATTTAACATTTTGACCATTTTTAAGTGTACAGTTCAGGGGCGTTAAATACATTCACATTGTTGTACAACCGTCCATCTCCAGAACTCTTTTCATCTTCCAAACTGAAACTCTATGCCCATTAAACAATAACTTTCCCTGCTGCCTTCCCTCCAGGCCCTGGCAACTCCCATTCTACTCTCTGTCTCTGGGAATTTGACGGCTCTAGGTACCTCACATAAGTGGAATCATACGGTATTTGTCCTTTTGTGATTGGCTTCTTTCCCTTAGCATAATGTCCCCTGGGTTAGGAGTTCCCACCCCCCCTAACCTCCACCCCCACACCCCTACCCCATGCCATGGACCAGTACCAGTAAGTGGTTAGGAACCTAGCTGCACAGCAGGAGGTGAGCAGCAGGCCCAGCGAGAGCAATACTGCCTGAGCTCTGCCTCCTATCAGATCAGTGGGGGCATTAAATTCTCTTAAGAGTGCGAACCCTATTGTTAACTGAGCATGGAGGGATCTAGGTTGCACATTCCTTATGAGGATCTAATGTCTGATGATCTGACATCAAGCAGGTTCATCCTGAAACCATCCTCCTCCGCTATCTGTGGAAAGATTGTCTTCCATGAAACCAGTCCCTGGTACCAAAAAGGTTGGGGGCTGCTGCTCTAGGTCCATCCATATTATAACATGTGTCAGAATTTCCTCCCTTTATAAGGCCGAATAATATTACATTGTATGCATAGATCACATTATCCAGTTATCTGACCATGGACTCGAGGATTGATTCCTCTTTTGACTGTTGTCAATAATGCTCCTGTGAACATAGATGTACAAACATCTGTTCAAGTCCCTGCTCTCAGTTCTTTTGGGTATATATTCAAAAATAGAATAGTTGGATCATAAGATCATTCTTTTATAATTAAATTGAGGAATTACCATGCATTTTTTCACAGCAGCAACACTATTTTACATTCCCACCAGTAATGCACAAGGGTTCCAATTTTTCTACATTTTTGCCAATGCTTGTTATTTTCTGTTTTTTTGATAAGCCATCCTAATGCACATGAAGAATAGAGTGAGTCATTCATTCATTCATTTTATTTCTCTCCTTTTGAGTCATTCGTTCATTCATTTTATTTCTTTCTTTTTGAAAATTAAGAAACTTTATTTTCAAGAGAAGTCTTAGGTTCACAGCAAAATTAAGTGGAAAACAAGAGTCCCCTTGTGTCTTCTGTGCCCACACACACACAACCTTGCCACATCAATATCCCAAACCAGAGTGGTACATTTGTTACCACTGATGAACCTACATTGACACATCATTATCACCCAAAGTCCATAGCTCACATTGGTGTTCACTCTTGGTATTGTACATTCTATGAGTTTTGACAAATGTATATAATGTCATGTATCTGCCATTGTAGTACAGAATAGTTTCACTATTCTGAAAAATCCTCTGTGTTCTGCCTATTCATCCTTCCTCCCTCCAATCCCTGGCAACCACTGATCTTTTCACTGTCTCCAAAGTCTTGCTTTTTCCAGAATGTCAATGGGAATAATGCAGGATGTAGACTTTTCGGATTGACTTCCTTCACTTAATGAGCATTTAAGTTTCCTCCATGTCTTTTCATGGCTTGATAGCTCATTTACTTTAGTGTTAAATAATATTCCATTGTCTGGATGTACCACAGTTTATTTATTTATTTATCTACTTAAAGACATCTTGGTTGCTTCCAAGTTTTGGCAATTATTAATAAAAGTACTATACACATTCATGTGCTGGTTTTTTTCTGGACATAAGTTTTCAATTCATTTGGGTAAATACCAAGGAGTGCAGCTGCTGGATCATACAATAAGAATGTGTTTAGTTTCTTAAGAAACTGCCAAACTGTCTTCCAAAGTAGCTGTACCATTATGCATTCCCATGAGCAATGAATGAAAATTCCTGCTGCTCCACATCCTCACTAGCATTTGATGTCAGCGTTTTGGATTTTTGCCATTCTAATAGGTTAGTATTAGTATTGTTTTAATTTGCAGTTCTCTACTGGCATATGATGCTGAACATCATTTTATATGTTTAGTTGCCATCTGAATATCTCCTTTGATGTGACATCTGTTCAGACCTTTTGCCCAATTTTAAATCAGGTTGTTTTCTTATTGTTGAACTTTAAGAGTTTTTTGGATATTTTGGCTAACAGTCCTTCACTAGATAGTCTTTTGCAAATATTTTTCTCTCAGTCTATGGCTTGTCTTCTCATTCTCATCATATCATTTTCCAGAGAGCATAAGTTTTTAATTTTAATATCTAGCTTATCAATTATTTCTTTCAAGAATTGTGCTTTTGGCATTTCATCTAAAAATTATCACCGTATCCAAGATCACCTAGATTTTTTCCTATGTTATTTACTTGGTGTTTTGTAGTTTTGCATTTTACATTTCGAGTTAATTCTTGTGAAGGGAATGAGGTCTAAGTCTAGATAAATTTTTTGATATTTGGATGTCCAGTTGTCCCTACACCATTTGTTGAAAATATTATGTTTGTGCCATTAAATTGCCTTTGCTCTGTTGTCAAAAATCAGTTGACTGTATTTATGTAGATTTATTTCTGGGTTCTCTATTCTGTTCCGTTGATGTATTTATGTTTGCTTTTTCCAATACCATGCTGTCTTGATTATTGTAGCTTTATAGTAAGTCTGGAAGTTCAGTAATGTCAGTCCTCTGTCTTTATTCTTCTCCAATGTTGAGTTGGCTATTATGGATCTTTTGCTGTCTATATCAAGTATAGACTCATTTTGTCAACAATCACAAAATAACTTGCTGGGATTTTGATTGGGATTGCATTGAGTCTATAGATAAATTTGGGAAGAACTGACATCTTGACAATTTTGAGTCTTCCTGTTTATAAACGTGGAACAGTTTTTTTTTTTTTAGTTCTTTGATCTTTCATCAGAATTTTTTGGTTTTCCTCATATAGATATTGTACATATTTTGTCAGGTTTATACCTAAGTATTTCATTTGGGTGGTGCTAATGTAAACGGTAATGTGTTTTTAATTTTAAATTCAACTTGTTCATTGCTGATGCATAGGAAAGTGATTGACTTTTGTATGTTAACTTTGTATCCTGCAACCTTGCTATAATTGCTTATTAGTTCCAGGACTTTCTTTTTTTTTTTTTAATCAGTTCTTTCAGGACTTTTACATAGGCAATTATATTATTTGTGAACAAAGTTTTATTTCTTTCTTCCCAATCTATATACCTTTTATTTCCTTTTCTTGTCTTATTGTTTTAGCTAGGACATCCAGTAAAATATTAAAAAGTAGTGGTGTGAAGGGACAGACACCCTGGCTTTCTTCCTGATTTTTAGCAGAAAAGCTTTGAATTTCTCTCCATTAAATGTATTACCAGTAGATTTTTTGTAGATGCTGTTTATGAAGTTGAGGAAGTTCCCTTCTATTCCTCATTTACTGAGAGGTTTTGTCATAAACGAGTGTTGAATTTTGTCAAATGCTTTTTCTGCATCTATTGATATAATTATTTGGTTTTTCTTTTTTAGCCTGTTGATGTGGTGGATTATATTAATCAGTTTTTGAATGTTGAACCAGCCTTGCATACCTGGGATAAATCCCATTTAGTCATGGTGTGTAGTTTTTTATGTACATTGTTGGATTTTATTTGCTAATATTTAGTTGAAGATTTTGGTATCTGTGCTCCTGAGAGATAGTGGCCTGTAGTTTTCTTTTCTTGTAATGTCTTTGCTGGTTTTGTCATTAGGGTAATGCTGGCCTCATGGAATGAGTTAGGAAGAACTGACTCTGCTTCTGTCTCCTAGAAGACATTGTAGATAATTGGTATAGTTTCTTCCATACGTGTTTGGTAGAATTCACCAGTAAACACATGTGGGCCTGGTACTTTATTTTTTGGAAGATTATTAATGATTAATACAATTTCTTTTATATATGTATATACATATATACACATACATATATATGTTTAGATATACATATATATATGTGTGTGTATATATATGACTATTCAGATAATCTATTTGTCTTCTTTACTTATTTTTGAGATGTGGTCTCACTCTGTTGTCCAGGCTGGTCTTGAGCTCTTAGGCTCAAGGGATCCTCCTGCCTCAGCATCCCAAGTAGCTGAAATTACAGGTGCACACCACTATGCCCAGCCAGTCTTATTTATGTTTAACTGCATTGTTACAAAAATATTCAGACAACACAAATTACTAAAAACAAATATAAAAATATATATATAAGTATAGTTATGATTAACCCCACGCACAATTACTAAGTGTTTCAGAAGGTCTCCAAACTTGCCAAGTGCGCGGTATTGTTCTCACTGTATAAATGAGAACGCTGATGCTTAGAGAGATTAAAGGACTTGACCAAGGCAACACTGCTAGTTCATAATGGAGCAAAATCCAATTCTGCCTGACTACTTGGCTGTTGAACACTGCACTATGATGCTTCTTCAACCTTTGGAATCTATAGATCGTATGTGCCATAAGGTTTCTGTGAGGAAACCCATGTCTAATTCCAGGCTTTGACTGTCTACCTCATGGCCATATACCTAGTATGGTAGTTACAGAAGCTCCACACTCAGACACTTGAGAGTGGAGGGTGAATCATAAATACGGGGGAGGTTCCAGGGATCTGCTCTCACCTTGGGTTTTTTTCTTTCCTTTTTGCCAAAATGCATTTTTAGAATCTTGTTAATAAGCTTAAGATGCAAAGTCAATGTTTTCCCTTTCCTCATTGCTTTGGTTAATTTTAAGCCTGTACCTAAAACATATTTATATAAAATAGCACCATTAAAACTGCAGGGCAATTTGCAAGCCCAGACCTTAGGTTTTGGAGACAGAGAGATCATGATTCCATTCCCAAAGCTACCGTTTTCTCACTGTCCCATGGTAAGGAGATCTTTAATCTTGCTAAGCCTCAGTTTCTTAATCTGTAAAATGGAACAGGGATATAATACCATTTTCATCGGATGGTTGTTGATTTAAATGAGAAAAATGCTTGTAAAGCCCATAGCTCTGCTCTTAAAACAGGCTAGATATTCAGTAAATGTTAACTAATGTTATTCTAAACTATTTTGAGCACCTTCTATATGTCAAACTCTTTATTGAATCACTCGCTTGGTCTTCAAACTTTTTATCATCTGTCCTTAACAATAAATGTTTTTTGAGTACACATCCTCAGTATTTGCAATTTTATTTATAAATTACATCCATGACTCATTCTCAATCCATATACTAAATATTAGGTAAGTTTAATGCTTCCTTTCTTAAAATTAAAAAGAGAGAGATGTTCAAATATTTTATCCCAAATTTCAATGGACTATCTTAATCATCTTGTTTTGAAGGCCTCCAGTTTAGCTTATCTAAAACAGTTTATTAGCAAACTTTTTCTGTAAAGAGCTGGATAGTGAAGATTTCTGACTTTGTTGGGACTCTGTCACAACTACTCAACTCTGCTGTTCTGGTATGAAAGCAGATATAGACAGTATGCAAATAAGTGGTTGTGGCTGTGTTCCAAGAAAACTTTATTTAAAAAACATGTGCTGGGCCATCGTTTGCAGTTTGCAGACTTCTGACCTAAGAGAGTTTGCTGTGCTCTTTAAATACAAAGTTCCCTCAGCAGACTACGTAAGGCCAGCAGCTCTTGCAAACGTTGTGAGGTAGTTGGCAAGGAGGAGAAGTGAGGTGATGCATATGATAGCTTCTTCCAAAATGTACAAAATATAGTATATCATCATCATTGTTGTTGTTGCTAACATTAGAACATTTTCCATGCATAGGCAATTAAAGGTACTGACGTCCTTGTACCAGCCTTACTCTGCAGAAATAATATGGAGTCTTTTGTAAATAAGGGCAGCCCTCACTGACTTTCTGGAAGCAAGATACAATTTTTTATTTGATTTCCTCTGCTACTTTCTTCTAGCCAGATACATACACATATGAAAAGACTGGATCATTTCTATGAAATTAGTGTATCCTATGAACAGGGAAAAATAAAAGTTTGGTGGCTTCATGGGGGTGATGGCTCACCCACTGACGGGTATTTCTTATTGCCTACTGTGTGCCAGATACTGTGACTGTGCTGGACCCTGTGGGTGGGTGTGGGGGAGACAGAAGTGAATGAGAGGTGGCCTCTGCCCTTGAGGAACTCCAGTCAACCTTTCTCCCCGCTATCCTTCCAACACTGCTCCTGTCAAGGGCCCCAGGACCTGCATGTTGCTATATGCAGTGGTCCTTGCTCAGTCCTCATATGACTCAAACTATTTACGTGGTTGATGTCACGCTCCTTCTGGAGCATTTCCTTTTTGTTTGCTGAGGGTCTCTGCTCTCCCCTGGTTCTGCCTCACCACACTACTCACTACTTCTTCCACCTCTTTCACTGGTTCTTCCTCCTCATGAATCCTCTGAATGCAGGGGTGCCCCAGGGCTCTTCTTTCTGTTCTACACTCCCTGGGAGATCTTATACAACCTCCAGGTTTAAACCCATCTATCTATCGATGACGCCCAGATTTATATCTCTAGTCTGGACCTCTGCCCTAAACTCCAATTTATATATCCCTCTAAACAGGCAACAGCTCTTCTCAAACCTAACATGCACAAAGCCTGTTCCCTGATTTTTTCCCACCTGCTTGCCAACCTGCTCTTCCTGTGTTAGTTCTATTCCTTGCTTCACTCAAGCAAAACACCTTAGAGTTTCTTTGTCTCCCCTTTCTCTCACATCCCACATCCAACCCATCAGCAGATATCTTCAGTTCTGCCTTCAAAAGTATGTGAAGTATATGATCGGACTACTTCCTTTCACCTTCACACCCTCACCTTGGCCATCTCTCTCCTGGGTTATTCCAGGAGCCTCCTACCTGTTCTTCCTGCTTCCTCTTTGCTCTTCTTCAATCTGTTCACATCACTCCTCTGCCTAAAACCTTCTAAAGGTTCCCCATCTCAGAGGAAAAGCTAAAATTGCTGTCATGTCCCATGGGGCTCTACACATCTGTCACAGCAGGGCCCACCCTGATGCTGTGCTCCCATCTCCTCCCTCAGTCCTTGGGTCACCTTTGTCTAGCCACACCTGCCTCCTTGCTGCCCCTCCTACGTGCCAGGCACCCTTGCACCTCTGGACCTTTATTGTCCTAGCTGCCTGCAGGGATAGCTGCCCCATTCCCTTCAGGTTCCTACCTAATGCCACCTTATCAGAGAGACATTCCCGCCCTAACCATACCCTCCTTCCTCCTTATCCCACTCTACTTTCCTCCATAATATTGATCATCACCTAACATGTCAGAGTTTTGTTTGTTATCTGACTTCCACCTTAGACTCTAACATTGAAGTAGGGGCTTTGTCTGTTTATTCTTGATCCCTGAATGTAGAGCAATACCTATGGGTGCTCAGAGAGGCTTCAAATATGGAGGGGGAGAAGAAAGAAAAGAAAAGAAGAGGAAAGGGAAAAGGAAAAGGAAAGAAAAGAAAAAAAAAGAAAAGGAGAGGAAAGGAGGGGAGGGGAAGGGAGAGGAAAGGAGAAAGAAAAGAGAAAAGAGACCCAGTCTGGTGGAGGAGCACTAAAGTAAGGATGATGGGTGCACTAGGTTTGAAAACCAAGGGGGCTCCAACCCTTTGCCCCTGCTTTAATGAGAACAGTTCTTCTATCTGTTTATATACTGAATACCAATATAAATTTTATTTTGGAGGAAAAGTTTCCACTGCTTTGAAAAAAAAAAGGTTTAAACAATTCGTTTAAAACAACTGTTCTAGGCCACGGGTCACCATGTTAGGGCTTAGAACAGATAAGTGGCACGGTCATGTCTGCATATTGTGAAGTTTAGTCTGTCAGGGGTATGGTTAGTGGAGAAGGGGTGAAACCAGAGCAGAGAATCTAGCTGGACAAGAGGTAAAAGCAATGTTATCCTTTCAATCAGAAAACCAAAGGAACCTGCCCCCACCCTGACCGGTCTCCTACAGGAACCTCAGTAAATTCCCATTTATTTCTCTGTTCTTCAGACCGATGTTAGATGCATTCTTTGGTCTGTGCTTTCTCTTCCTGAATAAAATGATTGTATTTACATGTGCTAAATACCATATTATTATCACTGACTATACACTATATAACATATATTACTATATACTAAATACTGTATTAAAAGGAACATATCTTCTCATACACATGAATATGCATACAGCTTCATGTTGGCTAATTAGTTTCACTGAGTCCTTTGGAAAAGGAGGCAGACTAAAAAATGAAGGAGTAAATAATTAGGTGTCAAGTAATTAAAAGTACTATTGAGAAAGAATGCCTTTTAAATAGTTTTTTTAATTGGGTTTTTAATATGACTGACTTGGAAAGTTTCTCTCAGAAGATGGTGTTGATTGACAGACAATATAGTTATTAATAACATGTAGTCAATCTGTTAGGAATATATTAAGTGTTCAGGAGATAGAACATCTGAAAAGAATTGCTAAGGATTCAGGCAACAGATTCAGTGTGGAATGCATCTTTTTCTTGGCAAGGAGTCAGTGGCCATTGAGCAGAACTGGAGTAAATGGAGTGTAGAAGATGGCCCAAGGACCCTGTTGGATCAGCATCTCACTGTTTGGAAATGCAACCACCTTTAATGAGACCAGAAGTCATCAGTTGAATGACTGACCCTATGGGCAGTACATTGAGTAAACAGTTTGTAATCAGAGATTCCCAACAAATATTTTATGAACATCTGAGTAGCACATCTCTAAAACTTGGTTGGGTGATTTATTTATTTATTTATTTTGAGGCAGGGTCTTCCTCTGTCACCCAGGCTGGAGTGCAGTGGTGTGATCACGGCTCACCGCAGCCTCGACCTCCTGGGCTCAGGTGATCCTCCCACCTCTTCCTCCCGAGTAGCTGGGACCACAGGTGTGTGCCACCATTAGTGCCACCCAGCAAATTTTTTAATTTTTTGCAGAGACATGGTCTCCTTGTGTTGCCCAGGCTGGTCTCAAACTCCTGGGCTCAAGTGATCTTCCTGCCTTGGCCTCCCAAAATGCTGGGATTGCAGCCACCACACCCAGCCTGACTATTTTTACAAATATATTTTATTGTGATATTTCCTCATCAGTAAATTATACTTATTTTTTCTTGAAAATTTAGAAACTATAGATATGAGAATGGAAGAAAATTTTAAAAGTAGCTATTACCATACCACACTAAAATAAATACCGTTGAGCTCTGTAAATATACACACAAGTTTGCCTTTAATTTCTAAAAATAGGACTGCATTCCACATTAAATTTTGTGATCTTCTTTTTCATTTAACAACATATAGTCTACCTTTCCATGTCATTAAATATTCATCTCTTAGGCTTATTTTGTAAGGCTGCATTGTATTGCGTCCTGTGGAATGCCAGAGTTTATTCCCATTTCTCTAGCTGTTAGACATTTAGATTGTTTCCTCCTTTTATTTATTCTTCTATTCAATACTACAATGAGTACCCAGCACTGATATTCAGTTGGCATTGACATATTAATACAACCTGCCCCACTTCAACTAGTGAGTGCCCATACCAGTCATTAAATGTTTTTACTATCACCCGTGGAAAAAATTTTATATAAATCCATGGCTTGCTTGGGATATTTTTTAGAATTATTATAATTTCTCAGCTATAGGCATTGGACATTTTTACAGGTTTTTGCTATACTTTGGCAAATTAACCTCTAAAAAACCTGTACTAGTTAACACCAGGTTTGACGGTCCAATATGCCCTGCTGAACTCAAACTTTCTAGGGTATTTGTTCAAGAAGTCTGATGGGGACAGCAAAGAAAGAAATAGAGCTCTATTTGAAGTCAAATAAAGACAGATGTATAGATAGAGATATTGATATAGAGATAGATAGTATATTACTTAGGATCCTGGCAAGAAACAGTGGCATTGTCATATGGGGTAGCTGAGGAGAGTGTAGTGAAGGGATTATTTTAAAAGTATGAGCAGGATTAAGGACAACCACTAAGGTTGGCAAAGTACCCTGAGGCTAACAACAGCTGGGAGCTGTCACTCCTAGACCTGATGAGCAAGGTGAAGGAGAAGTTCCTGCAACTTAGAGAGAGGTGTAGCAATATGATAGCTGTAGCAAAAGGCTGCCCAAAGGAGTCGTGCCTTCCTACATAGCAACACAGCAATTTCCCAGCAGGGAGGTCATCTGGAGAATAGAAACCCTAACCTCATTCTTCTCCCAACCTCCTCACACCTCCTGCCAGAGTCTCCCATTGGCTGAACCCAGCTGCAAGCCAGAGAGAGCCCAGTTGACCCAGTGGTTAAAGAGCAGCCTTGCAGGGCACAGAACAGGCTGGAAAAGGAGAGCAGTGGATCTGGAAGAGCCGATGAAAGACATGCACTAGGCACAGCTGTAGCTGTAAGCACAGGCATCGATTTTTTCATTTTAAATCAGTCTGAAGACAAAGGGAAGAATGGGTTGAAGAAAAAAAAATTAAAGATAGTGAGGAAACAAAATCAAAATTCCAGCCCAGTCTTTCACTTGCTGTAGGGGTATCTGAGACATAGGGAGGTATGAGTCAGTACATCTCTCCCCCGAGAGCATCATGTACAACGTTTCACCTTTGCCACCTCTTGCAAACCCCTCCCAGCAGAGTGTTGGTTTTTAGAAGCACCCGGGCAAAGAACAGACAAAGGGAGGATAAGCTGTGGGGGCGGGGAGACCAAGGTAGTCTTATGTAACTTACATCTTTATGAAAACTCATTTTGCTTTTATTTTAAGAAGTGCTATTTATGAATTCCCCAGGGGGTTAAAAAGCTTAAGAGATGGGTTTTTTATGTGATGTCAATAGAAAAATCTCTAAACTCCTGGAATAAATGATGCTTTTGTTTTGGCTTTCTGTTTTTCAAAAAGGCCATCTGTTTTCATAAACATAAATGAGACTCTCTAGCCACCTTTTCCCTTATAACCCTCTGTCTCTTTGCACAAATGACAACATTCCCTTCGTGATTCATTCCTGAAGACATTCTTCTGGGCTAAATGCGGCTGCTAAATTTGTACTTCAGTTTTCACTGTGAGTCCCACATGATCCTTGCTCAGGCGGCAACTGCACTATTACAGCTTTCACTTCTCGAGTCCCAGATTGCTATACCCTTGGGTTGCCAGCAGCTCTGCACCAGGCTTTATGCAACTGGCTTCTCCTGTTTTGCAAGGGTATCTGAGGTCTTTGAGGCAGCCCAATAAGTAGCAACCCTTCTCTACCTAAGTCCTAAGCGTGTTGAGAAATAAATGGAAGATAGCAGATGAAAGCTAAAATACCATGTTTATTATTGATAATGAATAATTTAGCTTAGTGTAACAGCTAAATAGGCTTGATAATTGGACCCAGAATTAGGCAGACTGACCCACCTGGTGATAGGCCACGTTGGATGAGGCAGAGGATAAGCCAGCTCCTGGAGGAACATAAAAAAAAGTTGCCAACTGCCAAGAAGAAGAAAATTGAGACTCAACCGAGAATAACCATATTCTTCCTCAGTTTACCATTCATGTAACTCATACCACTACCTGTGACCAAAGGGGCAAGATGGCTCACAAGAACACTAATGGGGCTCCCTTCCCATGGAAATAACTATCAGGAATAAAGATGAAGTTTTCCTTCCAACGGTGACATAAGTGTGACAGAAGCTAAAAATGTGCCTTGACTGAGCCTGGTCGATAAAATGTACTCAATAAATACATGTCGACTGTGTGTTCATTTATTTAACAAATACTTATTGAACAAAGTTAGGGCCAAAATAAGTTTAGTTTTTGATTCTTGGTACAGTAGAGAGCTGCTAGAAAATTCTGAGCAAGGAAAAGATATGATGAGATTTACATTTTGGAAAAATTACTCTGATTGCTTCTTGAATAATGGATTATAAGAAGGACAAGTATGAAAATGGAGAGACGAGGGCCAGGCACGGTGGCTCACGCCTGTAATCCCAGCACTTTGGGAGGCCGAGGCAGGCGAATCAGTTGAGGTCAGGAGTTGCAGACCAGCCTGGCCAACACGGAGAAACTCCGTCTCTACTAAAAATACAAAAAATTTAGCTGGGCGTGGTGGTGCACACTTGTAATCCCAGCTACTCTGAAGGTTGAGGCAGAGGTTGCAGTGAGCCAAGATCACACCACAACACTCCAGCCTGGGTGACAGATAGAGACCCTGACTCAAAAAAAAAAAAAAAAGGAACAGAAAAGATGAATTAGAACACTCCTGCTGTTGTCTAAGCAAGAATTGATGATGCCTAAGTCAGGGATGAAATCAGAGAAGGACACAAAGGAGAAGGCCACGTGGGATATAACTTGCAGATAGGGTTAGCAGGATTTGCTGATGGATTGGAGTTGGGGAGGAACATGGTCTGTGAGGGAAAGCAAAGAATTGAGAATGACCTATGTTTTTATTTGAGTAACTGAATGGATAGGGGTAAAGTAGAAGGGGCTGGTTTGGGGGATTGGTTGAATAAATGGATAAGTGAATGAATAACGGTGTCCCTGGTCACCCAGTCTCTTTAGGAGGCTGTAGTGGGCTGATCATGCCCCCGTTTGCCTAGGACAGCCCTGGTTTACATCTGCTGATCCAGTGTAATTATTAACAGTGCTGACTAGGTGCATTGACTCATGCCTGTGATCCCAGCATTTTGGGAGGCCGAGGCTGGAGGATCATTTGAGCCAGGGGTTTCAGACCAGCCTGGGAAACGTAGTAAGACCCTGTCTCTACAAAAAATAAATAAAAATTAGTCAGGTGTGGTGGCACGTGCCTGTAGTCCCAGCTACTCAGAAAGCTGAGGTGAAAGGATCCCTTAAGTCCAGGAATTCAAATTTATAATGCGCTATGATCACATCACTGCACTGCAGCCTAAGTAACGGAGCAAGACCTTGTCTCAAACAAGCAAACAACAATCAAAGAATGCTTCCTTTCACCCTCAAAAGTGACCTGCTTTGGATGGCAAAGTACTTGGTTACCCCAGCTTAGAGAATTTTAGCTTGTTAGAGAATTGTTGGGGAAGTGCTTTGAAATGTGAAAAACAGTAAATGGAAAATGTCAATCAGCATTAGCTATGTTAATGAAGATTTGTCCAAAAGCTGACTCTTCTTTGCTCATTAACTTACACAATTATTTTAGGCTACGTTCTACAGCAAGCAATAAATGGATAAGATAAATTCTTATCCATTTATTCAACCAATCCCCCTGTCTGATTGTCTTCCAAGACATGTGGCTCCCAACCCTAGAATGGAACTCTGTTTCCCAGATCCTCTTCCTCTCTCCTTCCCCAGTTGTTAAAGATTTCTAAAACACCATATTTAATCAGTCTATGGGGACTCTCTATTTAAAGGAACCCAACGGTTAATCGTTTCATAGATCAAAGCTTTTGTTTAGGCACTAACCACTTACTTTCTACTCCACAGCGTTTCCATGGCTGGGTTTCCCTCTAGGAAGGCACAGTCTTGGAAGATAATCCTCACTCATCCTGGCTCTGAAATACTTTGTGAAATGCAAAGATCCACTTTCCAGCTGCCTTTCCTTCTTAAGGATGTCTAAATATGCAGTTGTGCCCACAGAGGCATTAGCATTTCACACAAATACCATATACTGGGTGAGGCATGCTGATATTTGGAGAAGGACATTTGTAGATACCAAGGTTCTAGGCCCTCTCTACCCTTTCCTGCTGTGGGACTCTGACACAAATTCTTCCCCTCTCTGGGCTTTTATCTTCTCACAGGTAAGATAGGAGAAGATGCCTCTCTGACCTCTGTGTGCTTCTACCTCTGTGCTTATGTCCTTCATGTAATGGGAAAAGATGCTTCAACATCATACTCACGGGGCTGGGGGAGTTATAGCACAGTCCTCTCTTTCTCAAGTCAAATTTAAACTGACTTGAGCTTTCACACAGAGATTGGGGCATGTCCAGATGGTTCTCTTATGATCCCTTTCCCTAGTTCCTCTTCCCCACCTTGTCCTAGAACCAAGGAAATGTATACAATCCTCTCCCGCATAAAAAGGTCTCTCCGGCTCCTACTCCTGTATTAGTTTGCTAGGTTCCATAAGACTGTACCAAAAACTGGGTGGCTTAAACAACATAGTGTCCCATCTGGAGGCTAGAAGTCTGAAAGGCAGGTGTCAGCAGGGTTGCTTCCTTTCAAGAGCTGTGAGAAAGACTTGTTCCATGCCTCTCCATTAGCTTCTGGGGGTTTGCTGGCAACCTTGGGCATTCCTTCGTATATAGAGGCATCCCCCAGTCTCTGCCTTCATCTTCACATGACATTCTCCCTGTGTGCATGTCTGTGTCACTATTTCCACTGCTTAGGAGAACACGAGTCATATTGGATTAGGGGCCTGCCCTACTTCAGTATAACCTCATCCTAACTAAACTAATTACATCTGCAATGCCCCTGTTTCCAAATAAGGTCACATTCTAAGGTACTAGGGGTTAGGATTTCAACATATCAATTTTGGGCAATGCTGTTTGACCTATAACACCTCTCAAGTATGGAAAGTCTCTGTTATTGTTCAATCCACTGCTGTGGTTACTGCCATTTTGCATCATAGGCAGCTGCTGGCCCATGGCAAGCTGTCCAGTGCTGGGCTCCTGATGTGACAGAGTCTTATGTTCCCAACTTCCCACCCAAGCCTTCATGAACTTGGAAGGAAAGGAGTCTTCTCAGTGCTATATTTTGCCTCTGGTGTTCCCCATTAGACCACTGAGACCACCAGGTCCCCTTAGTACCATTATCCTCCAAAAACCCCAAGGTCCCAACATATCACAGGGTTCAGAGCAGCTGGACAGGAAAGAGCTCATGGGAATGTCAAAAAGCCCAAAAAGCCAGCCAGCTCTCTTTAGGGGCAAAGATGCCCAGGCACCAGAAAGAAAAGCCCCATCCTATTTGTCTTTGGAATAGGGAACAAACTAACATTTTTTCCAAATTAATCTGTCAGGGTCCCCTGCCCTCCCCAAGATGGCTAGAGAGATTTCTTACTCTATCCACAAAAAAGGAAACACAAGTTAAGTTCCCCAGGGAAGACCCTGCTAAGATCTCTGTCTGCCAGCTCCTTATGCATGCTCAAAACCTGTTTGGCTTTTCAACCTGTGCATCAGAATGTTCTGAACATATCTCTTTTGCTGACTGATAAGTGTTTGTCTTTGCCCTAGTCTCTGGCCACAGCAGAATTGGTGGTGGCTTGTGGTTAAGTATTGGTCTCATCATTTTTTGGGGGGAGGGGGTCACATCACACAGTCTGACACTGGATCTTGTCAAGAAAACTGTGTCAAAGAGCCTGAGCATGACCAGAGATTTGTTCAATCAACAGTCTCTGGGGGAGCTTGAGTTACTGCAGCACAAATGTGCTAGTTAAAGAGGCAGCTTGGGGGAAGAGGAAGGATTCCAAGACCTGAGTCTGTTCCCACTGCCAATATGCCCT
The DNA here is from genome assembly GCF_000001405.40 of Homo sapiens. Taxonomy (NCBI): domain Eukaryota; kingdom Metazoa; phylum Chordata; class Mammalia; order Primates; family Hominidae; genus Homo; species Homo sapiens. Next base: position 79,169,434 of record NC_000011.10, on the reverse strand, counting down.
GGCTCTGAGATCCCAGACAGGTTGCGTAGCCTCCCCAAGTTCCACCGCCCTCCCTCTTGCGATCACTCAACGGCATGCTCAAGGAGAGGGATCTGGTCAGTTCCCAACTGCTACTGAGGCCACAAGTCTGGGCTTAATTCACAGATGTGCCAGGGTATCCCTCATCTATTGCTGTGTAACAAACTACCCAAAACTTGATGTTTTAAAACAACTGTGTATTATTACTTCTGAGTGTGTGGTCAGCTGGGCAATTCTGTTAATCTAGATAAAGCTTGGCTAGGCTCATTCATGCATCTGAAGTGGGTCTGGGTGACCAGCCATCTCCATTTGCCTGGGACTGAAGAGGTTCCTGGGGTATTGGACTTCCAGTTTTAAAGTTAGGAAAGGTCCTGGGTGAAAGGGGATGAGCTGGTCACCCTAGGTCAGCTGGTGGATCAGCTGAAGGCTGATTGTTATCTGAGATGAAGGACTGAGATGGCGTGGGTGGGGGTAGACTGGGCCATGTGTCTCATGTCATCCAGTAAACTAGCCTGGGCTTGTTCACCTGGGCAGCTGAGCAAAGTTCCAAGAGAACAGGCAGGGATGAGCAAGGTTTCTTGAAGCCTGGGCTCAGAACTCACATATCACAACTTTGCCTCGTCCTATTGATCAAAGCAAGTCACAGGATGAGCCCACATTTAACAGGTGGGGAAATGGACTCCACCTCCTATGGGAGGAGCTACAGAGTCACATTGCAAAGGGGTGTGGATATAAGGGGGGAAGAATTGTGTTCATTTTGCGGTGAATCTACTGCAAGCACAAAGAGCTTTGCTTTCTGCAGCAGTCAGATGCTGTATCAACCAGCTACCAAGATGCCAGGAGCCAGAGTGTGATGATGTAACAGATGCTCCTCTATGTGTCTAGCTTTCTCTCCTCTCCCTTTAGTCCATGTGGTCCCAGTAAATACAGTTCCACTCTTTGCCCGGCCAACTTTTCACTATGGGAAAGTAGCTTGCAGTCCCTTCCTCCAGGAAGCCCACCCTGACCTCCAGACTGGTTTGGCATCCCCCCACACCCCTGGATCACCATGTCATTCTCCCACAACCCTCTCTGCTTTCCTGTGTCACAGCACCCACCACCAGGTACTGACATTGTGAGGACTGGGAGCTTCTTGACTTGGGAGATAATCAGATTTGTTTCTGTACCCCAGCACCCCACTGAAGTTCTGCCACATATAGGTGCTTAGGAGATTGCTGAGGGATGGCTTGAGGTCCAGCTGGAATGGAAGTCCCAAAATCTTTGTTCTATCCCCTTTACTCAGACCCAGAGCCCATCTCAGGCTCCTGCCAGCAGCAGACTTCAGCATCACCCTGCTCCTGCCTGCCAGGCACAAGACAATGATCTAACCATGGCCCCAGTTCTGCAAACTAGCTGATGCTTTTTCCATCCTTGGCACTGTCTAGGGTGAGAGTCTGCACAGGGAACCATGTTAATGATGTGGGTGTCAGTGTGGATGTCAAACCAGAGTCAGGCTGTGCCTGCTACAAGGGTATGACTCATTTTTTTAAATCTCTACATGCATCCAGGGTAGGTGCCCCAGCCACAGTTTTGCAGGCCCTGTGGACACAGAAGGAGCCTGGTTTAGAGAGGGGAGGGTCAGATAGACCTGGGGGTGTCCTCCACTCGTCCCTCACCCTCAACCCCACACCAAGTCTCTCTCTGTGTCCTGACTCTTCCCCTCCTACCCTGCCACCTTCACCTCCAACTGGGCTACCAACCCTGCTCAAGCCCCATCCCCTTCACCTGGAGCCTTCTGGCAGTCGGAGTGGACCTTTCTAAATACACGAGAATGTGGTGATCAGCAGCAAGACCCAGGAGGCAGACTACCCAGTTTCTGCTGCTCCTGGCTAGGCAGCCTTGGGCAATTTTCTTAACTTTTCTGTGTCTCCTTATTTTCTTTATTTGTAACTAGGGATAATGATAGTTTCTGTATCTAGGTTGCTCTATGGATTAGTTGAGGTGATATGTATAAGTGTGCACTTAGAATATTCTCTGGTGCAGAGTTAGTTGCTCAATATATGTTAGCCATCCTTGTTATCATCTCTGTCCTACCTCAGACCCTTCAACAGGTCCCCACTGGCCATAAGATAAAGGTTGAACTCCTGTCACAAAGACCAGGCCATTGTTCTTTATCCTTCTCCCTTCTTCCCACTGTGAACTCAGATATGATGCTTGGAGGTGTGGCAGCCACCTCGCAACCAGGCAGAAAATGCTAAGTATGGAAGAGTTCAAATGTGAAAGGAGCCTGGGCTTTGGTAACTCTGTAGAACTGCCGTGCCGGCCTGAACCGCCTCTCCCCAGACTACTCATATGCAACAAATAAACTCCACTTGTTCAATGGGTGAATAAAATGTTCTGGCTTCTCTGCCTGGCATTCATGAGCCTCTAAGAGTTCCTGTTCCCTCTGCAGCCTCATTTCTGAAACTATAGCCCACCCTCCACTCCCCTGCTTTATGTTCTAGCCATACTGAACTCCATGGAAATTCTTCTGCACACCATAGTTTTGTGCCTCTCAACCATTGTTCATGCTTTTCTCATTCTTCTTCTGTTTGGAACTTCCTAGTGCACTGTCAGCTGTTTTCTGCCTGGCAAATGCCTATGCTTCAAAACCCTGCACTGATTCTGCCTCTCTATGAAGCTGTAACTGACCTCTTCACCCATTCTGGGCAAATTAATCACCGCATGACTACAAAATTGAGCTAGACCGACTGAATGCAGTTCCCACTTCTGCCACTTATTAGTAATTCCATTCTCTCTGTGCCTCAGTTTCCTCCTGAATTAAATGAAGCAAATAACAGGGTTTTATGAAGATTAAATAAGGTAATAAGGGTCAATAACTTAGAATAGCCAATAGTAAGCAGTCAATAAGTGTTTATTATCATCCTCATCATGGATATTCTTAAGCTTCCAGATCTATAATTCCCACTTGTGCATAAACCTTTCAGGGGCAGGGATTGTATGATTCATCTCTGAATCCCCTACCCAAGCATAGTACCTGGCACCAAATGGGCATTGGGAAATGATGGCTGAATTTGCTGATGAAAGCCTCTTAAAAAGAGAACATGCTCTATGCCCTTGGCATTTCCAGAAATGGAGCCAGTGGGGTCCAGAAGACGAAATACCTTCATCTTTCTGCTATGGAACTTTCTTAGTACAATCACTAGCAGAGCATGTCTTGACTTACATCAAGTCAAAAGAGATAATACAAGTAAAAGACCCCCATGGAGTGTCAAGTGTGATTCAGTGCTGCCCACAACACTGCTGCTGGCGGTGATGATTAGTGGCTGAGACATGCAGTAGAACCTGCTCTGGGTCTCTTCTGGACCTTAAGGACACTCCCTATTCAGAATGAAGGTAAGTATAATGTGGTGTCAGAGAAAAAGTTAGGCAGGCCTCATATAGACCAATGGAACAGAATAGAAAACCCAGAAATAAAGCCAAATACTTACAGTCAAGTGATCTTCAACAAAGCAAACAACAACATAAAGTGGGGAAAGGACACCCTATTCAACAAATGGTACTTGGATAATTGTCAAGCCACATGTAGAAGAATGAAACTGGATCCTCATCTCTCACCTTATACAAAAATCAACACAAGATAGATCAAAGACTTCAGCCTAAGACCTGAAACAATAAAAATTCTCGAAGATAACATTGGAAAAACCCTTCTAGATACTGGCTTAGACAAAGACTTTATGATCAAGAACCTGAAAGCAAATGCAACAAAAACAAAGATAAGTAGATGGGACCTAATGATACCAAAAGGTTTTTGCACAGCAAAAGAAATAACAGAATAAACAAACAACCCACAGAGTAGGAGAAAATCTCCTCAACTATACATCCTACAAAGGACTAATACTCAGAATCTACAAGGAATTCTAACAAATCAGCAAGAACAAAACAAACAATTTCATCAAAAAGTAGGCTAAGAACATGAATAGACAGTTCTCAAAAGAAGGTATATAAAGGGCCAACAAAGATATGAAAAGCTGCTCAACATCACTAATGATCAGGGAAATGCAAATCAAAACCACAACACAATACTGTCTCACTCCTGCAAGAATGTCCGTAATCAAAACATCAAAAAGTAATAGATATTGGCATGGATGTGGTGAAAAGGGAACACTTTTATGCTGCTGGTGGGAAAGTAAACTAGTATAACCACTATGGAAAATAGTGTGGAGATTCCTTAAAGAACTAAAAGTAGAACTACCATTTGATCCAGCAATCCCAGTCCTGGGTAGATACCCAGAGAAAAAGAAGTCATTATATGAAAAAGATACTTGTACAAGCATGTTTATAAGAGCACAATTCGCAATTTCAAAAATATGAAACCAGCTCAAATGCTCATCAGTCAATGAGTGGATAAGGAAAATGTGGTGCATGTATATATATGTATACACACACACACACACACACACACACACACACACACACATATATATATAGTATTAGTCCATTTTCATGTTGCTGATAAAGTCATACCCAAGACTGGGAACAAAAAGAGTTTACTTGGACTTACCGTTCCACATGGCTAGGGAGGCCTCAGAATCATGGCACGAGGTGAAAGGCACTTCTTACCTGGTGGCAGCAAGAGAAAATGATGAAGCAAAAACAGAAACCCCTGATAAACCCATCAGATCTTGTGAGACTTTTTGACTATCATGAGAATAGCATGGGAAAGATCAGCCCCCATGATTCAAATACCTCCCCCTGTGTCCCTCCCATAACACACGGGAATTCTGGGAGATACAAGTCAAGTTGAGATTTGGGTGGGGACACAGCCAAACCGTACTATATAGATATATATATGTATATATATAGTATATAGTATATATAGTATATAGATATATATAGTACTATATAGTATATATATAGTATGTATAGTGTATATATATACACTATATGTATACACTATATATATACACTATATATATACTATATATACTATATAGTACATATATATCTATATACTACATACTATATATATTCTAGTATATCTATATAGTATATACACTATATATTATATATAGTATATATAGTATCTATATAGTATATCTATATACTATATATACTAGTATATCTATATACTATATATACTAGTATATCTATATACTATATATACTAGTATATCTATATACTATATATACTATATATACTGTATATAGTATAGTATACTATATACTATACACTATATATAGTATATATATACACTATAGTATGCCATATATACACTATATATACTGTATATATACATATATACTATATATACATAGTATATATAGTGTATATATACTATATATACATAGTATATATAGTGTATATATACACTATATATACATAGTATTTATAGTGTATATATACTATATACATACTATATATATACTATATACTATACTATATATACACTATATATACACTATATATAGATATATAGATATATAGTACTATATAGATATATATGATATATATGGATATATACCTATATACGATATATATCCATATATAATATATGTACATATATGTGTATATATGTGTGTATATATGTATATATAATATATATGTACACATACATGTATATATATGTGTATATATATGTGTGTGTATATATATATGTATGTGTGTGTATATATATACACATACCATGGAGTATTACTCAGACATAAAAAGAAATGAAATAATGCTATTTGCAGCAACCTGGATGGAGTTAGAGACCATTATTCTAAGTGAAGTAACTCAGGAATGGAAAACCAGACATCATATGTTCTCACTCATAATGGGAGCTAAGCTATGAGGGCGCAAAGGCATAAGAATGGTACAATGGACTTTGGGGACTCAGGGGAAAGGGTAGGAGGGGTGTGAGGAATAAAAGACTACACATTGGGTATAGGGTGCACTGCTCGGGTGATGGGTGCACCAAAATCTCCGTTAAAAAACTTATTCATCTAACCAAGAACCACCTGTTCCCCCAAAAAAACTATTAAAAAAAAAGTTCGGCAGGCCTCCAGTGTTTCTTGGCTATGTGGCTTGTACAAGTGTTTTCAGCTTGTTGGGCTTCAGTTTCCACACCTGTTAAAATGAGTTTACAGCATAGGATTTTTATGAATATAACAATTGTTATATTCATACAAACGTGAAGCAACTAGCATAGTGCCTGGCCTGCAGTAAATGCTCAACAAATGTCCCTTCCCCTTTCCTTCTCTCACTCTCCCTCTCACCCCTGTCCTCTCAGATCGTCTGTGCCATTGGGCAGAGGGAAATTCTGTCCTCCCAATGAACTGGTATGTGGGGTCAGGTGTCTGGTAAGCAGGCTGGTTCTCTACATTAAACATGCTGCCTTCACTCAGGGACAAGGTCTAGGGACCTTTTAGGCAGAAGGACCATGTTTATGCATGTATGTGCAACCTGCTTTCCCTGCAGCGCACCTTGGGCCTGCAGAAATAGCTCCCTCAGAGCTGAAGAGTCAGCCAGCCTTGTATGAACAGGGACTATGGATCCTCATATGGGCCCATGTCCACTTGACCAGGCTGCATGGCTCAGCATGCTGTGCAGCAGATGAACAGCTGGCCCAGGGAGTTCCCAATGGGCTCCTGCACACTGCCTGGGAGCCAGGAGGGAGACCTTCCAGGACCTGCCACCTGGTGCCAGGGAGGGGTGAGCCCGCAAACCCAACAACTAGACCAGATGGGTGACTGGGCAGCCAGGGAATGTGGAGGAGGACTCGAAGGCTGTCCAGAGCTTGCCATTTCATCTCTCTCAGACCTAGTTTCCTCATCTGCAAAATCAGGCTAAAGAAAATTAAATAAGTTTTGGGATTCCGGTGGAGCTAGAAAATAATACTTATCTTCCTGGCCTAAAATCAAAATTAATTAAGACATAGAGGAGTCAGACAGATAACAATAATAATAAATAAATAAATAAATAAATAATAACAGCAAATACTTTATAGCATCATGACCACTAGTTAAGCATTAATACTTATTTAGTATTTCCTATTTGTCAAACTCTGTTCTAAGCCCTTTATGATGTTAACTAATACAACATTTCTATAAGGTAGGTACTATTCTTAGCCCCATTTGATGGATGAAGAAACCAAGGCACTGAAAGTTTAATTAATTTTTCCCATATCACAGAACTAGTAACTGGAAGACTAGGATTTAATGCCAGGTGGTCTGGCTTCCAAGGCCATGATCTTGACCACTGCCCTCCACCAATTACCATGGAAAGCCCACAGGGCAGCTTTAGATCTGCACACAGGGTCTTGCTAACACTTCGACCTATAGTTAGACAGACTTGGCCATCCCGTCAAGGAGAGGAGAAGAGCTGTGCTTTCCATAGGCCACTTCATAGGCCATACAGGGGGTACTGGGTGAGGCAGGTCCGGTTCCTTCTCCCACACCCACCAACCCAATCATTGTCACTCAGATTACCACAAACTTGCTAATTTGTAACTGGGGGTAATGATAGTACCTGTGTCCATGTTGTGCTGTGGATTAGCTGAGGTGGTATGTCTAAGTGCGCACTTGGGTCATTTTCTGGTGCAGAGTTAGTACTCAACCCATGTTAGCCATTCTTGTTATCATCTCTTCTCTACTGCAAACCCTTCAATGGGTCCCCACTGACCACAAGATAAAGGTTGAACTCCTTTCACAGAGAACAAGTTGTTGCTGACTTAAAACAACAGAAACATATGCTATCACAGTTGGACAGGCTAAAAGTCTGCAGTCCAGGTATTGGCGAAGTGGCTCCTTCTGGAGGCTCTGAGAGAATCCACTCCATGCTCCTCTCCTAGCTATGGCGGCTGTCAGCACTCCACAGCACTCCTTGGCCTGGGGACACACATCACTGCAGTCTCCACCCCCACTTCACATGGCCTTCCCCTCTGTGTCTTTGTGTGTCCTTTCTGTCTGGTAAGGAGCCCCTCGTTGGATTTAGAGCCCACCCTAATCCAGTGTGGTCTTATATCAATCTTTTAATTACATCTGCAAAACCATGTTTCCAAATAAGATTACATTCAGAGATTTTCAGTGGACATGAATTTTGAAGGCACACGTTTCAACCATGAAAAGGAGAAATTAGTAATGGAATAAGGTAAGGCAAGAGTGTTCCCATAAGGGAAGTTTATCCTCAAGAAGACGTAATGTGGGCAAAGAGGTTTCCTCCTGGGATTAGTAGACACTGGCGTGGCTGCTTTAACAGAGATCAGAACAGTGGTGGCCAAAGCATAAAAGAAGCTTGTTTCTCTTGCACATAAAATCTCAGCCAGGGGGATAGAGATGTTCTACTTCACAAGGTTCTTCAGGGCTTCTTTTATCTTTTTCTAACATGCTGTTCAAGATGCCCTTAACCCCAGAGACAAAGATGGCTCACTAAAAAGGGCCATGCTTTAGCCAGTAGGTGGTGGAAGAGGAAGTGGAAGGCAACCGGCTTTTTTCTAAAACTGCAAGCAAAAAGTTGCACATAACACCTCTGCTCACACCCATTGGCCCAAACTTAGACAGTCATGCCTCACTGCAAGGGAATCCGGGAAATCTAGTCTTTGGCTGAGAGGTCATGGAACCAGCTAAAACTCAAAGGATTAAATTTCTAAATGAAAGATGGGGAGATTGATCATTGAGGGACAACTAGAATAAAGTATGAGAAATACCTGATACAGGGTAAGAGGTCAGTAAATTGTAATGTTGATCTTCTGCCATGATATTGCTGACAACTTATTCTCACTGGTGACATGCTGATAAGCCTCTATATTCACCCCTGACCCTGGCACCTGTCACTGTAGTAACCCAAGTACAGACAGATTATGACTCCACAGTCTTGAGATGGGCCGCTTTTTCTTCACACTCCTTTACCTGGCTCCCCAAGTCTGCTGCTCTCCGAGATGCCCCCATCTCCATCTCAGCCCTGCACCCCAGGTTGCAAAGTCCTGGAGAAGAGAGGCTCTCCCCAAGTCCCCCGAGCTCTGACTGCCAGGAATACCCTGTGTTCTGGAATCTGAACCCCCAGGCACTGCATGCCTTGCCCATTCTGCACGGTTGCCTTCCTGGATACTAGAGGAGTTTGTGGAAAGAATTTTCTATCATTAGAGGGTGAAAGTCAAAACAGTAATTACAAGAACATCAGTTTCTGAGTGGAAAGCATATCCCCTGCACACCAGGAGATATGCCTGCACAGATCAACAAGCAGGATGTTAAAATGGAAGAGAGTGTTCTGGGAGGGAGGACTAATGGCCCCAGCCATGATGGAGGCTCTGCTTCCTGGGAGGATGCTGCACTGGGGAATAGGGAGGAAGGAGAGTAGGGAATGAGTGAGTGAGTGCATGGAGAAGGGAGTGAATGAAGGATAGAAAGAATGAAAATGGTAAATGAATGATTTACTTAATGAATGAATAAATGAAGAAATAAATAAGTAAAAAATGAATTCGTGAATAAATAAATCAACAAGAAAATAAATGAAGAAGCTAACAAGTGAATGAGTGAACAAGTGTGATTTTGAGGAAATAAATGAGTGAAAATTGGGGGAACTGAATATGAGCTTTGGCCAGCAGGTGGTGGAAGAGGAAGTGGAAGGCATCTGTAAATGAATGACTGAGTCAGTATTAAGTAGAAATGAATAAATAATAGAATAATTGATTGAGTGAACGAGTGAGTGAACCAGTAGTCAAATCACTCTTCTTTTCTGGACAGATGCGATCGGCAGCAAGACTGGGGTTGTAGGGCAGGACTGGAGCTCTATCTACCTAGAGGCTCAACATCTGGGTCAGCCACACATTAGGAGGCCAGGAGGGCGGGCAAAGCTGGAAGAGTCATGTAATTATAATTATGAGAGGTGGGATAAATGTTAAAAGCATCTGGTCCAGCCCCATCCCCCTTTTTACAGATGCGAAAACTAAGGACAAAAGGAATGACAAAAAGCTTGAAAACAAGACATTTGAAAACAGGCTAGCCATGTTATCTTGGGCAATTTATTCTTTTTATTTCATTTTTAAATTTAATCCTTAGATTTCAGTTTCTGTATTCGCAAAATAAGGGTGATGCTACCTAGTGCGTAGGGTAAGATTAAATCAGATACTACATGCCAACTGTTATTCCCTGTGGTGTTTATTTGGTGATCAATCGATAGTTTGAACCTAGACACAGCAGTCCGGGTAGACTAAGATAAGATATAACAGCAAAGAACCCCCAAACCCAGCGATGTTGACTCAACAAAGATGCGTTTCCTGCTCATATCACAGATGAGGGCCATGTAGAGCCCCCCTCTTATAGCTCTGCATTCTGGAAATCATGGCTTTGAGGGTCACCACCACAGAAGAGGAACAGTACAGAGGGGCTCATTGTTTCTTGGCCTGGAAATTACACATCTCCATGCCACTCACTTCAACCTCTCTATAAGGAAAGTGGATATTGGCTGCGAAGAACAGGGGCTTTTCAGTGAGCACTGACCATGTCTACCATATACTAGGGTTATTTGGGGCTTGTGATCCTGGTCCAATAGAGGTGATGGTCTGAGGAGGAGTACTTCTCCAGCTGTAGACCCATGCTAGCAGCTTCCTCAGTGGCTGGTGGCCATTGAAACTCCAGATTTAGAGTCAGAGAATTGGTGAATCCATCTCTCCTGCCTGTATGATCCTGTGCAAATTATTCAACATCCCTAAGCCTCAGATACCTTCTCTATAAGAAAAGGATAATATCATGCATATATCACATGTTGATTGAGGCGTAAATGTGACAGTGTGTGTAGAATCAATTTCAGAAGTATAAACTACAATGAGAAATGATATTCTTCTCATTCTACTCACCTTCCCCATTCCTTCATGAGAGTACTAATCCTTACTGAGTACAGTGTCACAGTCAATATGTCAAGAGTCTTACCTCCTAATTTAATCTTCATTGCACCAATGCAAGGGTTGTGCTATTAACTCTGATTTACAGGTAAGGACCTGGAGGCTTCTCAGGGAGAAGAAATAAGTTGTTGAGACCTTGTAGCTATCATGACAGAGCCAGGCTCAACCCCAGCCATCTTATTCCAAGGCAGGGTCTTGCCTGTGTCTGTAGTCTCCTATGCCTTGGCTAGTATGACTACAACTTTGCAAGGGGAGATCATTCTTTCTTCCTAAAGGAAATTTACCAAAATGTTCTGGTGTGGCCAGAAAAGCTTAAGTGTCTATGAGTATTTTTTATTTGTGGAAATGTTACAAAAGTAGATTTTCTTACTTTTGATTATGCACATTCCCCAGCAAATCTGCAGAAAGTCCTAAGCAGAGATTAGGTGGGACACACAAGGATGCAGGGGCAAGCAGCCCAGAGTGCAGGAGGAGGGTCCCTGGGTCCTGGGCAAGCTGGGATCGACTTCTGAGAGCAGAGGTAAGCTGCACAGCATAATTGTGCTAGCTTTGCAGGTAGGACGTGTAGTGGAATGAGGACGATTCTGCCCTCTCACCAGAGGTTAGAACTCCCCAGACTAGTTAGAACATGCTGGTCAGGAAGTTCAGCCACTTCAGCCAAGGTTTCCTGAGCATTTGCTGGTTCCCTGCTGCTGTAGATACAATGGTAAAAATACACTGTCCAAGGCCTTCTGGAGTTCACAGTAGCGGGACCAACAGACAGAATTTACCAATACAGTACAGTAGGATTATGGTAGAAAGCAAGGAGGTATGGAACCCTCAGGGGAGGTTTTACAGAGGAGGCAGCTTGTGGACGAGGCCTTAGAAGAGGAGTAGAAGTGTGGAGATCAGTAGATAGGATGTTCCAGGCAGACACACAGCAGGAACAGAATTGTGGAGGAATAGAAGGACAATGCACAGTGAAGAAACTGTAGCTCTGAAAACTGCCTGGGTGAGTACTAGGAGAGTACTGAGTTACAGATGGCAAGACCTGGGTCTTCTTTACCACTGTAGCTGTAGCACATAGAGCACAGAGCCAGGCATGCTGTAGGGACTCGGCACACATTCGCTGAGTGCATGAGTAAGTGAGTGAAGGTATGAAAGAAAGAGAGAAAGCAACAGAAGAGAAGGAAAAGAAGTCAGAGATTTACTCCACGTTGCAGCACAGATTATTGAGGACAGCCGCCCAGGGTGTTAAAGACCTGTATGAAGGGAATAGGTTCACAAAGATGTATTGGATCTCTGGGTGTCCAGGACAGAAACTGAGGCTCAGAGAGAGCCTCAGTTATGGCTTGTCTTATTGCATATCCAATAAATGGGACTTAGAATGACCAACTAATGTCGTATAGTCCTGGGCTCTGTGTCCTGCACTGCTACTAACTGGGGAGCTCCTGCACTGTCCCATCTCCTCTCTGACTACAATTTCCTCCCTTGAAATAAGTGATCTCCAAGTCCCCTTCAGGTCCTCCTTCTCAACCCATCTCACTCATTCCGCAAACATTCACTGAGCATCCTTGTGTGTCATGCTTGGTCCTGCAGGAGATCAGAGAGAGGGTCCCCACTCCTGCCCAACCCCTCAACTTGATCACATTGTCAGCCTTTGTCATATATTTTTAAAATGCTTATGTTGTCTGCTGTCTCACCAGACTCAAAGTTACTTGGGGGCATATTTGATCCTTGTGCTTCCTTAAATTATTTTTGGAGCAAGGCAGAGAGTAAATACATAGATTAATTAGTGTATTGATTATTTTTTCTTTGTCCCAGAGCACCTTAGACTGGTAGGCATTCACAGGAGACATTTATCGGAGACAGTCAAATAAGCAGAGCATTGCACAAAGGGGACAATTGCACCAGCAGGGGAGAAAGAAAAGGAGGGTGCTGGAAGCTCAGGATGGACCTCTGATCTAGACAGAGGGTGAGGAAGGCTTTCAGGAGGAGGTAACCTTCCACTGAGTCTTCAAGGACAAGGAGTTACTCAGGGAAAGATGAGGGTGACTGAGACTAAGGAAACAGCATGTAGAAAGTGCTGGAGGCCTGAGAAAGCCTTGCCCATTTCAGGATCTACAAGTAATTTCTGGTGATGCCAGAATCTCGCCCTTCACCTCTTCCCTCCAAGACTCCCTGGTGGGGTATGCGTTACACACAACGTGAACAGGGACCAGAGAGGAATCAATCTATCCATGCTGACAAGCACCTCGCACATCACTCTTCCATGCAGGACTTATTGATTGGTGCTGGGCTGCCAACTTGGGCAGGAGCTACAATGGTCTGTGCAGGACAGACTCTACAGTCACTTCCTCAGGCTGCCAAGTGGCCGGAGCCACAGTGCAAGCCCAGACCTGTCCCTCTGGAGTTTCCTGGATACCTTTAACACCACCCAGTCTTCCCTCTAGGCAGGAGAACACAGTGTGCCTTCACTTCTGCTGGGAGAGGCCAGTCCTAACCGTTGACATTTTCTATGTAACTGAAGCTCACCTCTCTTAGGGAATAACTTAAACACTTTATTTAAAGTTTAAATATTTTTGAAGTTAAATTAGTTCTATAGTAGACAACATGTAGGAAGGATGGGATGGCTGGCAGGTGGGAAGGGTGGGGGGATAAAAGGAAGAAATGAGGGTCAAGGAACCCAGTCAGGAGGCTTCAGAATTCCAGACATGACCCAGATACACATCTTCATGTTTATATCCCAGATCTCAGGGAGAAAGCCTAGGCCAGGATACTCTTAGAGTGGGAATGAGGAAGAAGAGAAAGGAGGCAGGGAGGAAGAGAAGGAAGAGAAGGAAGGGACGGAGGGAGGGAGGGAGGAAAGGAGGAAAGGAGGGGAGGGGGAGAGGGAGGGAAAGAAGGAAGGTAAAAAGGAAGGGAGGGAGGGAAGGAAGGATGGAAGGGAGGGAGGGAGGGAGGGAAAGGCGGACCATTAAACTACTTGGAAACAAACATCAACTATTATTTAAACATCAAATATTATTAAAGAACAAAAACAGCAGGTTTCCGGAGCACTCTGGAGTCTATCTTGATAGGTTGACGTTGCTCTGGGGTTAATATGAGGAAATGGCATTCTTAAAAACCCATATTAACCTGTCTGTTGTTCTATGGACTGTGACAGCTGCATTTTACATCATAATGGCTAACCATTTATTTCAAGCCAAAAAAAAAAAAAAGAGAGAGAGAGACATATTTTAGCCCATGAAGCAAAAGCTCAAGGCTGGAAGCTTTGCCCTAGAAACAGGTTGTGAAGCAGAAGTTCAGAGTAGGTCAAATGTGGGTTCCACAGGAGCCCCTACTGTGTGCCCCACCTCCATTGGCCCAGATACTCCGGATCTGTCCCTCTTCTGGGTCCCGCTAGGGTTTGCCTCTCTAGGCCTTCCTTGGGGCTGTTGTGGTCTCAGGGGAGACAAGCTACTCACTTGGATAATGGTGAGGTCCTGGTAGCAAACAGTACAGGAAAGGGCCCTGAGTGCAGGGGAAAGGAAGGGAGAGCTTGTGGAGAGCAGAGAAGGGAGGGTCGAGCTGACCCAGCTTCAGATTTGAACTGCATGGAAATGCACTCATTCAACAAGTATTTTTTGAGTACCTACTATGTGCCCTGCCCTGGTCCAGAGCAGTGAACAAAATAGGTAAGGGTCTACTGCATGCTTGGCCCCCTGAGGACACCCCGGTGGACAACATACAGGTGGGCCTGCTTCAGAGGGCTTATATTCTAGCTGGGGAGATAGGCATTAATCAGATCATCACTCTGGTAAGTGTGATCACAAGGGCTCTGAGAATGTAGAGTAGAGGAAACTCCTTCCTCTGAGGGGCCAAGGAGCTCTCCTGCAAGTGAGTAAGGCTAAGCTGAGAGCTGAAGGGGAAGAGGGGACTCCCAGCCTTGGGGACGGCACTTACTCCTTGAGCATAATTACCTGAAAGATGCCTGGTTTGGATGGAGCTGGGGGAACAAGGGGCCCTGATGGGAACATAACATCAGCAGGGGGTCAGGGGACAAAGTAGACATGTAATGTTTATTTAAGAGTGGTATGGTTTGGATGTTTTGTTCCCTCCAAATCTCATGTTGAAATGTGACCTCCAGTGTTGGAGGTGGGCCTAGTGGGAGGTGTTTGGGACATGGGGACAGATCTGTCATGAATGGTTTGGTGCTCTCTTCATGGTAATGAGTGAGTTCTCACTCTATGAGTTTATGTGAGATCTGGTTGTTTAGAAGAACATGGCACCTCCTCTCTCTCTCTCACTCCCTCTCTTGCCATGTGATGTGCTGGCTCCCTTTCTCCTTCCCCGATGATTGGAAGCTTCCTGAGGCCCTCACCAGAAGCAGATGCCAACACTATGCTTCCTGTACAGCCTGCAGAACCATGAGCCAATTAAACCTCTTTTTTTTTAATTACCCAACATCAGGTATTCCTTTATAGCAACACAAAAGCCAACTAGCACAAGCAGCAAGAGGAAGCTCTTGAGGAGCTTGAACAAGGGGTGACATAAGCCTTCAGGTTTTTGCACTGTTTTTAAAACTTTTCACACCCAGTGTTTTTGAGTCTGAAAGCAATCTGGTAAGGCAGTGAGTTTGGGGTTCTTGTCCTAACCTGACAGATCAGAAAACTGAAGTCCTTCCAAAATGGATGACTTACCTTACCTAAGATCACTAAGAATTGAACGAGTGAGAGGATGAGGGTCTAAGTCTTCCTGCTCAGGGGCTGGTTGAAGAATCAGAGAGAAGAAAGGGGGCCTCGTAGACCCACACACAGCATGAGCAATGGTATAACATGGTGTCAGGGGAACCTTGCATGGTTTGGAGAAGAGCCCCAGTGTGAAAGGACCCAGCACTGTGCCTCGTACATGGCAGATGCTCAGAAAACTACCCTTCCCCTTCTTTCAGCCGCAAGAACCACTGCTTCGGTTTCCCACACTGCCTGGCCACCATCATGCCACCTTCTAGGTTAAGGGGTGTTTGGGCAGATACTTGGTTTTGGTAGGGGTGTGAGAGAAGGGAGACAGGTTGTCTTGTGCTCCTTACCCAAGTCGGGATCCATCTTTCCTAGCTCTGATTGTTCTGCTGGGTGACTTGCCTCTGCCCAGACACCGTGCAAGGAAACATGAGAAGAAAATTTCCCAGGATTTCTGCTGCTCTGCCCCTGGCCCTTGCTGCAATGTTCTACAGTGCTTTGGTCAGAAAAAGTCCTCATCAGAATGATCTGCTTTGGACATGTATTCACACAAGAAGAATCATCTAATATTCATTTACAAAATCCTTTTCATACATTTTTCTCATTTAATCCCCATAACAATCTTGTGAGGTAGTTACTCATTACTGACATTTTATAAAAGGGTTTTGAATTGGTTGTTATTCATGGCACACATAACAAACCAAAACCTGAGCACAGGTCCTCTCTGACCCCAGTCTAGTCATCTTCTAGCTTCGTGACAAGTGTCTATCTTGGTATCATCCTTTAGTACTGCCTATTCAGAGACATCACAACAAACTTTCCCCGCAGTAAGGCAAGTGATGGAAAGCCATTCTAAAAATGTGCCCAGAATCTTTAGAAGAACAAACATCCATGTAATTAGTCTTTGGTATGTTTTGTTCAGTGTATACCTTTCTTCTGCATCAGTTTAAGGTTGGCAGCTCTTCTGTCCTCTTGATGAATGCCGTTGGGTTTTCCTGTGCATTGAAAAGGTGAGTTTGGACATCTTCCTGCTCACTAAAAGGATGAACATTGACCATTTTGGGAGGCTATGTCCAGGAAGTCATGCTTCAGGGAGCCCAGAGCTCAGAATTGCAGTTCCTTCTCTTTGCATATCCATTGGACATCAGTAGAGGGCTGCCAGCCAGCACAAACACTGTGGCATTGGAAGGGGTTGGAGGAATGCAGCTGGCTCCCAGCCCCTTGTTTTCCCGTTCCACTGGAAGGTTGTGTTCATTCGAGCTTTTAAACCAAAAATAAATTGTTGTAATCCATTTGCTAATTATACCATGCTAAAGTTCTAGACGCTGTAAATTACAGCCATGATATATCTAGATGAAGTTTCTGGGAGTTTATTTTTAGCCATCCAGAAAGCACTCAGTTTCCTAGAGGCTTCATTTGCAAGTCTAGGAGGGAACAGGGAAAATGCATCTGCACAACCTTTCTTGGCCTATGACCTGGAGACGATGAACCTCTCCGGTTCTCCTCTGTAAAAGAAAGTGGTTGTAGCCGTTCACTTTGAAGGTCTTGTCTATCTTCAAAGCTCTAACTCTCATTTTCTGACTAAGCAAAGTAGAATGTAGCCAAACATGGGTTTTCAGTTCCTGGTTGATCATGGAGAATATCAAAAGCCACCACACCAACATATTAATATTTGTGAACCATGGAACACAGATCTTCAGAAACCTCAGGCTCAATGGACACATTGCGTTTCTTTTCTAGTCCTCAATTTTGAGGAGTGGAGAGAGGATGGAAGGATTTTATGTTTATTTAGCACGTACTCTTTGCATAATACACTGCTTGGTGCTTGCATTTGAGTGATATTTGGATGGCCTTCTCCATTCAAGGACAATGTCATCTAATTTTAATCAATCAGTCACTCATTGACATCTGTGTGCCAGCCACTGGGGTTGGTTCTGAAAATATCTAGGGTAAATTAGATGCATCTCTTACCTCCAAGGAGACAGGAGGTGGAGATAAAGCATGCAATGAAAATGTTGAAGTGCTTTTTGAAATGCACTATTATCTACAAATGATTAAATACCAAGTGCCAGCAGAGAGAACACAGAGAGATACATTGTGAGGGGTAGGGGGAGTGTCTAGGTTCATCTGTGCCTGTTGGGGGAGGAGAATCAGGGAAGACTTCAGGGATAATGAGGTATTTGAGCCAGGGATGATATGTAAATATGATTTTAAAATGTGGGGATTGGGTAAGGGAAATTGGACAGATCTAGTTTAGTAACCTCGGAAAGCGCCCCGGCCAGGTCCCATGGATGACTGTCCTTGACCAGTCATTAACACATGACACACAGAGCACATCTCTTCCCCAAACACCACAACTTCTAGCAAGTTTTCTTCAATTTTGACCATAGTATGATTATTTTTTCAAAGAGTCAACATAAAAAATCCTTTGGAACAATTCCTTTGTCTGGATGCTTCTTGTGTTTAGACTTCTAGATAAGCAATCTTCTACTATACTTGTGTAATTCTTGGGTGGAGAGATGGATGCATGGTCAGATGGATGAATGGATGGTTTCATATCATTGTAGAGCTGCCACAGCAAAGAGATGGAAGCAGTGAAACTGGTTTGGCTCGCTAATAGCTTTGTGGGAAGAGCTGAGCTTTAAACAATAAACAGAATTTTCTCAGCACACAGTATGGATAAAGGCCTTCCCTTCAGAGGGAAGCAAAATGAGAGCATGAAATCCATGACATCGTGGAAGAATGGTGAGTCACAGAAGCCATGGTATAGGAAGGCAGGATGAGTTAATGTAGTGGCTGAGAGCACAGGCTATGATTGGATGGACTGCGGTTTGAATCCCTGTTCTGCCACATAGTAGCTGAGTGATCCTGGGCAAATTAGGTCACTTTTCCAAGCTTCTATTTTCTCATCTGTAAAATAGGAATATTAATAATGTCTACCTCGTGTGGTTATTGTGAAGATTAAGTAGAATAAAATAATGTTTAGCACAGTGATTGGTATGCCCTTAATAAAGTGTAGTTTATGGTTATTATTTTATAAAAAAACACTTCTAATTAAATTATGAAAATGCCCATTCAAACCACAGAATTTGTGAAGGAGTCAGAGAAAGTCCTTGGGGGGAAAGAAGAACCAGGAGAAACTGGTGTTGCTGATATGGAGGCAGGAATTTCTAGAGGGAAGGGGTCCCTGCTAGCAAATGACCCAGAGAGGCCACTGCAGATTGAGAAGAAGTGTCTGGAATATGCAGTGACAACATCCCTATGATCTTAAAGAAAGAGGCTGAAAGCCACAAGGCAACGATTTGTGAAGAGTGTGGGAGTGGAGGAAGTGGTGGTCTAGATGACTCTTTCAGGAAATCTCTCTGAAAAGGAGAAAAGGAACTTGGGGGCAGGACAGGGGACAAGGTCATGGGAAGGGCTGTTTGCTAGATGAAGAAATTTGAACTCAACACAGTGTTTTTTGACCTTTCTAAACTCATGCCTGCTTTGATAGACATAAACATCACTCTCCCCTGCAAGACTGATGTTCTGGCACCCAAGACCTAACACCAGGCTTATTTGAGAGCCACATCTGCCAGGAGGATTTTGTCAGGATTTACTTTCTGTGCTGTATTTTTAAAACAGTAGGAATTTAATGATCTGTGAGAACCAAGCAGGTAAGAAATGATGGAGGCATTGTAGGTCATAACAAGGATGGATTTGAAAGATGATAAGAAGGCTGAACCGAGCAGGAGTGAGGAGTGAGGGGCAGAGGCGAGTCAGAGGGATCCTGGGGTTCTGGCATTGAGGACTGAATAAATCACTGCACCAACTGGTGTGTGTCCTTTTTCTTTGTGGGTTCCCACCTCTACCTGCCTAGGTGACATTATACAGGTTTAAGACCAAATAACAGACGTGGTCATTGTTTAGAAACTTTTAAGTACTTTATCAGTGTAGGGCATTGTTAGTGATACTGTTATAAAGAAAAAAGAGCATACCTTGATCTTTCCTTGTGCACTGTGTCTTTGTCAGTGAGTATAATTTTAAATGGTGTGAGGGAACTAATGTGTATTGCTCACATACCTTATTACAGGTGAGGAAATGGAGATGCAGAAACATTTAAAGAAAGCCAGCCCAAGATCAACCCGACAGCCAGAGAATGCACACTCTTTCTAAGCACATATAAAACACTCACGAAAGTGGACTGTATCCTAGGCCGTAAAATACAATCCAGTAAATTTCAAGGAGTCAGTATCCTACAGACCATATTCACCTACCACAGTGCAATTAAGTTAGAACTCAGTAACAGAAAGATGAGATGTTTTTTAAAAACCTATATTGAGATATATTTATAAAAATACTTCCAACTAACTCTCAGATCAAAAAGAAATGATAACAGAAATTATAAAATGATTATAAATGAATGACCAAAGAAATATTAAATATCAAAAGTTGTGGAATATAGCCAAGACAGCACTTAGAGAGAAATTTATCACCTTAAATGCTTATATTAAAAAAGAAGAGCTGAAAATTAATGAATGGGTTAAGTATCCAATTTAGGAACAACAGCAAATATAAGTAAATAAACCAGCCCAGAGTTGTGCAGTCAGAAGTGGTGGGGCCAGGATTTGGGCATAGCTATGGCTGGCTCAAATCCCTCACTCTCTTTACTCCACTGGTACCTTTCTCTGTGCTGCTTTCCATTATATGCCCAGTACCTGGAGATTCTCTCTCCCTAAGAGTTGAAGAGATGAGGCTACAAAGTAACTCCCTGCATGAAAGCTTGATGATAAATCCCACTCATTTTCTCAGCCATCCTTTTACTTGTCCATCAACTACTTAATGAGCATTTGCCATGTGCCAGGCACTGTGCTAGTAGCTACTTTAGTTGCATCTTTCCTCTGAGCGTTCAAACACTAGACTTCAGCTTGGGACCAAAGCTCATACTGCTGCTACTAATGCCCATGCCCACGTCTCACCCCCACCTCCCAAGCTGCCAGAATCTTCTCTACTGCTTATCAGAACAGCATCCTCATCAAAAATGACTGATTTGTCTCTTGTCTCTTTCAACAGGTAGACTGAAATTACCATGTGTCCAAATTAAAATTGCATACTTCAAGGATTATTTGAAGGACTATTCTTAGACCCTTTTAAGAAGATTTAAAGAAAAGTGAGTTGATTTTTTTTACACTTCAGAGAGTATTCATGATTTAAGTTAATGTTATGGGTTCTTTTTTTCTCTACCTCTTAAATATGCATTAATAGGTAGACTTTATCTTCATTTATTTTACAATAAAGATTTTTTTTTCCCTAAGAACAATGAACAAAGAGTGCAGGATTACTGCTTGCCTTCCCTGCAAGATTTTTATATGTTTCAAAGGCTTGTGGAATCTTAGAGATAAAAGGGTTTTAGAGGTACGGACCATTCCCTCCTGGATGCTGGGAAACCCACAACAGCATCTCTATAGATCCCTGGCCTGTTCTTGGAAACTTGCAGGGACTGGTTTGGAGGTTGGTATCTCCCCACACTTAGGATTTTTGTAGAGCTCTCCCATAATCTGGACTTGAAATTCACTCCACGTCTTGCCAAGTCTCTTTCTTCTCTACTAGACATCCTAAAATAGGTGAATGTAAACAGCATGTCCCTCCTCAAGATCTTTTCTTGTTATTTGTTCCTCCAATCATTTCTCATAAGTTGGTTTCAAGAGCAGCTCCCACCCTGGTCACTTGGAATACAGACAGAGCACCTCCAGTGATCTTTGCCCAGTATATGGATGAGAATCAAAGCAGGGTAAACCCAAAGAGCAGGCCTGGGTTCAGCCCCAGTTCTACTCTTGTTGTGTTTTCAGGAAAGTCACTTCATCATTCTGAGCTTGGTGAAAACAAGGAAGGTAGGAAGAGATAGTCACTACCATGCCTCTGACCTCCACTTGGATCGTTTTGCTGACTCAGAGTAAAGAAGTTGCTGCTTCTTACCATCTCAGGCACTGGAATGGGCCAGGTCTTGGGAATCCATGGAATCTGGGTCCAATCCAAGCCCTATCACTTGCTGACTATGTGGCCATAGACTGCCATTTCTCATCTCTGATCATCTGTTTCCTCATTTGTTAAATGAGGATGCCAATAAATGTTGCAAAGGGTTGCGTGAGGATGTACTGAGATAATGTACATAAAGCACCTAGTACCTGGTACATAGAAAGTGTTCAAAACATGGCAGTTGCTAGTATGATTATAAGTAATGGCAGAACTACTTACCTTTAGCCAGAGGAGAAGATAGGAGGTGCTAGAGACTCTCATAAGGAGAGAAAAGAACGGGCATACTCATTAGGGATACAGTAGTGTTCACATCTCATAAACTCTCATGCAAACATAAGCCCAACCTCAGAAAATTCATGAGGTTAAAACTCTACTTCTCAGAGTCAGACAAGGATGATGGGTTGCTATGGAAATATACAGTTAAAAGGGAAATTTTAGAGTGGGTCCGAGAAGCTGCACAAATCCTGCCAATCTCTCACTGATGCCATAGCCCCGGTCCTAGATGGTAAGGATTAGAGCCCCCCAGAATGAAGGTCCTTAAACACACAGACTGGGAGGCCTGCAAATCATCAAATATTTATATATGTTCAGAAGGCTGGTGGTGAGTGTTGGATGAGAGATTGAGTGTTTTGTAAACTGTAAAGTTTCCTACAAATATATGTGCCTTTGTGTGATTCATGTATTATGGACTGTATCAATACTTTGCAAATCAGAAGAAAGGGGGGAACTCAGATGAGCTGACTGTGTAATGAACCTGTAGAGTCCAGCCCCACTGATTTCTGAGTGAAATAGCATATACGTATGCATGCATGTACATATCTGTATACACACGTCTATGCATGTGTGTGCATGCACACGTGTGTGTTTGTGCATATGTGTGTGAATCTTTGACCCTTTGGAGGTAGTCACCACTCTTTATCCAGTGACTGGCTGCCTCTAAGGAGTATAACAGAGGAATGAAAACACAGGCTATGGTGTCAGTCAGCCTAGCTCTATAACTTACAAGTTATGTGGCCTTGGTCACATTATTTGATAAGAGTGGTACAGTTTTCGCCTTCCTGGAGCTGAAAGTCTGTGGATAGGGCTGCTCTCAGGAGCTGGGAGGATGCAGCATAGGATGTATCTCTCACACCAAGAAAGTGCTTAGGATATGGGAGAGTCTTTCTCCCTTGGTTAGTGGCTTTTTTCTGTTTGTTTTTCTCAGAGTTTAGGGAATGTTGTGTTAACTCGTTAGATAAAAGGAACCTCTGAAGGTATCTTTGGTTCCATAAGACCATGCCCCTGAAGACCTAGGTACCTCGGTGGCTAGAGAGACTGTGTAGGAAAACGTACCCTCTAGTACCTGTTGAAAGGGCTAATTTCAGAGGTGTTTCCACACCTTGGCCATCCTTCTGAGTCTCTTCCCTCAGTCTGGGCCATGGGGCTGGCAATTATTAAATTCAGAAGAATTGGAAACTGGTATCACTCAAGGTATAGGACAAAGTATTTTCTTTAAATTTGGAAATTAAATATAGCTAACATCCTTGTTCTCCAGACAGTGGCTCACAGTAGATACAGAGGTGTTGATCCAGGCCAATGTTGGTGTGGATGCCACAGGCTAGAAATGCCCCTTTCTGGGCTATTCTGACCCAGGAAAGACTGCATAATTGTGTATCACAGGGTGCTTCAAATTGTGGGTTGTAGTCCAGTAACAGGTCATGAAATTAATTTGGTGGCTCAAGATCAGCATTTATTAAAGTAAAAACAGAGTAACCTAGTAACCCACAGAGTGGGTAAAGATGTTGTATATTTGCACTCCATATACTCAACAAAGGTCTCATATCCAAATATATATGGTAGAAAAAAAAGAAGAAACTCCTATAAATCAGTAAGAAAAGACAGACAGCCTAATAGAAAAATGGGCAAAAGACTCAGATACTTCATAAAAGAAGATGTCCAAATAGCCAAAAAAGCACATAACATTTTTACTCTTCAGGGAATGACAAATTAAAACCATAATGAAATACTACTATGTACTCATCAGAATGGCTGAAATAAAAAATATAGACTCTATCTAGTGTTGGCAAAGATGTGAAACAACCGAAACTTACACACTGTTAGCTGAAATGTAATTGGTTTGATGACACTGGAAAACTGTTTGGCAATATCAGCTAAAGCTGAACATATACATACCAGCACTTTCACTCCTTGGAATATACCCCTGAGATATGTACACAGATATCCACCAAAACACATGGCCATCAGCCCTGGAATGGATCAAGGGTAGCATATTCACATAGTGGAATATTGCACATAGCAATATTGATGAACCTCAGAAGCATGAAGGTGAAAGAAAGAAGCAGGCACAAAGAAACTTTATGACTGCACTTTAAAAAAGTACAAAGCCAGGTAAAACTACTCTGTGTTTTCAGAAGTCTGGATGGTGGTTGCCCCCGAGGGAGGAGTTGGTAAATGGGAAGGAGTGCAAAGGGGCTCTCTAGTCACATTCTGCCTTTTAATTCAGAGGTAGGAGGGCAGGTTAAATGGGTGTTGTCAATTTGTAGAAATGCATCAATCTATTCATTTATGATATGTACCCTCTACTGTACTTAAGTCATACTTCAATAAAAGTTTATAAAATGAGCATAACAGAGGAGAAAATATAGCAGGTCATAAGGACAAACATCATTAAGTGAAACTTCAGTTACATGTCCCTCTAAATATGTGTGTATAGACCAAGTTGAGGTATGAAATGTATTTCTTTTTTAAATTTTTTTTAATTTTTAGTTTTTATGGGTTCATAGTAGGTATATATATTTATGGGGCACGTGAGATATTTTGATACAGGCATACAATGCATGCTGATCATATCAGGTTAAATGGGGTATCCATCACCTCAAGCATTTATCATTTATTTGTGTTATAAATATTGAAATTATACAGTTTGTTATTTTTAAATGTACAATAAATTATTGTTGACTGTAATCAACCTGTTATGCTATCAAATACTAAATTTTATTTATTCTAACTATATTTTTTGTACCCATTAGCCATCCCCACTTCCCCATGCTCACTACCCTTCCCAACCTCTGGTAATCATCCTTACATTCTTTATCTCCATGAGTTCAATTGTTTTAATTTTTAGTTCCCACAGATGAGTGAGAACATGCAAAGTTTGTCTTTCTGTGCCTGGCTTATTTTGCTTAACATAATATCCTCCAGTTCCATCCATGTTGTTGCAAATGACAGGATCTCTTTATTTTTTATGGCTGAATATTACTCCATTGTGAATATGTTCCATATTTTCTTTATCCATTCATCTGTTGATGGACACTTAGACTGCTTCCAAATTTTGCCTATTGTAAGTAGTGCCACGATACACATGGAAGTGCAGATATCTCTTCAATATACTGATTTCCTTTCTTTGGGGTATGTACCTAGTAATAGAATTGCCAGATCATATGGTAGTTTTATTTTTAGTTTTTTGAGGAACCTCCAAACTGTTCTCCATAGCGGTTGTACTAATTTTCACTCCCTTTTCTCCACCTCCTCGCCAGCATTCATTATTGCCTGCTTTTTGGATAAAAGCCATTTTAAATGGGATGAAATGATGTCTCATGTAGTTTTGATTTGCTTTTCTCTGATAATCAATGATGTTGAGCACTTTTTCATCTACCTGTTTGCCATCCGTATGTCTTCTTTTGACATTCTTCTATTCAGATCTTTTGTTTACTTTTTAATCAAATTATTATATTTTTTTCCTGCCGAGTTGCCTTAGGTCCTTATATATTCTGATTATTAATGCGTCGTCAGATGAATAGTTGGTAAACATTTTCTCCCATTCTGTGGGTTGTCTCTTTACTTTGTTGATATTGTTTTTCTTTGCTGTGCAGAGGCTTTTCAACTTGATGTGATCCAATTTATCTATTTTTCCTTTGGTTGTCTGTGCTTGTGAGTTTTACTTGGAAAATCTTTGCCTAGTCCAGTGTCCTGGAGAGTTTCTCTAATGTTTTCTTTTAGTAGTTTCCTAGTTTCAGGTCTTACATTTAAGTCATTAATCCACTTTGATTGATGTTTTTACATGGTGAGAGGTAGGGATCTAGTTTCATTCTTCTGCATATGGATACCTTGTTTTCCCAGCACCATTTATT
Source organism: Homo sapiens (assembly GCF_000001405.40). Lineage (NCBI taxonomy): Eukaryota > Metazoa > Chordata > Mammalia > Primates > Hominidae > Homo > Homo sapiens. The sequence goes on along the minus strand of NC_000011.10, from coordinate 79,143,713 downwards.
TATTTATTTTTATTTTTTATTTTATTTATTTATTTTTATTATACTTTAAGTTCTAGGATACATGTGCACAACATGCAGGTTTGTTACATATGTATACATGTGCCATGTTGCTGTGCTGCACCCATTAGCTCGTCATTTACATTAGGTTATTTATCCTAATGCTATCCCTCCCCACTCCCTCCACCCCACAACAGGCTCCATTGTGTGATGTTCCCCACCCTATGTCCAAGTGTTCTCATTGTTAAATTCCGACCTATGAGTGAGAACATGCAGTGTTTGGTTTTCTGTCCTTGCGATAGTTTGCTCAGAATGATGGTTTCCAGCTTCATCCATGTCCCTACAAAGGACATGAACTCATCATTTTTTATGGCTGCATAGTATTCCATGGTGTATATGTGCCACATTTTCTTAATCCAGTCTATCATTGATGGGCATTTGGGTTGGTTCCAAGTCTTTGCTATTGTGAATAGTGCCACAATAAACATACGTGTGCATGTGTCTTTATAGTAGCATGATTTATAATCCTTTGGGTATATAGCCAGTAATGGGATCGCTGGGTCAAATGGTATTTCTAGTTCTAGATCCTTGAGGAATCACCGCACTGTCTTCCACAATGGTTGAACTAGTTTACACTCCCACCAACAGCGTAAAAGTGTTCCTATTTCTCCACATCCTCTCCAGCACATGTTGTTTCCTGACTTTTTAATGATCACCATTCTAACTGGTGTGAGATGGTATCTCATTGTGGTTTTGATTTGCATTTCTCTGATGGCCAGTGATGATGAGCATTTTTTTCATGTCCCAGCACCATTTACTGAAGAGAGTGTCCTTTCCCCAGTGTGTGTTCTTGGTACCTTTGTTGTAAATGAGTTCACTGTAGGTATGCAGATTTGTTTCTGAGTTCTCTATTCTGTTCCATTGGTCTATGTGTCTGTTTTTATACCAGTACCATGCTGTTTTGGTTACTATAGCTCTGTAGTATAATTTGAAGTCAGGTAATGTGATTCCTCTAGATGTGTTCTTTTTGCTTTGGATAGCTTTGCCTATTCCAGGTCTTTTGTGGCTCCATCTAAAATTTAGGATTGTTTTTTCTATTGCTGTGAAGAATGTCTTTGGTATTTTAATAGGAATTGCATTCAATCTGTGGATTCCTTTTGGTAGCATGAGTATTTTAACAATATTGATTCTTCCAATCCATAAACAAGAAATATCTTTCTATTTTTTGGTGTCCTCTTCAATTTCTTGTCAATGTTTTACAGTTTTCATTGTAGAGATCTTTTATTTCTTTGGTAAATTTTATTCCTAGGTATTTAACAACTTTATTTATAGCTGTTATAAATGGGATTACATTCTTAATTTTTTTTTCTGATTGTTTGCTGTTGGCATATAGAAATCCTACTGATATTTTTACATTGATTTTGTACCCTGCAACTTTACTGAATTTGTTTATCAGTTCTAAAAATTTTTTGATGGAGTCTTTAGCTTTTTCCAAATGTAAGGTCACATCATCTGCAAACAAGGATAATTTGACTTCTTCCTTTCCAATTTGGATGCCCTTTATTTCTTTCTCTTGTCTGATTGCTCTAGCTCCAGTACTATGTTAAATAACAGTGGCAAGAGTGGGCATCATTGTTACGTTCCACATCTTAGAGGAAAGGCTTTTAGTTTTTCCCCACTCAATATGATTCCAGCTGTGAATCTGTTACATATGGCTTTTATTGTGTTGAGGTATGTTCTTTCTATACCAAGTTTTTTAGAATTTTTATCATAAAAGAATTTTGTCAAATGCCTTTTCAGCATCAATTGAAATGATTATATGATTTTCATTCTTCATTCTATTAATATGATATATCACATTGATTGATTTTTGTATGTTGAACCATCCTTGCATCTGGGAATAAATTCCACTTGGTTATGATGAGTGATCTTTTTAATGAGTTGTTGAATTCAGTTTTCTAGTGTTTTGTTCCATTGATGTTCATCAATCATATTGGCCTAGTTTTGTTTGTTTGGTTTTGTTTATTTGTTTGATGCATCTTTGTCTGGCTTGGGTATCAGGGTAATATTGGCCTTGTAGAATGAGTTTGGAAGTATTCCTCCTCCTCTATTTTTCAGGATAGTTTGAGTAGGATTGGTATTAGTTCTTTTTAAAATATTTGGTGAAATTCAGCAGTGAAGCCATCAGGTCCCAGGCTTTTCTTTGCTGAGAGACTTTTTATTATGGCTTCAGTCTCATTACTTGTCATTAGTCTGTTCAGGTTTTGGATTTCTTCATGGTTTAATATTTGTAGGATGTGTATGTCTAGGAATTTATCCACTTCTTCTAGGTTTTCCAATTTATTGGCATACAGTTGCTCATAGTAGTCTCTAATGTTCCTTTGAATTTATGCAGTGTCAGTTGTAATGTCTCCTTTTTCATCTCTGATTTTATTTGGGTCTTCTCTGTTTCTTAGTCTTCAAATGTATTTCTTAATGTTGAGTCACAGTCAGAAAATAAGAGCCGCTGATTTAATCTAATCCTTCCATTTTCAGGTGAGGAATCTGAGGCCCAGAGAAGAAGGGAATTAGGAGCAGAGGTAGGAGGAAGACAGAGCTAGGAAGAAGTCTCTAGGTCTCCTGCTGCTGATGATTCTGTGTTAAGCCTGTTTTCACTGCCTTGAATGGTATATTCACATTAATAGGCTCCGTCTAGCACCTTAATCTCAGGGAGGCAACCTGGTACTTTTGGTCCAAGGGGAAAGATTGTTTTTCCACCCACAGACGGTAGAGTCAGAGGCCCAGCTACCTCTGCAGGGACCTGGCTCCAGGTCCACAGATCCCCTCCCTCTTCCTTCCTGCCTCTTCTGTCTAAATCAGCTTCCCTCAGAGCAGCAGAAACGCCACTGCACTAAATCCTGTTTTCATTTGTGGAAGACGACTGTCATGCCAAAGCTGTTTGATGGTTTTAGAAGTTAGAAAACTGTGAAGAAAATACATTTGGAGAATAAGATCTGACAACGAAGGCTTCTATTCTGGCTTGGTGCTTTTATTTTATTACAAAAATGTGAGTCCATTAAGCAGACTTCTTCTGTGGTGGTCAAACAGTGCTACCAGGCTTCCAGAGTACAAGAACAAGATGTAGCCCTGTTTCTGCCAGGCAGAGCAGCCCAGAAAAGGGAAATGTGGGGATTTTAAAGGCTCAGTCTGAGCCTCACACAAGACTTGGAAGCGTCTTAAACAGGAGGGTAAATAAGATCAGTGGATTGCTGACTATTTTGACTATGACCCACAGCACAAAACACATGGGATATCTACTTAGGACACATCCCCACCCACTCAGGTAAATAGGTGAGGCTTAGGACTGACCAGTCCAGACCATCAAAGTAAGGGCATTTAGCCCAACCTTGGGGGTAGGGAGCCCGGAGGGAAGGGGATGGTATGTCTTCAAAGAAGGTTTCAAATCTCAAGAGGCTTGAGCAAAGGATTAAAGAAAGGGAAACCACACAGCAGAGGTTGCTGAGGACTGGCTAGCAGGTGGGAACCTGGTCTAAAGGAAGCCATGTTGCACGCCGGAACTGCCTATGATTCTGGGGAGTTGAAGTTGAGGAGGCATATAGGGAGAGATGGGAGACGATCCAGAAGACATTGGCAGGGGCAGATGTGAAGGGCTCTGTGCCCTGACAAGGAGTGTCCAGAGTGAATAAGAGACCATGCCTGAGAGTCATCTAGGCAAGAAATGCCTGTCACCTAGGAGACAGAATAAAAGATGTAAGCGGACATAAGGAATGTTGGTTCCATCTTCAAATTTTGTATTATAGCACTCACTTATGCCATCTGTATTACTCAGCGTTCTCTAGAGGGACAGAACTAATGGAAAATACATATATATTACATAATCTATGTATTATATATAAATATAAAATATATATTATATATTTATATAAATATAATATATATTATATATTTATATAAATATAATATATATTATATATTTATATAAATATAATATATATTTTATATACTTATATAAATATTATATATATTTTATATACTTATATAAAATATATATATTTTATATACTTATATAAATATAATATATATTTTATATACTTATATAAATATAATATATATTTTATATATTTCTAGAAATATAATATATATTTTATATATTTCTATAAATATAATATATATTTTATATATTTCTAGAAATATAATATATATTTTATATATTTCTAGAAATATAATATATATTTTATATATTTCTAGAAATATAATATATATTTTATATATTTCTAGAAATATAATATATATTTTATATATTTCTAGAAATATAATATATATTTTATATATTTATAGAAATATAATATATATTTTATATATTTATAGAAATATAATATATATTTTATATATTTATAGAAATATAATATATATTTTATATATTTATAGAAATATAATATATATTTTATATATTTATAGAAATATAATATATATTTTATATATTTATAGAAATATAATATATATTTTATATATTTATAGAAATATAATATATATTTTATATATTTATAGAAATATAATATATATTTTATATATTTATAGAAATATAATATATATTTATAGAAATATAATATATATTTTATATATTTATAGAAATATAATATATATTTATAGAAATATAATATATATTTTATATATTTATAGAAATATAATATATATTTATAGAAATATAATATATATTTTATATATTTATAGAAATATAATATATATTTTATATATTTATGGAAATATAATATATATTTTATATATTTATGGAAATGTAATATATATTTATAGAAATATAATATATATTTTATATATTTATATAAATATAAGGTATATTTTGTATATTTATATAAATATAATGTATGTTTTGTATATTTATATAAATATGTATGTTTTATGTATTTATATAAATATAATGTATGTTTTATGTATTTATATAAATATAATGTATGTTTTATGTATTTATATAAATATAATGTATGTTTTATGTATTTATATAAATATAATGTATGTTTTATGTATTTATATAAATATAATATATGTTTTATGTATTTATATAAATATAATATATGTTTTATGTATTTATATAAATATAATATATGTTTTATGTATTTATATAAATATATGTTTTATGTATTTATATAAATATAATATATTTTAATATATTATGTATAAATATAATATATTTTAATATATTATGTATAAATATATATTATTTGTATATAATATATTAAAATATATTATATATAAATATAATATATATTTATATATAATATAATATATATTTTATTTATATATAACTATATTATATAATATATATTATATTTATATTATATATTATATATTTTTATATATTATATATATAATATATATATATATATATAAAGGGGAGTTTATTAAGTATTAACTCACACCATCACAAGGTCCCACAATAGGCCATCTGCAGGCTGAAGAGCAAAGCGAGCCAGTCCAAGTTCCAAAACTGAAGAATTTGGAGTCCGATATTTGAGGGCAGGAAGCATCCAGCATGAGAGAAAGATGTAGGCTGGGAGACTAGGCCAGTCTCTCTTTTTACATTTTTCTGCCGGCTTATATTCTAGCCATGCTGGCAACTGATTAGATTGTGCCCACCCAGATTAAGTGTGGGTCTGCTTTTCCCAGCCCACTGACTCAAATATTAACCTCCTTTGGCAACACCCTCACACACACACCCAGGATCAGTACTTTGTATCCTTCAATCCAATCAAGTTGACACTCAGTATTAACAATCACAAGTCCACCCCTTGTCAACCTGAACCCATGCACATCTCTTGAGATCATACATAATCTTCAAATAAAGACAATAATAAGGTCATAATTATGCCTAACATAAAACAACAATCCTTCATACAACTGGAGACGCACCAATCCCCAACCCAAATGCTATTACATAAAGTTAACAACACTTAAATGTTGACGTGAAGTTAATAAATCTTATGTCACATGATAAAGGAGAAAGGAAATAAAATGAAAGTATTTTCTTAGTACAAGCGTATATATGCGCAGACGTGTTTTTAACAAAAGAAAGAGGAAATACTTACAACAATTACAGTCCTCATTTCGGCAGCTGGTCACGCGGTTGTAACTGGTATTAATGACAACCTTCTTCTACTACACATTCTGTATTCCCTTTGCCTTCAGCAAGCACCTTGTGGGTTTTTTTGCCTGGTGGCATGATCCAAACCTTCATTCCTGAGGGGTCTGGTTCATTTGTAGTCTGCCTGGATTGGTCTGTCGTAGTTTTCCATTGACCTTAATCACAGGGCAGAGTAATACTAAGAGATGCCCTAATGGATCTCCTGTATTCCATGCATACTCTTCCTTACCTCCGTTGTGGAGTAGCAGACTGATTTCATCTTGATAATCCAGGTCAGTCACCCCAGCCAACACTGTAACTCCCTTCTTAGCCTGTTGACTTAAAGGTGGAAGGAGCTCAAAATGTCCAGGTGGCAATCTTAACTTCCACTTTAATGGAATCGTTGTGTCTTTTGATAGCAGTGCTCCTCCCTCTGGAACTAAAACCTCTAGGCCAGCAGAACATAATGTCACAGGAACAGGAAGTAAAATTTTTGCCAGTGGATCACCAGGGGTAATGGTGAGTGGTGCCACTTCCACCCCCTGATTCCTGGAAACATGAATCCTGGCTATGGGAGAAACAGTGCCATAGATTGGATGCTGATTCAGAGCATACACGGCCTTCTGCAGAACTTTGCCCCAGCCCTGCAAAGTATTGTCACCTAGTTGGCTTTGTAACTGTGACTTCAAAAGGCCATTCCACCATTCTATCAATCCAGCTGCTTTAGGATGATAGGGAGCATGGTAAGACCAGTGAATTCCATGAGCATGAGCCCACTGTCACACTTCTTTAGCCATAAAGTGAGTGCCTTGGTCAGAGGCAATGCTGAGTGGAATACCATGACAGTGGATAAGGCATTCTGTGAGTCCATGGATGGTAGTCTTGGCAGAAGCATTGCGTGAAGGATAGGCAAACCCATATCCGGAGCAAGTATCTGTTCCAGTGAGAACAAACCTCTGCCTTTTCCATGATGGAAGAGGTCCAGTATAATCAACCCGCCACTAGGTAGCTGGCTAATAATCCTGAGGAATGGTGCCATATTGAGAGCTCAGTGTTGTTCTCTGCTGCTGGGAAATTGGGCACTCAGCAGTGGCTGTAGCCACTCTTGGTGAGTGTAAGTACATGTTGCTGAGCTCATGCATAACCTCCATCCCTGCCACCATGGCCACATTGTTCATGGGCCCACTGGGCGATGACAGGGGTGGCTAGAGAAAGAGGCTGAGTGGTGTTCATAGAATGGATCATCCTATCCACTTGATTATTAAAATCCTCCTCTGCTGAGGTCACCCATTGGTGAGCACTTACATGGGATGCAGATATCTTCACAGCTTTTGATCACTCAAAGAGGTCCATCACATACCTCTTCCCCAAATTTGTTTTTATTATTATTATATTTCAATAAGTTATTGGGGTACAGCTAGTATTTGGTTACATGAATAAGTTCTTTAGTGGTGATTTGTGAGATTTTGGTGCACTCATCACCCAAGCAGTATATACTGCACCATATTTGTAGCCTTTTATCCCTTGCCCCCAACCCACTCTTCCCCATAAGTTCCCAAAATCCATTGTATCATTGTTATGCCTTTGAATCCTCATAGCTTAGCTCCCTCATACCAGTGAGAACATACAATGTTTGGTTTTCCATTCCTGAGTTTCTTCACTTAGAATAATAGTCTCCAATCTCATCCAGATTTCTGCAAATGCTGTTAATTCATTTTTTTAATGCTGAGTTGTATTCCATCATATATATGATATATATGATGGAATATATATATCATACATATATAATGATATATATCATATATATGTATATATGATATATACATATATGTATATATGATGTATATATCATATATGTATGATCATATATGTATGATGTATCATATATATCATACATATATGATATATCATATATGTGTGTGTATATATATGATATGTATATCACAGTTACTTTATCCACTGGTTGATTGATGGGCATTTGGGCTGGTTCTACAATTTTGCAATTGTGAATTGTGCTGCTATAAACATGCATGTGCAAGTATCTTTTTTGTATAATGACTTATTTTCCTCTGGGTAGATACCCACTAGTGGGATTCATTGGTCAAATGGTAGTTCTACTTTTAGTTCTTTAAGGAATCTCCACACTGTTTTCCATAGTGGCTGTACTAGTTTACATTCCCACCAGCAGTGTAGAAGTGTTCCCTGATCACCACATCCACACCAATATCTACTGGGTTTTTTTTTTATTTTTTGATTATGGCCATTCTTGCAGGAGTAAGGTGGTATCACATTGTGGTTTTGATTTGCATTTCCCTGATCACTAGCGATATTGAGCATTTTTTCATATGTTTGTTGGCCCTTCATATATCTTCTTTTGAGAATTGCCTGTTCGTGTCCTTAGCCCACTTTTTGATAGGATTATTTGTTTTTTGCTTACTGATTTGTTTAAGTTCATTGTAGATTCTGGATATTAGTCCTTTGTCAGGTGTACAGATGGTGAAGATTTTCTCCCACTCTGTGAGTTGTCTGTTTACTCTGCTGACTGTTCCTTTTGCTGTGCAAAAGCTGTTTAGTTTAATTAGGTCCCAGCTATTTATCTTTGTTTTTACTGTATTTGCTTTTGGGTTCTTGGTCATGAAATCCTTGCCTAAGCCAATTTCTAGAAGGGTTTTTCCAATGTTATCTTCTAGAATTTTTATAGTTTTAGGTCTTAGATTTAAGTCCTTAATCCATCTTGAGTTGATTTTTGTATAAGTGAGAGATGAGGACCCAGTTTCATTCTCCTACATGTCGCTAGCCAATTATCCCAGCACCATGTGTTGAATAGGTTGTCCTTTCTCCACTTTATATTTGTTTGCTTTGTCGAAGATCAGTTAGCTGTAAGTATTTGGGTTTATTTCTGGGTTCTCTATTCTGTTCCGTTGGTCTATGTGCCTATTTTTATACCAGTTCCACACTGTTTTGGTGACTATGGCCTTATAATATAGTTTGAAATCAGGCAGTGTGATGCCTCCAGATTTGTTCTTTTTGCTTAGTCTTGCTTTGGCTATGCAGGCTCTTTTTCTGTTCCATATGAATTTTAGAATTGTTTTTTCTAGTTCTGTGAAGAATGATGGTAGTATTTTGATGGGAATTGGGTTGAATTTTTAGATTGCTTTTGGCAGTATGATCATTTTCACAATATTGATTTTCCCCATTCATGAGCATGGAATGTGTTTCCATTTATTTGTGTCATCTATGATTTCTTTCAGCAGTGTTGTGTAGTTTTCCTTGTAGAGATCTTTTGACTCCTTGGTTAGGCAGATTCCTAAGTATGTTATTTTTTTGCAGCTATTGTAAAAGGAGTTGAGTTCCTGATTTTATTCTCCACTTGGTCGCTGTTGGTGTATAGAAGAGCTACTAATTTGTATATATTAATCTTCTATCTGGAAACTTTGCTGAATTCTTTTATCAGTTCTAGGAGCTTTCTGGAGGAGTCTTTAGGGCTTTCAAGGTAAACAATCATATCTTCAGCAAACAGTGACAGTTTGGCTTTCTCTTTACTGATTTGGAAGCCCTTTATTTCTCTCTCTTGACTGATTGCTCTGGCTAGGAATTCCAGTGTTGTGTTGAAGAAGAGTGATGAGAGTGGGCTTCCTTGTCTTATTCCAGTTCTCAGAAGGAATGCTTTCAACTTTTCCCTATTCAATATTATGTTGTCTGTGGGTTTGTCATAGATGGCTTTTATTACATTGAGGTATCTCCCTTGTATGCTGATTTTGCTGAGTGTTTTAATCATAAAGGGATGCTGAATTTTGTCAAATGCTTTTTCTGCATCTATTGAAATGATCATGTGATTTTTAATTCTGTTTACGTGGTGTAGCACATTTATTGACTTGCTTATGTTAAACCATCCCTGCATCCCTGGTGTGAAACCCACTTGATCAGGTGAATTATTTTTTTTTCATATGTTGTTGGATTTGGTTAGCTAGTATTTTATTAAGGATTTTAGCATCTATGTTCATTAAGATTATTGGTCCATAGTTTTCTTTTTTGGTTATGTCCTTTCCTGATTTTGGGTTAGGGTGGTGCTGGCTTCATAGAATGAATTAGGGAGGGTTCCTTCTTTCTCGATCTTGTGGAATAGTGTCAAAAGGATTGGTACCTATTCTTCTTTGACTGTCTGGTAGAATTCTGCTGTGAATCCATCTGGTGCTGGACTTCTTTGTTGTTGGTAATTTTTTAATTATCATTGCAGTTTCGCTACTTGTTATTGGTCTGTTCAGGATAGCCAGTTCTTTCTGACTTAAGCTGGGAGGGTTGCATTTTTCCAGGAATTTATTTATCTCTTCTAGGTTTTCTAGTTTAAGTGCATAAAGCTGTTCACAATAGCCTTGGATGATCTTTTGTATTTCAGTGGTGTCAGTTGTAATATCTCCTGTTTTGTTTCTTAGTGAGGTTATTTGGATTTTCTCTCTTCTTTTCTTGGTTAATCTTGTTAGAGGTCTATCAGTTTTCTTTATCTTTTCAAAAATAAGCTTTTTGTTTCATTTATCTTTTGTATTTTTTGTTTCTTTGTTTCAATTTCATTTAGTTCTGTTCTGATCTTGGTTATTTCCTTACTTATGCTGGGTTTGGGTTTGATTTGTTCTTGTTTCTCTAGTTCCTTGAGGTATGACCTTAGAATGTCAGTTTGTGCTCTTTCAGTGTTTTTTGATGTAGGTGTTTAGGGCTATGAACTTTCCTCTTAGCACCACCTTTGTCATATCCCAGAGGTGTTGATAGGTTGTGTCATTATTGTCGTTAAGTTCGAAGAATTTTTAAATTTCCATCTTGATTTCATTTTTGACTCAGTGCTCATTCAGAGGCAGGTTATTTAATTTCCATGTTTTTTTCATGGTTTTAAAGTTTCCTTTTGGAGTTGATTTCCAATTTTATTCCACTGCAGTCTGAGACAGAGCTCGATATAATTTAAATTTTCTTAAATTTATTGAGGCTCATTTTATGGCCTATCATGTGGCTTATCTTGGAGAAAGTTCCATGTGCTGTTGAATAGAATGTGTATTCTGTGGTTGTTGGATGAAATGTTCTGTATATAACTATTAAGTCCATTTGTTCCAAGGTATAGTTTAAATCCATTGCTTCTTTGCTGACTTTCTGTCTTGATGACCTGTCTAGTGCTGTCAGTGGAGTACTGAAGTCCCCCACTATTATTGTGTTGCTGTCTATCTCATTTCTCTTTTTTTTTTTTTTTTTGAGTTGGAGTCTTGCTCTTTCTCCCAGGCCAGACTGCAGTGGCGCTATCTCAGCTCACTGCAAGCTCCGCCTCCCAGGTTCACGCTATTCTCCTGCCTCAGCCTCCTGAGTAGCTGGGACTACAGGCACCCACCACCGCGCCCGGCTCATTTTTTTTTTGTATTTTTAGTAGAGACAGGGTTTCACTGTGTTAGCCAGGGTGGTCTCGATCTCCTGACCTCGTGATCCGCCCACCTTGGCCTCCCAAAGTGCTGAGATTCCAGGCAGGAGCCACCATGCCTAGCCTTATTTCGTAGGTCTATTAGTAATTGTTTTAATTTGGGAGCCCCAGTGCTAGGTGCATATATGTTTAGGATTGTGATATTTTCCTGTTGGACAAGGCCTTTTACCATTATATAATGTCCCTCTGTCTCTTTTAACTTCTGTTGCTTTAAAGTTTGTTTTGTCTGATATAAGAATAGCTACCCCTGCTGGCTTTTGGTGTCCATTTGTATGAAATGCCTTTTCCCACCCCTTTACTTTAAATTTATGTGAGTCCTTACTGCTAGGTAAGGACTGAAGGCAGCAGATGGTTGGTGAGTTTTTATCCACCCTGCGGTTCTGTATCTTTTAAGTGGAGCATTTAGGCCATTTACATTCAATGTTAGTATTGAGATGTGAGACAGCATTGCATTCATCGTGCTATTTGTTGCCAGTGTACTTTGTTTTTTGTTTTTGCTTTTTAACTTGTATTTTTGTTTTATAGGTTCTGTGTGATTTATGCTTTAAAGAAGTTCTGTTTTGATGTGTTTCCAGGAGTTGTTTCAAGATTTAGAGCTCCCTTTAGTAGTTCTTGTAGTGGTAGCTGGGTAGCGGCAAATTCTCTTAGTATTTGTTTGTCTGAAAAAGACTGTACCTTTCCTTCATATATGATGCTTAGTTTTGCTGGATACAAAATTCTTGGCTGATAATTGTTTTGTTTGAGGAGGCTGAAGATAGAGCCCCAGTCCCTTCTGGCTTGTATGGTTTCTGCTGAGAAATCTCCTGTTACTCTGATAGATTTTCCCTTATAGGTTACCTCGTGTTTCTGTCTCACAGCTCTTAAGATTCTTTCCTTCGTCTTAACTTTGGATAACCCGATGACAATGTGCCGAGGCAATCTTTTTGCGATGAATTCTCCAGGTGTTTTTTGTATTTCTTGTATTTGGATGGCTCAGTTCTCTAGCAAGGCCAGGGAAGTTTTCCTCAATTATTCCCCCAAATATGTTTTCCAAGCTTTTAGTTTTCTTTTCTTTCTCAGGAACGCTGATTATTCTTAGGTTTCATCATTTAACATAATCCTAGACTTCTTGGAGACTTTGTTCATATTTTCTTATTATTTTTTCTTTGTCTTTGTTGGATTAGGTTAATTCTAAGACCTTGTCTTCATGCTCTGAATTTCTTTCTTCTACTTGTTCAATTCCATTGTTGAGACTTTCCAGAGCATTTTGCATTTTGATAAGTGTGTCCAATGTTTCCTGAAATTTGATTGTTTTTTCTTTTCTGAGATGGAGTCTCACTCTGTTGCCCAGGCTGGAGTGCAGTGGTGCAATCTCGGCTCACTGCAAGCTCCGCCCCCCGAGTTCACACCATTCTCCTGCCTCAGCCTCCCAAGTAGCTAGGACCACAGGCACCTGTCACCACGCCCAGCTAATTTTTTGTATTTTTAGTAGAGATGGTGTTTCACCATGTTAGCCAGGATGGTCTCGATCTCCTGATCTCGTGATCCACCCGCCTTGGCCTCCCAAAGTGCTGGGATTACAGGCATGAGCCACTGCACCTGGACTGTTTTTCTTTTAAGCTGTCTGTTTCCTTGAATATTTCTCCCTTCACTTCTTGTATTTTTTTTTTCCTTTGCATTGGGCTTTGCCTTTCTCTGGTCCCTCCCTGATTAGCTTAATGACTAACCTCCTGACTTCTTTTTCAGGTACATCAGGGATTTCTTCTTGGTTTAGATCCATTGCTAGTGAACTCGTGTGATTTTTGGGGGGTGTTAAAGATCATTGTTTTGTCATATTATCAGAGTTGGTTTTCTGTTTTCTTCTCATTTGGGTAGCCTCTGTCAGAGGGAAGATCTTGGGCTGGAGGCTGTTGTTCAGATTCTTTTGTCCCACAGGGTGTTCCCTTGATGTAGTACTCTCCCCCTTTTCCTATGGATGTGCGCTCCTGTAAGCCGAACTGCAATGATTGTTGTCTCTCTTCTGGGTCTAGCCACCCAGCAAGTCTACCCAGCTCCAGGCTGGTACTGGGAGTTGTCTGCAAAGAGTCTTGTGATATGAACTATCTATGGGTCTCTCAGTGGTGTATACCAGTGCCTGTTCCAGTGGAGGTGGCAGGGGGTTGCAATGGACTCTGTGAGGGTTCTTAGCTTTGGTAGTTTAATGCTGTATTTTGGTGGTTTTTGGCCTCCTGCCAGGAGGTGACACTTTCCAGAGAGCCTCAGCTGTGGTAGTATGATGAGGAACCAGCGGTGGGTGGGGCTCTAGAACTCCCACGATTAAATGCTCTTTGTCTTCCACTACCAGGGTGGGTACGAAAGGACCATCAGGTCGGGGGCAGGGCTAGGCATGTCTGAGCTCAGACTCTCCTTGGGTGGGTCTTGCTGTGGCTGCTGTAGGGGATGGGGGTGAGATTCCCAAGTCACTGGAGTTGTGTACCTGGGCGGACTATGGCTGCCCCTGCTGAGCCATGCAAGTTGTCAGGGAAGCTGGGGAAAGCCAGCAATCACAGGCCTCACCCAGCTCCCATGCAAACCCAAGGGCCAGTCTCACTCCCACCATGCTCTCCCTACCCCCCAACAAACAGCACCGAGTCTGTTTCCAGGTGGTGGGCGAGCTGGGCTTGAAAACTTGCCCCAGGCTACCCACTTCCCAGCTGCAAAAGAAAAGGGCTTGGTTCTTCCTCCGCCTGTGGAGTCTGCACACCAGATTTGTGCCCTCCCCCAAGTTCTGGCCAGGAGCCTTCTCACCCCGTTCAAATTGTTACAGAGTTCAGCTGGAGATTTCCTTCTCCCTGTGGAGTTCCCCCAACCCACCCCGCCACCTCTGGCCACCCTCCCAATGGATCCCTCTGGTGCCAGGCAGGAATGGCCTGCTTGGGCTCCCAGCAAGCTCCCAGGGCCTTTCTGCTGCTTCCTCTACCCCTGTATTTTGCTCAGCTCTCTAAATTGGCTTAGTTCCAGGTAAGGTCAGAAACTTCTCCCACAAACAGAACTTCAGTTTCTCCAGTGGGGGTATGTGTTCAGGAGAGGAGGCTCTCCCTTTCCCCCTTCTGCAGTTGGGGCACTCACAGTATTTGGGGTATCTCCCAGGTCCTGCAGGAGCTGTCTGCTTCCTTCAGAGGGTTTGTGGATCCTCTCAGGATTGCTGGTTTGTTCTTGTAGTCAATCTGGAGCTAAAGTTCACAGTGCAAGCCTCTGCATACTGCTCTGTCCATTTGAGTCCCTCAAATTTTTTTGTCACCAATTTTCCAATCATGCTTCTTCCAAGTCCCTGACCATCCAGCCAGACCATTTGCTACACCCCATGAATCATATATAATCACACATCTGGTCATTTCTCCTTCCATGCAAAGTGCACACTGTTTAGGTGCACTGCTCAAAGTTCTGCCCACTGGGAAGATTTCCCTTCACTGCTGTCCTTCAGAGATATCCTTTCAAAAGGGGCTGTAGTGCTGCAGCTGTCCACTTCCAGGTGGTGCATGCATATCATGCAGAATCATCAGTGAACCAGGCCCTAGTCTTCTCTTCTTCTGTCAACTGATCATAGGGAACTAACTCCCCATGAGGCCACTGGTGCAGGCTCGGGGAGAGAAGGCAGGGTGGCTGGAGTGGAGACCGTGGGCAT
Source organism: Homo sapiens (assembly GCF_000001405.40). Lineage (NCBI taxonomy): Eukaryota > Metazoa > Chordata > Mammalia > Primates > Hominidae > Homo > Homo sapiens. The sequence goes on along the minus strand of NC_000011.10, from coordinate 79,128,482 downwards.
TTGAGCCACTTCCTCATGTAACTTATTTGTGCCTTCAGGACCTGCTCAAGCCCAATCACGTATATACCATTTCCTTTTGATGATGGAATGCTGCTGTGCATGAGCCACTTTATGGATAGATGGGTCTGAAAGCACCCAGTTCATGATAGACAGTACAGGTTTCATGGTGACTTGATGACCCATAGTCAAATGTTCAGTTTCCACCAAAGCCCAGTAACAGGCCAAGAGCTGTCTCTCAAAAGGAGAGTAGTTATCTGCAGAAGATGCCAGGGCTTTGCTCTAAAATCCTAGAGGCCTCTGCTGTGATTTACTTATGAGGGCCTGCCAAAGGCTCCAAACATCATCCCTATCTGCCACTGACACCTCAAGCACCATTGGATCTGCTGGGTCATCTGGCCCAGCTTGCACAGCAGCCTGGACCTGTTGCAGACCCTTCTTTTCTGGACCCCACTCAAAACTGGCAGCCTTTTGGGTCACTCAATAAATGGGCTGGAGTAACACACCCAGATGAGGAATGTCTTGCCTCCAAAATCCAAATAGGCCCACTAGGCATTGTGCCTCTTTCTTGGTTGTAGGAGGGGTCAAATGCAGCAACTTATCCTTCACCTTGAAGGAATATCTTGACAGGCCCCATACCACTGGACTCCTAGAAATTTTACTGATGTAGAAGGTCACTGAATTTTAGTTGGATTTATTTCCCATTCTCTGGCATGCAAATGTCTCACCAATAAGTCCAGCATGTTTCCTACTTCTTGCCCACTGGATCCGATCAGCATAAGGTCATCAATGTAATGGACCAGTGTGATATCCTGCTGAAGCAAAAAGTGATCAAGGTCTCCCCGAATAAGATTATGAAACAAAGCTGGAGAGTTGATATACCCCTGAGGTAGGACAGTAAAAGCATATTGCTGGCCTTGCCAGCTGAAGGCAAATTGCTTCTGTTGGGGCTTATGGACAGGAATGGAAAAAAAAGTATTTGCCAAGTCAATGGCTGCATACCAGGTACCAGGAGATGTGTGAATTTACTCAAGCAACAAAACCACATCTGGTGCAGCAGCTGCAATTGGAGTCACTACTTGGTTAAGTTTACAATAATCCACTATTATTCTCCAAGATCCATCTGTCTTCTGCACAGGCCAAATGAGAGAGTTGAACAGGAATGTGGTGGGAATCACCACCCCTGCATCTTTCAAGTCCTTGATGGTGTCACTAATCTCTGCAATCCCTGCAGGGATGGATATTATTTTGGATTTACTGTTTTTCTAGGTAGAGACAGCTCTAATGGCTTCCATTTGGCCTTTCCTACCATAATAGCCCTCACACTACCAGTCAGGGAGCCAATGTGGGAGTTCTGCTAGCTACTAAGTTTGTCTATGCCAATTATGCATTCTAGCACTGGGGAAATGGCAACAGGATGAGTGGGGGAACCCACTGGACCCACTATAAGTCAGATCTGAGCTAAAACTCCATTAATTATCTGACCTCCATAAGCGCCTACTTTAACTGGAGGATCACAATGATGTTTTGGGTCCCCTGGAGTCAGCATCAGCTCAGAGCCAGTGTCCAGTAGTCCCCAAAATGTCTGATCATTTCCCTTTCTCCAGTGCACAATTACTGTAGTAAAAGGCCAGATGTCTCCTTGGGGAAGGATGGGAGAAAGATTCACTGGATAAATTGTTGATAATGTAGTAGGGTCCTTCCTCAAGCAGAGCTGGCCTCCCCCTTCATTCAAGGGGTCAGGGTCTGTAAACTGGCACAAGTCTGGAAATTGATTGAGGGGCCATGATTCTCTGTTTTTTTATTATTCAAATTAGTCTTTTGTCCATTCGACCTAGAATTTTTCTACTTGTATAAATTACATAGGAATGCAGTAGGCTTCCTATCAGTTTCACTTCTAGTAACACCATGATAAATTAGCCAATGCCAGAGCTCTACACAAATCAGACTATTCTGATTTCCACTTTGCCTCTGCTGTCCATTAAGGTAGCAATGCCCACCTTGCCTTTGACAGTTGAGTGCCGCCACTTGGCCCCTGCCACCTTGGGATCCAATTATTCCCACTATATTTAAATTTTGTAGTTGAGTGACTGTGGTTCCCACTGTTAGATCTGACATACAGAGATGAGCAATTACAGGGCTCTTTAAAGATGCAGGTGCTGCCCTCACAAATCTATTTCACAAGCATTGGTCAAGGGTATATCTTTTGAACCCTCCCAACTGGGATGAGTAGGTCTAAAGTGACTAATTCACTCCACCATCCCAATCTCCCTAAGCCTTTGGATCCCTTCCTCTACATTAAACCAAGGGAGATCAAGCATTTCCAGCTAACTCACAGTGGGCCATCTTTTAATCCATATTTCAGCTAACCAAGCAAATAAACTATTAGAACCTTTTTTAATTCTCCAAGCTGCAACATTAAATGCAGATTCCCTACTTAGTGGGCCCAAATCAATAAATTCAGCCTGATTAAACTCTGTTTCTTCTACCATTATCCTACACCCTTAATATCCGTTCCCATGCCTGTTCTCCAGATTTCTGTTTATATAAATTAGAAAACTCAAGCAGTTCTTTTTGAGTGTAGCGCACTTCCTCATGGGTCACACTCTCATCCTCACCTCTAGGGGCTCGCTGGGACTTTAGTTATAGGTCTAGAAGCAAACAGGGGTGTTGGGGGTGGCTCCTGAAGAGAGTCAACATTATCTTGCCTGGCAACTGCCTCAGGGGAGGCCATCACTGTTGCCTCAGGCAGCTCAGGGTTTATGTCCTCAGACAAAGATGGAAAGGCTGATGGGGCAGCATGGGTCAGGGAGGGAATGTTGCCACTACTGGGGATGGGGAAGCTGTTTCTTCTGGCAAAAAAGTTCATCAGAGTTTACAAACTCAGAATCCCCAGCTTCATCAGGGTCGTCCCACACACCCCCCATTCCAAGTTGCAGGGTCCCATTCTTTTTCAATCAATGCCTTCACTTTAACCGTAGACACCTGGTGAGGCTGTGCATGCATCTTTTGTTGCAGGTCAGCCACTCACATGATAAGAGCTTGTGTCTGTTTTTCCACAATTTCAGCTCTTTCCCTGCAGGAGATAAGACTCTCATTCAGGGCAGTCTTAACAGATTTGAGGCTCACTATCTGCTTCTGAAGCCAGGAGATGGAATCCCTGAGTTCATTACTTTCTTTCATCACTTTGTCTACTGAACTTAAGAGCAACCAACCAGCTTCATTATGTTCCTTAGCTCTCCACATATGTTCAAAAGTATTAGGTATAGAGTCACTAAACCCCTTGCTTCTCACGAGCAATGAATCAGGAGTGTCAAATGGATTTATTTTGCATAAGTCTGTAAACAGTTCACACCAAGGACTATCAGTGTTCTCCACAGGATTAGAAGTAGAGTCCTTAGCATTTTGGGGTCTAATCATATTAAGCAACCAATTCCAGAAACCCTGAAACCACCAAAATACTCCATCCTTAATATTCTATTTCTCTAGAACCACTCCTGGTCCCAAAATCTGTATTAGGGTTTTCTAGAGGGACAGAACTAATCAAATATATATATATACATACACACACACACACACACACACACACACATATACATATACATATATACACATACATATACATATATATACATATGTGTATATATATACACACACATACATATACATATATATACACATACATATACATATATATACACATATATATGTGTATATATATATATATATTTGATTAGTTCTGTCCCTCTAGAGAACCCTAATACAGATTTTGGTACCAGGAGTGGTTCTAGATATATATATGTATGTATACACACACACACACACACACACACACACACATATATATATATACGTGCATATGTATGTATATATACACACACACACATATATATATGATAAGGGTAGTCTATTAAGTATTAACTCACACTGTCACAAGATCCCACAATAGGCTGTCTGCAGGCTGAGGAGCAAAGAGAGCCAGTCCAGCTTCCAAAACTGAAGAACGTGGAGTCCGATTTTTGAGGCCAGGAAGCATCCAGCACAGGAGAAAGATGTAGGCTGGGAGGCTAGGCCAGTCCCTCCTTTCACATTTTTCTGCCTGCTTATATTCTAGCCAGGAAGCTGATTAGATTTTGCCAATCCATATTAAGGGTGGGTCTGCCTTTCCCAGCCCACTGACTCAAATGTTAATCTCCTTTGGCAACACCCTCACACACACACCCAGGAATAATACTTTGTATCCTTCAATCCAATCAAGTTGGCACTCAATATTAACCATCACACCATTGTGGAAGAAAACTTGCAGAGAACTCTTCTGATTTAGGCCTGGCTGAAGGCAGGAGCTTGGCAGAGATGCAGGACAAAGTACCCAGCCTCAGAGTCCTGCCAACGGACCCACAGTCAAAACCCAATATGAATTTGACATAGTAGGTATTATTGTAGGACAAAATATCCCAGGCTCCCAAGCTGTGTTCTGTGATACATCAGCCCTATAAAATGGGTTTAAAAAAAGAAGAAGAAGAAAAAGAAAGTTTTCCCTGTTGAGTGATCTGAGAAGCCCTGTACACTGACTCCTCTTGGTTGATCTCAGGGCCACTAGCACACTAAAGGCTCTGAGAAGGCCTGCAGTAAGGGTGCTAGCCTCATGTTTCCCAAACTTATTTGCCCCAGAATCCCTTTTGCGTGTTTATTCAAACCCCTCTGTTCTTCAGTTCATCCTAGAGAATGGCCTGAAGGCTAGGTTAGAGCTCTAAGGAAGGAGAGAGGATGGGGCTTCCCCGAAAAGGGACATTTTGTGTGCATTGCACAAGGCCCAGTCCAAGCCTAGCACAGTCTCTGTCCCCCAGTGAGTGCTCAGTAAATTCTTAATAAAAAAAAAAAAAAAAGGGGCTACTGCGTTTGTCTGGAGAGAAGAGTCCAGAGTTCTCAACAGAGGCTGGAGACAGAGAGGATGCATATAGCAGGGTGTCGTCCAAGTGTACTTTTGGCAGTTTAATGTAGGGCCTTTTTCCTCTGACTTGACCCCCTCTCTTGACTACTGGCAACAAGGGGCAGCCAAAGCAAAGTGGTTTAGGGCATATACCTTGGGGCCAGACTACCTGGGTTGAACCCCAGCTCCATCACTTCCTAGCTAGTTCCTTGGGAAAGTTGTCGTAACTTTTCAATATCTCAGTATTTTCAGCTGTAAAATGGGCCTAAAAATAGTGCTATAACTATTTAGTGTCCAGCTCAATAACGCCCAGGATTAAATGTGTTAATATAGGTTTGGTCCTGGCCCATAGTAAGCACTATGTAAGCATAAGATACATGAGACAGTCCTCATCTATTGTCTTATTCCAGTGTTTACCTCCCAGGGTCTGAGTTCCCTTTCCCAACGTTTCCCAGCAGACTGAAGATTCTCATATTCCTGAGTGAGGCACTCTGCAAATTTGTTTTCTGCCCCCACTGGCATCAGGAAGAGCCAGGATGACGTTGCTTCATTTCCAGTAGTCAGGGCTGTTTGAGGTAAGGCTCAGGTTCCCTTCCCGGTTATTGGTGCTTAACCATGCAGGCTGGGTAAATATTTCTGAGGGAGTCCAGCACATCTATTATTAATTTACTGCAAGCAGTTGCTGTACTTTCCAGAAATACCTCTGCCTACAGATGTTTTCTAGACTGTGTAGAGTTCTCCTGACCTTAATGCTTTTCACAGGGTGTGGTGGGAATCAGTTCCTTTAGTGGGGGAAGGATGGACAGTTGTGTGGGCAGTGGACAAGGGGTACCAGTTGGATCTTGTTGGATCTGATCATGGAGGCAGTGGACTCTTGTTCTTTTTATGCCCTACTTTCAGCTTCAAACCTGGCTTACAGGCCAGAAACCTGGGTATCGTTTTTTGGTAGCACCCTTTACTGTCATGACCCCATATCCAGTCAGTCACCAAGGCCTAGAGATGCTATCTCCAAAAGGTCATGAATCCAGTCCCCTCTCTGTACCGCCATTGCTAAGCTAGTCCCAGCGGACATCTCTCATCTTCCAAGTCTCAGCTTCCTTGATTGCTAAACTCAATCAGACCCCCTGCTTTGTGTTCCCATAGAACCCCACTTTTTAAAAATCACCTTTTAATCTTTAAATGGGCTGTCCAGGCTCCAACTTCTCTAGTGGACGATTAGCTCCATTCTCTTCTTAGTAACAGTGCCCGACAAATATAAATCTCCCAGTGATAAAAGAAAAGAGTGCTTTCCCTTCCTCCTTTCTTTCCCTCCTTCCTTCCTTATTTCCTTGCATTATTTTTATTAATTAACATTAAAAGGGGACTAGCAATCACCTGGTCAAATTGCATTCCCTAGAGGAACCTCAAGGCCCACTGTAGGAAGAAAGGAGACACATTTTTAAGCAGAACCCTGAACCCCACAAACCCCTCACCAACCAGCAGCAATCCTGAATCTCTGTTAGACATTGAAATTTTACCTTAGTATTTTTCTTGAGCGGTGGGGAAACAAAAAGTGGTTATCCTATGATAAAAGGTTTGGACAACATCAATCTATTCTTATATTCTCATTTTTCAGAGCAAAACTGTGCCAGGTGCTTTGCATATGTTCACTCATAAACAAGAAAGGTATTATCCTCATTTTATAGATTCAGAAACTGGTCCTAGAATAGTGAGGAAACTTGTCCATGGTCAGACAGCCAGTGTGCAGTGGGTCCAGAATTCCTATCCAGTATTGTTAAACTCCAAACTCTTTCCACCACCACCTGCTGCCTCCCTAAGACCTGTCCTCCAGCAAACGATGGGTTCCTGAGCCAACTGTGCAGTCTGGCATGGCTGCAGTGGCCACAGACAGATCACTGGGATGTAATTGGACACTACTTGCTCAGAGGAACAGGGCCCTCATTCCTAGGGCTTCCTGGCTGTGCAACTGTGAGATGCTAATTAGAGAGAAATGAAGTCTTGTGTGGGCCAGGGAAGAGCTGGGCTACTCCGCCGCATGGTCCTTTATGCCTAAAATAAAGCTACTTGGCTGGGAACCCAGAGTCTTTTCAGTACAGCCTGAGTCTTCCTTCCCATGTGTCAGGGGTTTCTCCCAAGGAAATCCTAGACAAAGCAACAACCCAGGAAAAGAAAACCGTGTTCCAGATTATACAAAAAGACAGCATTTGTTTTACCTTGAACTTTCTGGTCTCTCTTGCCTTTCCTTTGTCCTCAAGCCCAGATTATTTTGACTTCCACTTTGGGGTGAAGTCTGGCCTATGTAAACAAGAAAACTAGAATGGAAGACAGGAAAGCTCCTAGAAAGCCTATGTAAACAAGAAAGCCTATGTAAACAAGAAAACTAGAATGGAAGACAGGAAAGCCCTAGCTCCTCCAGAGCTCATTGTGTGGCTTTGGGCATGTCACATGGCCTCTCTAAGTCTCTGTCTCCCCATCTAAGAGTGTTTTGGACAATATGATCACAACTACCATTACAAAGATAGTTAAAAGCAATCGCTCTGGAGCTGAGTTTAAATCCAAGCTCTCCCATTACTAATGTGTGACTTTGGGCAAGTTATATAAGCTCCCGAGGCCTCAGTTTTATCATCTGCAAAATGGGATAACAGTAATGTCTATCTCATAGATTTGCTGTGGGGGTTAACAAGTAAAGCAGTTAGAATAATGCCCAACAAATAGTAAGTTATTTATTTGTTGTCATATAATAGTAAGTTATTATGGTAGTGGTTTTGGTTGTGATCATCTCCATTCATGAAACCATACTTTGTGATTCTGCACTTTTATCTGCCTAGAGCATGTCCAAAATCTCCCAGTATTTAGTATTTATATTTTTCACTTTTATTGTTGGGAAAATATGTAATGACAACAAGCTGCTGTGGATTCAGCAATGTTTTAACTGAATGAGTATTCATCATAACAGCTCCTACATATGTTGCATAAGACATGGACTCAGTTATAGACAATGCTTGGTGAGACCTCAGCATTGTTACTGCCCAAATCCTACCAGTAACAATGTGTCCCTAGTTAGAAACGTCTGATTTTGATTATTGTTGTTCCTTCCAGCCTAGTTCATGCCCATGGTGGGCACTAAGTTAGTGTTTTATTGAACAAAACAATTAACTGGACAGACAGACAGATGGGTGGATGGATGGATCTGTTTTACATTTGCCTCTTGATTTAATTTCAGCAGAATAAGTGAGTACAGGTGTTACTGTGTGTTTTTCTATGAGCATTTGCAGAGAAAGCCTCAGCTATCTCTATCTTAGGGAAGTAGATGGTCCTAGTTACATATTTTGCATATTCCCTCATCTGTTGGTTTATAAGGTCATTTTTCACTGAAGTCCTTTCAGCTGTCCTGCGTTGACAATAGACAAGCACTCCCTCTTCTACTCCCATGCCTTCTTCATCCAACAATGAGGGCTTTGTGCTGGGAAGATGCCTGTGGATGCTTCCTTCCCAAGGCTTCAAAGCCTCGTCTGGCTTCTATCAAGGGTATTGATGGGGGAGGGGACCCAGACAGTTGGATTCAGGGAGCAGTGCCTGTGGCCTGGTGCCAACGGAATATGTCAGGCTGGGGTAGATAATTCAATGTCTATTCTGGGATATAGACAGCCTGGTTACCTGAGCTGGTTATCGAGCTATTTGCAGCCACTGCCCTGCAAGTCATCAAGCTCTAGTTTACCAGAGCCTTTTGCTCCAGGATCAGGAGAGGATGGACATCTGGAGAGGACAGATGGGAGAGAGTAGAGGGGCGGGCTGCCAGTCTCAGGGTGTGAAGAGTCTTACCCCATTGGAGCAAGAGGCTGTTGTGGCTACTTCCTCTTAGGGCTTCAGTTCACTAATGAGATTAAAATGCCAACAGCCTGCCTCTGCGCACACTTACTTAGGAACACATTGGTTTGAACTGCTTAATGAGCGTTAGGAATCTAAGAAAGGTCTGGGCAGGCGCCTGGCTGATGCCTTGATGATTAGAATACTAAATGTGTCCCCCTTTGAAAGCCAGCAGTTGCTGGAGAGCAAAGCCAGTTCTGAGACTTTCTTTCCTTGATTATCCTTGCATTCCCACTGTTTTCAGATAGTTATAAATCAATGACCTGAAGTGGGTATGGAATTGTTATGACAATGATTTTTATAACAACAAGGACAATAATGATAATGATTATCACAATAATAATGATTATCAAACCTAGATGCTCACCAGAAATACCCAGACATTTGTTGGTTGTTTAGCTTATTTTTTGTTGTTGTTTTGAAAATACAGACTACTAGGCCCCATCCCTAGTAATTCTATTTCTCTAGACCTGGATGGAGGCCCAGGAATTTATTTGCTTAACAGGTGTGCTGGATGATTCTAATGTACTTGGCTGAGCCCTGGCTTTGGGAACTGCTATTTAGTGAGGGCACCCAGGACCTAGAATGATGTCTGACTACCACTTCCTAAATGTGTGATCTCATACCTATTGCTTAGCCTCTGAACCTCAATTTTATTATCTTTAAAAATGGATTAGGTAAAATGTTGTAGCTACAGTGAAAAACAGTATGGCAATTCCTCAAAAAGTTAAAAATGAAATTACTATAGATCCAGCAATTGTACTTCTGAGTGGAACCCAAAAGAATTAAAAGCAGGGTCTCAAAGAGAGGTCTATATGTCCATGGACATAGCAGCATTATTTGCAATAGCCAAAAAAGGTGCAAACCACCTGGGTATCCATTGGCAGATGAATGGATCAATAAGATGTAGCATATATATATGCAACGAAGTATTATTCAGCCTTGAAAAAGAAAGGGAATTCTGACACATGCTACAACGTGGATCAACCTGAAGAATATTATGTAAGTGAAATAAGCCAGTCACAACAAGACATATGATGTATGATTCCACTTTTAAGAGGTACCTAGAGTAGTCAAATTCATGGAGACAGAAAGTAGAAGGGTGGTTGCCAGGGTCTGGAGGGAAGGGGGAATAGGGCTTTATTGTCTAATGGGTATGGAGTTTCAATTTTGAAAGATGAAGAGTTCTGTACAGGGATGATGGTGATGGCAGCACAGTAGTGTGAATGTACTCAATGCCATTGAAGTATAGACTTGAAAAGGGTTAAAATGGTAAATTTTATATTATGTGTATTTTACCTCAATGTTTTAAAAGGGGATTAGGTAATATCTTCTTTCCAGAGTAATTCTGAGAATGACATAAAATGTCATCTCTAAAGAGCCTAATACAGTGCCTGACAGTGTTTCTTTCTCTTCTCTTTATCATTTGCCAAGTCCTTTCATAACCATATTCTTATTACTACTCAGTGATGGCACACAGGACTCAGAATGATGTCTGACTGCCACTTACTGCCACTTCCTAAATGTGTGGTCTCATGCCTATTGCTTAGCCTCTGAACCTCAATTTTATCATTTTTAAAAATGGATTCAGCAAAATGATGTAGCTGCTATGAAAAACAATGTGGCATAAAATATCATCTGTAAAGCATCCAACTAGCACAGTGCCTGACACACAGTGAATGCCCCAAAAGCATTTCTTTCTTTTCCCTTTGCCATTTGCCAAGCCTTTTCATAACCATTCTCTTCCCTGGGTCTTCTTATGTGTGTTCCCTGCGCAGGTATGTCTGAAGGGAAGGGGGAAAGGGAACTAGTGTGTGTTGATGGCTAATTAGGAGTTATTCCATTCAACCTTCATTTACCTGTGGAAAGTGGGTATTCTCATTTTACTGATGAAGAGACTGATGTGTAGAAAGGTTAAATGACTTGCCTGAGATCACAAAACTAAGACAAGGAAGAGCAAGGTTCAGCTGGCCTTACCACACCCTGTCAAGCAGGTTTGCCTACAGATGGTTGTGGACAGTGGCTGCTGCTCTCCAGGGAGAATGTGCCAGGAGCTACACTTGGAACTGGCTTGAACATCATTTGAGGCAATGAGAAGTTTGTTGAAGAGTATTCCCCAGAATCCTTAGGGGAAGTGGAGGCTTGATGAAGCCAAGGTCATGTTTGGCCCCCGCCCCATCACCTGGCAGGTGCTCAGAGCCCAGCCCCTGATAGCCCTTCCAGTCCCAGCTACTATTAGGCAAGGCTCTGTCATGATCACAACATTTAAAGGACAGCCTCTTCTAGAGACTGGGATTGTTTGACATGAGATGGGCTTCAAATCAGGCTTGAAAATAGCCTCCTGCCTATGTAGGCCAACCAAGAAAGATGCATGCCCCTTGAATACAAAAAGAATTCCGATTTCCCTCCTAGCACGGCCATTATGTGCCTGTCTCTGACGTAAAGAGAGCTGATGAAGGGGAAAATCACATGGGCACAGTGTGATCAGGGCCCAGTGGGGTGGTTACTGCTAAAGTCAACATCAGGGTTAGGCGTTTATTACAAATGTGTGAGTTGAATTGGACAGCATATTGAATAGGTGCATTATCAATACCATCATCACAGTGAATTGAACAGCTACATTGGGTAGCTGAATAAAAATGATAATAATGATGATGATGATGGTGATAGTAGCTGTGGTAAGAATGACACAGGCAACTTGAATAACTGAACTGGAGAGTAAATTGGATTACCCTGAAAAATAAAAAGTAAAACTTGTGCTTACCCTGTGCAGGATCCATGCTAAGCATGTTATACACCTTTCCCCCCATTTCTCTTTAAAAAGCCCTGTGGGGTAGACAGTATCATCTGTTTTGCAAATAAGGAAGACTGAGCAGATGACTCATGTGTCCAAGGCAACATGGCTGATGTTGATCCAGAATTGGAATCTGAGGTCTACCTGGCCCCAGGCGATATATTTCGGACTCCCACAGATTTGCTAAACAGTAAGTAAATCAGGGTTGATGATTCATTTTCAGAAACAAAATCATTTACTTGCTGTATAGGAAGAGTCCTTTAAAAAGTAACTATCACCTAGTGTGTTCAACATAAAACCCTGATTATAAAGATTCATTTGGGGGAGAGCATTTTCAACAATAATCCTTCCCATCTGTAAGGCTACAATACTATTTTACTATTTCACAGCACCGTCACGGGTATTATGTTCAACGTCAACTTGACTTAGACAAAAACTTATCACTATTTTTCTCTGTGGCAACAGCATGCATTTGGCATCTGTCAGTGGTTAAACAAGCAGGCTGTGGTGCCGAAGTCCTGAATTTGAACCCCAGCTTTACTCCTTACTAGCTGTGAGTTTGAGCAAGCTACTTAGCATTTCTGAGACTCATTTTCTTCATCTGTGAAGTGGGCAGAATAACTTTACATAATGAATGTTAAGTTCTGTTCCAAAGTGTCACCGAATAAGTGAGAAATGCCATTTATGATTTACTATGCCCACCCAACAACATTCTGAGGATAATGTGGCTTATTCTTTGTAGAAACCTACGGTAAGACCAATGTGGACAATTTTGTTTCTCAGTGTCAATTAATATATTGTTATTCTGCTTTGTGCTTCAGTCTCACAGGAACTTTTCAAGTGTCTTCAGGTCCTATTGCCATTGGGGTGCTGATAAATTTGGGTTTCTGAAAGGGCCAAGTTATTGTCCTGACTCCAAGGCAGAGAAAATTCCCCCAGATTCTGCCTCTCCTGTCTGCCCATCTGGGGCCTCATCAGAGTAGAGAAACCTAGACTCTTCGAGTCAGAGCAGACCTTGGAGATTACATAGAAGGACATATCTTGGCCTGTGAGGGATAGGTGAGGTGCCTGGCAGATATGATAGGAAGAGCAGAATTTGCTACTGAAGGCCCTTGGGCAGCCCTCTTCACTCATCTGTGCCTCAGTTTCCTCACCTTGCTTGCAGGGTTCTGATGTCTTGGACAAGCACTTTGGAATGCCCAAATAGGGACAGCATCTGAGGCCAGCATGGAACATTAAGAAGCCTCACCCTCATTCAGATGCTCAGAATCCACAGGAATAAAGACAGTTGGATACTCACGTCTGGAGCTCAAGAAAGAGGTCAGGCTAGAGGATAAGATTCAGGGTGAAAACCCAGGAGGAGATGTGATCACTCAGGGGAGGGTAGAGCATCAGAAGAAAAGAACAAACTGACTTTATTGTAGTGATTCTGGGGAAATGAAGACCTGAGCTAGTCCATGGTAGTGGGAATGGAAAGAGAATTACTAAGGTATAGTCAGTAGAATATGGTTTCTGCTGATTTGAGAGTTGGCGAAAAGAGATAAAAAGAGATAATTTGACATGGATTAAATCCAAGGTCCTCCCCAGCCCTCTCCTCTGCCCACCCCAGGCTGGGCAGGTTGCTTCTTATTTATGGTCCCACCAAGTGTCTGCATGGCAAACCCCACCGTGTATAGTAATTGTCTGTGTACATGTTGACATTTTCCAAGTTTCCGTCATCCAAGTGCTTATTCACTTCCTTACAGGTCCTAACTCAAATAGTTTGCCTCCCATACCAGCCCTCACTATCTCCCTTTCCTACTTTATTTTTCTTCATAGCCCTCCATACATAGATAATTGTTTAGTTATTATTATCAATCTCCCTGACTAGCCCTTAAGCTCAGTATAGCAGGGACAGACTTGATCTGCTTTATTCACAGCTATATTCCTAGAGCCTAGAAGAGTGCTCAAGATGCTTAATAAACATGTGCTAAATATCCCCTGCCTCTTCGCATCCCCAGACTGAATACCCCTTATTCTCTCTGACTCTGCACATATGGCAGGGTTTCCTATCTATCCTGGCCAATGCCTTGGAGATCCTTACCCAGACACAACAATCCAGAGGGCTTCTATGTTGCTCTGTCCTGTATAATTGGATAATTATTTCTCTGCATGAAGACAGTCTGATGAACTGGATCAGTTACATAAATTATGTAACATAAAAATGTGGAGCCCCTTGTTCAAAAATAAAGAATTTCAAGACAGTCATGGCAGAGCATTCAACCAAGCATGGCTGCTTCTGAGTGTTGGCCCTCTGTGACTGCACAGGTCACACACCCATGAAGCCCTTCTGATGGGGACCAGATCTTAGCAGGCTGTAAATACCAGGCTCCAGATTTATATTTTGTCATGTAGAAAATAAAAAACTACAGAAGGATTTTGAAGAGAGGGGACTTTTACAGTTTCACTGTTTCCTGACTGTAAGTCGTACTTATTGAAGAAAATTTGCACAAGGGCAGAAAGGTATATAATTATAAGGTATAAGATATTAATCTCCTCCCTTTCCTACCTCTTGCCTTGCAGACACCAAATGCAAAAGTAGCCAGTGGACACTTGGCTGATTTCCTTCTGTCTTTCCAAGTTTATTTTTTTTCTATGTAACATAGTTAAGATTGTACTTCAGCTACAACTTTGTATCCTGCTTTATTCACAAGACATTGAGAGAGGAGGGAGGGGCTTTAAAATACATGTTGAGGGAGATTGGCCTGAACACGAGCTCATAGAGTGAATTGGTGGTACAGGGTTGGCAGCAAGGCGTTGAGATAGAGGCAGAGTTAGGGCCCTGGAACAGAGAACAGAGGAGGTCCTGGACTAAGGGGTTAGAAGTGGGAGTGGAGAGATCGTTTGGGAGCTGAAACCACTCTGATGGGAGAATGATCACAACCCCCACCCTTCATGAATTCCCTTAACTCATGGGAAAGAGTCTCAAGGTCTGGTCATGTCTTTCAGGAGTTGTGCAGGCAACAACAAGCATTGAGAGTCATTTCTCAAACACAAGTCTTGGTCTCCTTCCTTCTAAGGTTAGGCCTGTCCTTCTCCACTCCTATAAGGGTCAGACAGTAAATGCTGGGCCCCAGGACAGCCTCTGAGGGCAGCAAATAGGAATCCAGAGACAGAGCAGGCATGGCAGGGCCAGGGTTCCCAATGTCCACCACACACACCTCAGGATTGAGAATTGCCATTTTGTTGGTTAATCCCCAGTGCCTAGGCTGGCAAAGGGGAGAGTTAACATTGTCATTGGATCCTTAATTGTGCGTTTCATGAATTTTCATGTTTCCGCTTGCAAGCTTAATGTTGCTTTCTCGGTGAGTTTTTTTGTCCTTGAGAGTAAGAGACTTGTAATTACAGAGTGTTGTGGATTGCAGAGGGTGATTAAAATGGATTTTGTGAAATCTGAAGCACCCCCTCTCTTTCTCTCTCTCTGTCACACACACAACACACACACACACACACACACACACACCAATCCAATAGGCGGGGGAGTAACTCAGACAGAATCCCATGAAGTTCAGAGATTCAGGATATGAAGGATATGAATTTTCTTCATGCTTTCCCTCCGTGGGTCTTGGATCCACTCCAAGACAGCCTTCCCCTTCCCTCTCTTGCTTCTCCTCCTCCTCCCTTTCCTGAATGAAGTCCAGCTTATATCCCTGACCCTCAGCTGACTCTGACCCCCAGGGCTGGCTGCTTTCTCACTTGAAGGGATGATAAAACAAAGAGTAGATTTTCATCTTTGCTTTTGTGCAGCTGTCAAGTGTGTTTCATTACCATCTCAGCCAGCCTATTCTCCCATCTGAGAGGGTCCTTCACTTTGAATAGAGGCCTGAAAATTGCTGAAACCAGCAAGGGTGTAAGAATTCCCATTTTGGTGTCTCTTCCTCCTAGGACAAGTTAGTGCTTGATGGAAGTGAGAACTGATCTTTTCTGCCTTTGTCAATATGAACGGCTTGTTGGTGCAGAGAGGACATTTGAAGTATAAGTGACCAGGAAGTGAAGGGTGGGGAGAGGATGGGAGGAAGACTTCCTGGAGGAGGTGGGGCTCTGCCTTGAAGAAAGAGGAAGACCATAGTGGGATCCTTGGAGAAGGAAAGTGGAACAGCAGGGAGTCCAGCCTGGCTAGATGGGAACAATCCCCTAGGAATGATGCTCCTTGACCAATGAGGAAACCAGGGCAACCTACTTGAGTGTATGGGTGTGTTCGTGCTGTAAAGGACTTGGGAAGTCACTGAAGCCAGAGCTTCTATTTAAAAGAAGGGTCTCTACCGCACCACAGCCAGCCTGACCCTGGCCTGACCTGAACTGACCAGTGGTTCCCCTCAGACAACCTCCCTGTCCATCTCCCACCCACCTACCTCTCACCCTAACTCCACCCCAGCCCCCTTCCCATAAACACAGTCCTGAATCACCCCGCTCAGCTGTGTGCTTGAGCAGTGAACAACCTGCCCAACCATATGCAGCAGCCCTGAGCAGGGCTTACAACCAGGTCTCTCTTTTTCTCAGTTTACACTCTCTGTGCCCCCAACCATGCCATATGCTCCACCACACTGAATTCTATCTGGATTTCTGAGAATCTTTACATCTCAGAGCTTAACATCCCACATTCTAGAATTTGGTTGTGCATATTACTTATGCACAAGCATATATAAATTTACAGACACGGGTATATGCATGTGTGTGTGCGCACACGTGCATCTCTTTCAAGTGTCCAAAGATGGCACTGCTGATGGCGGAACGTGTTCATGGCTGGGCAGAGAAGACCACTTCCTCTGCACCCTACACGACCAATGAGGCAGCTTCCAGCTGACTTCTGCAGCCTCTTCATCACCCTTCCTCTCTCTGCCCCCACCTTGCCCTCCTGCAGTGAATGTAGAGTTCCCCACACAGATTTTTTTTTGTAACTCCATATCTTTGTGTTGATCCCTCTGCCTGAAGTGCTTTTCTCACACTGCTCTTCATCTAATAAATTCTTTCAAGCCAGGATTCACCCACGTCTCCTCTCTGAGACTCTTCTTGACCACCCCCCTCCCACCTCCTTTCTCTGTATGACCCATGTTCTTCTGTGGTGTGTGTGCTGCCACATCATATTTGAGTTTCCATGGCAGCCTCTCTTACTAGCATGTGGGCTCCCGAGGGCAGGCCCATGGCCTCACCTGTCTCTGTCCCCTGTGCCCAGCACAGGTTCTGGTCCATTAAGGAGTATATCAGTTTGTTTTCACACTTCTGACAAAGACATACCCGAGACTGGGTAATTTATAAAGAAAAAGAGGGGTTTTGTTTTTGTTTTTTTGTCGTTGTTGTTGTTGTTGTTGTTGAGACAGAGTCTAGCTCTGTTGCCCAGACTGGAGTGCAGCAGCGCCATCTCGGCTCACTGCAAGCTCCACCTCCCGGGTTCACACCATTCTCCTGCCTCAGCCTCCCAAGTAGCTGAGACTACAGGTGCCCGCCATCATGCCCAGCTCATCTTTTGTATTTTTAGTAGAGATGCGGTTTCACCGTGTTAGCCAGGATGGTCTCAATCTCCTGACCTTGTAATCTACCCACCTCGGCCTCCCAAAGTTCTGGGATTACAGGTGTGAGCCACGGCGCCTGGCCAGAAAAAGAGGTTTGATGGACTCACAGTTTTACATGGCTGGGGAGGCCTCACAATTATGGTGGAAGGCGAAAGGCACATCTTACCTGGCAGCAGGCAAGAGAGAATGGGAGCAAGCGAAAGGGGTTTCCCCTTATAAAACCATTAGATCTTGTTAGACTTACTCACTGCCATGAGAACAGTATGGGGGAATCCACCCCCATGATTCAATTGTCTCCCACCGGCTCCCTCCCACAACTCATGGAAATTATGAGAGGTACAATTCAAGATGAGATTTGGGTGGGGACACAGCCAAACCATATCAAGGAGGTTCCAGGAATGGCTGTTGTTGAGTGGAGCTGTTGATACTCTTTTAGTGAATGAGTTAGCCCTGAAAGAGGAACAAAGATCTTGCATAGTGCAGAGCCCAGGAAAGTGTCCAAGTTAGCCGGGGAGAGCAGGGTCGGGTGCTTTACCGGCAAAGGGCCTATCTCTCAGATACCATGTCCCAGGTGCCAGTGTCCCCCTTTCCAAAGCAGACCCATGCCATCCATCCTCCCAGGTGGGAGCCTGTGCCACAAACTGACCTCTTTTTTGACCTGAGCTTTGGAACTTACCTGACATGCACGTTTCTATGGACCTGGCTGGTCTATGGGCTCTGCTTCAACTTACAGATCCAGGAACTCCAGAGACTTCTTTCCCTCCTAGGCCAGCACTGTCACCTGTCAAAAATGTTGGCAGGGAGAGGAGGCAGCTGGTGAGAAAATCCTCATGACCCATCTTTCCTTCACCAGCATGCATTCCTCTCCACCTCCGGGGCTATGGACTCTAGGTACCAGGCTGCAGCTGTCCACCTGCAGTGCCCAGGGCGCTGTGAGTCCCCAGGGTGCTGTGAGTGCCATTACAGGGGAGCACAGCTCTCAACCCCTTCTGCTTCAGGGTGGCTAGGGAGGGGGCTGCAGTGTGAGACAAACAGCACCAGATTCTCTGTGTGCTGTGAGCTGTTAAGGGTTGGGCTGTATAGTAGGCTTATGGCAATGGATAAAACCTGGTCCTACCCTAAAGGGGATGCAGGAGCAAGGGTCCCCTTATAATCAGGTGGGCGGCAGTCTGTGTTATGATGATGATGGAGTTGCACAAAGTTTCCTGGCAACAGAGAGGGAGGAGGGTATTGTTTCTACGAAAAGGGTGAGGGAAGACTTTATAGAAGGGATGATATTTAAACTAGGTTTCGGTGAATAAGTAGGAATGTGCCAGCAGGAATTGTCATTTGGGATCAGACCATGGAAGAAGGTGGATAGAAAGTAAAGGAAGGAGTAACGAAAGCAACAATAGCTGCATTAGCATTCACAGTGTGCCAGGTGTGGATTATCTCAGTTAATGCTTACTACAACCCTGTGGGTAGCCCCATTTCACAGCCAAGAGAACTGAAGCACAGAGAGGTTCAGAATTGCCCAGAGTCACATGGCTAGTGAGTGACAGAGGTAGGATTCAAAACCAAACTGTTCTTGTTCCATTGTCCACTGTCTTTATAAACACTAGGCTAAAGATATCTGAGTGTCTGTGATTTGGAAGGCAGCGGGTTCAGAACTTTCCAAACATGTACTCGTTACCTACTCGGCAACCCTTTGACACTTCATAGCTATTTTACATGCAGGAACATAAGCTTAGAGGGGTTCTCCAGCTTGCCTGGCTCGCTTGCGTGGGCTGGGATTTGAACCTCGGCCTGCCTGCCTGGCTCCAAAACCCTCTCCCCTGCATGGCAACCGCAGAACCAGCCTCTCACTTCTATCTGTCTCCTGCACCTTGGCCTGCTTGCTAGAAGGCCTCCTTGGCTTGTCCCCTGGGCACCTCACAAGGAGAATCACTGCTTCAAAGGCACACACAAAAAAGACTGGTTCATGTTCAGGCTGAAGGAAGCTCCCCTCACCTGGCTGCCTCTGCCCTCACAGCTATCAGGCCTTGTCACACCAAGCCCTCCAAGGGTGCTTCACGAGTGCTTGTACTTGGCTAGATTTATTGGTGAGCTATATTAATCATATTTTAAAAATAAGAAGTGAAATAAATAATAAATAGCAATATTCTGCTTCCATTAAAAACCACCTGCAGCTTGGAAAGGTAGCTGGCACCTTGCTTCCTTGAAGTGTCGCATGTCCCTGCTCACGGCCGTAAATGTTAACATCCCTCTGTAGGCAGACAACCAGCTCTGAGGGGAATCCACAGATGTGTGCAAAGTGACTCACTGCATACTCTGGCTTCATAAAATCGAGGAGATGGAATTATCCCAGGCCTTCTGGGCGGCAGAGAGAAAATTTCAAGCGGTGGGTGTTTGTGAGTCGGTGTGTGTTTGTGTGGGGAATGGGGAAGGGGAGAGAGTGGAAGGGAAGGAGGAAAGGGGCTAAGAGAAGGGAAAGCAGACAGGGAACTGGGCAGGAGCCCAGGAGATCCTTGGCTAAATTTTCCACCGTTTCCAGGTCAGGGGCACCCAGGATCACTAGGTCCAGTGGCCACTACTATTGCTGGCCTGTGAGCCATGGAGGGAGGAGGATAGCTCTTTTTCATTAATATTTTTATCTTTTTTCAATTACAAATGTTAATACTACCTGAATGATGTTGTCTCCTTCTCAGGGTACAACATCTGGAGGTACATTATGCTCATCGGTGATGCTAATTTTGGTGAGTTGGTTAAGATGGCATATTAGTCAGCCACCTCCAGGATAATAGAGCTAATGGAATATTATGTATACCTACATATATATGTTCTACATATATATATATACACACACACACAGTATACATATGTGTAATCTCTTAATATATACATACATATTATTTTAAGGAATTGGCTCACGTGATTGTGGGGCTGGCAAGTCTGAAATGTGTCAGCTAGGCCAGCAGCCTGGAAATTCAGGCGGGAGTTGATGCTGCAGTCTTGAAGTAGAACATCTTTCTTTCTGAGAAACCTCAGTTTTTGCTCTTAAGGCCTTTCAACTCATTGGATGAGGCCACTCGTATTATCAAGTCATCTCCTTTACCTAAAGTCAATTGACTGTAGATATTAACCACATCTGCAAAGTATCTTCACAGCAACACCTAGAGTTGCATTGGACTAAATAACTGGGCACTAAGGCCTGGCCACATTGACACAAAACTAAGCATCCCAGATGGTCTCCAGTTCCTCCCATTATCATTTTCCTTTTTGTAATACGAATTTTGGAGGGAGACAACTTCAAGACTATGTAAGTAGTCCAACCTTTTCCCCATGAATTAAGCATCTATTGCTAGTTCTTGCCAGGATCAATTTTTACTGTGACAGTTACATAAATAGCTTTCTCTTGGAGAAGGGATTTGGGAACCTGGCTTCAGATCCCAGTGCTATCACTTAGCTGGCTGTGTGGCCTCAGACAAGTTATCTGATTTTCCCAATCCAGGGTCCTTCTTGCTCAAATAGGGTTGACAGTACTTGCCTCAAAGCTTGGAATGTTCATTAAATGCAATAACGTGTGAAAATGCCAGGTGCAAAGAAGCTATCCCATAAATGCGTGTGGCATCAAGGGCATTAGACACATCCATGCCTCAGTGAAGTGACTATGATCTTACTCCTGGGCATCATTGATGAGCGGAGTGATCTGAGACCACTGGGAAGGTTCTTTGAGGAAAGTCATTATCTTTTTTAGCCATTCTCATCATGGACACAAGGTCAAACCCTGCTGAATCAGGGAACATTGACCCTCTGTGATTGAGACACTGTTGGAAAGGCTTTCCCAAAGCTAGTGATATCCTAGCTGAGTCTTGAAGGATAAGACTGGAAGTCAGACAAGGAAGGAAAATATTTCCAGGTGAGGGGAATGGGATGTGCCACAGAGGTGGGTGGAGAGATGGGGAAGGAGAATTTTGGAAACTTGGGGAGGTACCATTAAGTTTCCAAAGAAACTCACAGAGGGGATCGTCTGTTTGTATTTTTTCCTATTAATGCCACTATGATTATGATTATGATTATGATTAGTATTCTCAAGTAATGTGCAGTCTTGTATACAGTAAAAATAAATTCATTATTCCTTGTGAGAAGCAGCATGCCATAGTGATTATGATATGGACCCTGTAGCCATGCTGCCTGGATTCAGATCCCAGCTCTGCCCATTTACTAGAAATAGAACCGTGAGCAAGTTAACCTCTCTGTGCCACCTGTTCCTCATCCATAAAATGGGGATGATAGAAAGAGTAACTTCCTCCTAGGATTGTACTGATGATGAAGCAAGCTCATGTTTGTGAAGGCCTTAGAACAGTTCCGGGCAGGTGCAGAGTAAGTGCTGCATACTTATTTGATAAATAAGAAAGTATATTCTAGACAATTACTCTTTGGTCAAATAGTTATTGTTTTCCTTTCACTAACCCATCAAAATATTCATGCTGTTCTTCATCTCTAATCTACTTACATTATAGCTCACTTGGCAGCTGCCATGAAGAGGTAAAGTTACCAACAGGCTGTTGTAGAAAAAGCAGAAGATGCGGGTCAGCAGATGAGTTCTTGTCCCATCTCTGCCATTGCCCTGCACTGTGATCTTGGACAAGTTGCCATTCCTTTCTGAACCTCGGTTTTCCCATCTGTAAAGTGGGAGAGTTGAGCCAGCTGACATCAAAGAGCACATCCAACCCTAAGCCCTGAGTGTTGGTGACTTGCTCAGTGGCTTCCCTTCAGGGACAGGCAAGAGGACCGACGTCTGTCAAGCACCTACTATGTGGCAGGCACTGCTTAGCTCTTTCCTCACATGCTTCTTCCTGTAGTCCTCCCAGCAACACAACAGGAAGATAGCATATCTTTGCATTACACTTGGAGACACTGAAGCCCTGAGAGGTTAAGCAGCCAGCTGGTCACTCTGCTGGTAGGGGGAACACAAGGACCCCAGCCTGGGACTGCCTGTCCCTAAGCAGCCTTTTTCCACTAGGCTGGGCTTCCTCCCAGAGGGTATTCTGCAAAGGTGTGATCCATGAATAAAAGCATCATTACCCAGCTATGCTGGGGAGATTCCTGCCCTCCTTCCCTCATCTAGGTAGCTATGCTCTGGCGCTAGACTTGAGTTAGGATCCTGCCTTTGCCACTTCTTCACTCTGTGACTTGGAGCAAATAATGTTACTTTCTGGGCTTCAGTTTCCTGGTCTATAAAAAGGAGATAATGATTTCCACTTCATATGATTATCTTGAGGCTTGAAGAGAGCATGTGTGAGACATTAGCGTGGTGACTAGAATCTAGGTAATTTGTTAAAAATAATATAACTTCTTGTTTGTGGTTGTATGAATCAGTGGTTCTGATTTTAAGATTTCATGGAAAAGCAAAATGTCAAAATAAAAGTTTCCAACATTTTGTTTTACTTAGGTAAGCCTTTAGAACATAATTAGCATCTCCTAGCACCATTAATTCATAATACTAAGTAGAGTTCACCCGGCATAAGCTGGTTCTCTCAACCAGCCAGCAACACTGTTACCTTGCTCTTGCAAACTGCTGCTCAGAGTCAGCCCTTTAGTCATCTGGTTTAGGGCAATAGCTGCCAAATTGAAGTTTGGGGACTTCTTTACTTCAAACCATGGGGCTGAAACCAGCTTGGGGAAGGGGGAAAGACATAGGCACTGACCAGCCTGCCTCATTTGGCAGGCCCCTACCAGCTCCACCTTTCCCTGACCTGAGCCTCATCTGCAAAGTGAGCCCTTGTTTTCTCAGCCAACCTTCCCAGCATCAGGAGCAACAAAGGTGGAACTTATATTATAGCTTGTGATGTGCTGTTTTTATATGAAGGATCAGCATCACTCTGCTATCTGACCTCAATGAAGGCAGGCAGGGCAGAGCTGGGAGGGCTGGGGAGAATTGGATTTGAATTATGTGAACTCTAGAGGATGAGAAGTCAGTGTTTCCACACATCCTTTGTTCCTGTGTTTCCAAACTGTAGTTCTTCACCCAGTGTCAGACTGGATTTGCTTGAGCACACAGGTGATGGGAAGTTGTTGTATTTAATAGATTTCAGCTCAACTAGAATTGCAAGGAAGCAATAACAGAAAAGGGAATTCCAAATGAAGCCAAATTATATTCATTTGTTTTACAACAACTATTAAATATGTTGAGAGGGTGAAAATAATGATTTCACCCTTTCGAACTGAAATTGGGGTTCGTTGGTGGCTCACACCTGTGCTATATTGAGTTGTGGGTTTGGTCAGGTGTGATTATAGAACTTAATTGTAAATTGCATCTTTCTGGCACATGCATGAATGTATTTATGTATTCTAAAACCTTTTAAAATCATTTTTGTAAAAATAATGTCTATGACTAAAACCTCTAATGGCTAAGTCACTAGCTCCAAGCAGCCGTTCAGTTGAGGCTTAGAAACTTCACAAGGGTGCTGGACAGTATTTGCCCAAGGGATGGAGATGAGCCCACCTCCTATCTCCTTCTCAACCCCCTTGGAGCCTTGTAAAGTGCTTTGTGTACAGTAGGATCGCTCACCTGTGAAATGGCCCCATTCTCACTACTTAGCCAAAGCCTAGTAATATCACATACTCTTTGACCCACTAATAACGTTTTAATGGAAATAAGCAGAACATCATGCAAAGGCATTTGCAGCAAGATGCTCATTGGCAGCATTGCTTATCATAATGGGAAGACCTGGAGCAACCTAAGTGTCCACCTGCAGGGTCCGGTTAAATCAATGAGGGTTACTCCATATGGGGAAATAGCATGCCTCCTTTAAAACCAGTGAGGCCCAGCTGTGATATGGATGTGAAAGATACTCATGGTATAGTAAGTGAGGTGGGGAAGCAGATTAGAAAGCAGTCTAAATAGAAAGGTCACATCTCTAATGTTAAAAACGTGATCGTATGAGCATACGTAGATGCAGAAAATGTCTAGAAGGATAGCTATGCGCTAAGATGTTAATTGTGATTCTGAGTAGTGAGGACACAGGGAGTCCTTATTATTTTCTTTATTCTTTTCTGTACTTTCAGTTACTCACAAAAATTTCTTGAATACCTATGAGACAAAATCCTTGCTTTTCAGAAGCTTACTATCTTGCTGGGGAAAGACAAGGAATAAATAATTAGACAATTAATTCCAAATGCTGATAAGTGCTGGGAAGAAAATGAGATGGTTAATTTGAGAAAAACTGACAGAGCAGGGGGAGGTGAGACCAATTTCAGCTAGGAAGGGAAGACCACTCT
Organism: Homo sapiens; assembly: GCF_000001405.40. NCBI lineage: Eukaryota > Metazoa > Chordata > Mammalia > Primates > Hominidae > Homo > Homo sapiens. Next base: position 79,104,082 of record NC_000011.10, on the reverse strand, counting down.
TTAGAGGGGCATTTAATTGAGAAAAATAGGGAAGAGAGACCCAAATGAAATCTGGGATAGGGGTGTTCTAAGAAGAAGAAACAGCTAACACAAACGCCCTGGATGAAAGAGAATTAGGTGCCATTACAACGTATTATTTCTATGATCCAGAAAAATTTTTATTCTAATATTCATTTGGTCCATTCAAAAAACCATAGGACCCATCTGAATCCTTCCATTCCGGAGGCCCAATCAGATAGCAGTTCGCCTAAGACAGCGAGTGGGGAGCAGAGGAAGGTGCCCTTCAAGTGCCCACTGCAGAATGAGTCTCTAGAAGGGGCATCTCCCAAGAGGCCAGCTCACAGTTTGCCTCACTTTCCTTGATTTTCAGCAATTTTTTTCTTTACATTTTGACATTTATGAAATCGGAAAGTATCTTACAATCCATGTGTACATTAAGGTAGTGCTTTGTTTGTTTTCTTGTCTCAGAAAGCCTATTACTGAATCGATGGTGCATCTTGCAATTGCTGGCATCTTAGGATTGATGAAATGCAGTAATGTATGCGAGTGATGCTAAGAGGACGGACCTTGGGAAGTGGAAGGGCCTTGGTGGAAGTCCATGATTCCACCTAAAGGGGATGCACTGTGGGCCCACAACAGTGGACTGAGTCTTCTAGACCTCTATGCACCCCAGAGCACCAGCCACAGAAATGCTTACAACATGGCCCTGGTCATCCTTCAGGGAGCAATCAGAATTATGTGCAATAACAATGTGTTATTTCTATAATCATACAACATTATTTTATTCTAATATGCATTTGATCCATGCTGGGTAAATCCCAGGGGAGGGGGGAGTCCTGGAGGTTGGGGGAGCCATCCAAGGGGGCATCCCCACCCTCCTTGGATTGTGGGGAGAGCCTAAGAAAGCTTCCTGAAGAGGTTACCAGGCAGACAAGGCAGAAAGGGCATTGGAAGCAGAGGGACAGCGGCACCGCCAGTGTATTCAGGGAGCAGTGAGCTGTTCCATCTGGCTTCAAGGCAGGATGAGCACAGGGAACACCCCTCATCTGGAGGTTGTACTGGGTCTTGGATGCATATCAAAGGGACTAGAGACTTGGAAAGACTCGACACCAAGAAGTGACATGGCTATGTTTTGGCTTTAGAACTATGCTGTCTAATGTGGTAGCCACAAGCCACAGGCGGCTATTTAAATTAATTAAAAGTGACCTTAAAAAAAATCCATAAGAACATCTGGAAAAAAAAGTTAAATGAAAAACTCAATTCCTCAGTCACACTAGTCACATCTCAAGTGCTCAACAGCCACAGGTGGCTAGCTGGCCACATGGACAGTGCAGATACAGAATGTGTGTATTGTGACAGAAAGTCCTTTTTGGACAGAGTTGCTTTGGAAAGATCACTTGAGGATGGGTGGATAGATGGATGGACAGACAAAAGCGATAGCAATGACCATGGTGCTTACGGTGTGCAAGGCACCATGCCAAGGGCTTCACATGTGCTGTTCCTTGAACCCTCATAACATCTCACAGATGTCCACCAGGTACCAGGAGCTTTGGGAGCAGGGACAAGGCTGTGGGTCATTTTTCAGCATTTCCCGATTATTTACCTAGCTCAGCGCTGGCTTCTCCAGGAGCCAGAGTATATTCTTATATTTTTCGAAGGGTGGCTGAGGAGTGTTGGAGCTTCAGCTTTACCATTGCACCAGCCCATGGTTGAACAAGAGGGAGCTCCCTGGGGATCCCCCAAATTTCATGATGAGCACTGTGCGACCTTCTCAGGAAGTTCTTCCAAGTGTCTAACCCAGCTTTCCAATGTATGACTGCAACAGATGCCTATTCCTTCTGTTTATTTTTCCCTCAGAAAATGGAGCCTATATTGTACTAACATTGATAACTGCTGTACTTGACGGACGCTTCCTCCTTGTCAGACACTGTCCTGATCACTGTACATACCAACTCATTTAATTCTCAGAAGAGCTCTATGCTCTAGCTACCATTGTTTTGCCCATGTTATACATCAGGAGACTGGGGCATGGAGAAGTTAAGAAATTTCCCAAGGTCATACTTTGCCCAAGCCAGTAGAAAGTGTTGCTAGGACTCAAACTCACACGATCTGGCCCTGGAGCCTGGTTCCTAGCCCTGGCACTATCCAGTCTCTCATCATAAATCTTCTGGAGCTAGAAGACAGCTGCCAAGTGCACTTTCCACCTGTTTTGGCTGGAGTGGTATGAAAACTTGATTCTGTTCCAGGAAACCTTGGCTGAAAGTTATGCCCAGTTATAACATAAATGCCTCACATTTGGGGGGCACTTTATGTCATTTTCAGAGTACTTTTCTGCCAGCAGTGCTTATGGTAATAGTCGTCCCACAGTTACAGCATGTTTTCTGGTTTATAAAGCACCCTCATTTGCATGTTCTCATTAAATCCTCACACCAGCCCTGAGAGGAAAGTGAGGCGCAGAGCATCATTTACCCACGTAACACAAGGAACCCAGAGAAGTAAAGCACTGTGCAGGATTACTCAGCCCTCCAGGACGCAACGGTTTCTTAATTCTGCTTCTATCAATCAAGAGCCTCTCCGCCATGTCAATCCATTTCAAAGTCAAGCCAAAGTAAGGGCTGTAAAGCCAGGACCCTGTGTGTTAGTCCTGGAGCATGCCAAGGTCAAGACATGGCCCAACAATCAGAAATAACATCAGAATAACTCAGACTTCCACCTAATATTTCTCAGAAGTTATCAAGAACCACCAAATCCACAGAAAAACTGCTTAAAATCCGCCTTTTCTCTCTGCCCTCTACTGCATTTACTGACATCAGCTTCTCCTATATCTCTTTTAAAATATTTTTTATGAAAATTTTTTATATTCTACAGAGAGTGTTTATAACAAATATGTTCAGTGTAAACAATAATGAGAAACTCTCATGGCCCCACCAGCTAGCTTAAGAAACAGAACATGATGCCACCTTTGAAACCCTGGGGATGGCCCCCAATACCCTCCCCTCTTCCCAGGTAGCTGCCCTCCTACACTTATTCTCTTGCTTTTCTTTATAATCCTGGATGCTTTGCAACCCTCCCCCAGAGAAGCACTCTCCCCAGTCCAGCCCACACGCCTCTGCAGCTTCCATTTTTGCTTCTTTCCCTACCCCAGTCTGGTGTGACCTTTTCTGGGGGATGGGAAAGGGCCTGGAGAAAATGGACAGAGGACACAGGCAGACTCCTTTCCAGATAAGGGGAGTGGAAGGTTAAGAACACCCCTGCTAAATACCTTTTGTCCACTTGAAAACACATTGGGAGGAGAGAGGGAGGGGCTTCCTTGTAAGTTTATTCCTGGAGCAGGTTGCCACTTGTCACTTGGAGCAAGTCCCTTCACCATATGGACTTCTAAACTGGAGGGGGACTGGCACAGATTGGGGTTTCCTAAAATTGTCATTGCTTCTACAGATATTTACTGAGCACTTACTGTGTGCCAAGCAGCGCCATAGGTACAGGGATGATGTCGTGGGAAATGAGACAGACAAATTCCCTGACCTCAAGGAATTTACCATCGAGGGCAGGCCTCAGTCCTGCCCCACAACTAGCTATGATCCTCCCTTTGTCATTGTAAGCTATTCACCATTAAAGGTTGAGGTGGGGATGAAATTAGATGATAAATATGGAAGTGCCTGGAAAATCAGAGGCAGGTCTTGGCTAACACTACTTAGAAGACACCCCACAATCCCTGAAACGAGGTCCACTGGGCACGGAAGAGGCTGGAGCTTTGGGTACTCACACCTGTAGTTACCCAGATCTGCCACTGGATGTCAGTGATGTGTAGGAGGGGGCGGGGACCTAAGGGTGATGAGCTTTTTAAGTTGAGAAAAGTGCGAAATAACTGCTTACAGTGTGCTATATGCTGTTCTCCATGTATTTGTTATAGCATTTGATGTTTACGGAAACCCTATGATTTGCATATCCTTATACCCATTTTACAGACAGGGAAACGTGCTCAGGGGAGGGATATAAGTGGTTGTCTCCCCTCCTCCACCTGAGAGTACCAGGCAAAGATTGCTAAAGATGCTAAAAACGGCCCTGGCGTGAAAGTGCTCAACCAGACAGCCCTTTACTGCTGCTAAACTGCTATGAACAGCATCTCCCCATACTTGGGGCAGCAAATGGCTGCACAAATGCATGAGAAACAAAAAGCTCCACAGCTGTTAAAACCCCCATGGGCACCCATGAAGGTTACAGTACAAGTGTTTGCTAGGCAGATAGATGGGTACAGATTAACAAGAGCCACGTGGTGACAGCAGAGCTTGCTGTGCTCTCTGTCAATCTAGAAGCAATCATGGCTATGGCCAACTTTTATGTTCCTTGTGGTGAGGATTACAAAAAGGTCTCTGGGGATCTTGCCTTAAAGAGCATACAGATGTATAGGGTGTCAGCATTGAAGAGCTGTAGTCCCAGTCCTTCCTAAACAATCCCTGAGAAGCTCTACTGAAAAATTAAAGGGGAAAGTGGGGGAGTATTCAAGGTCAAATTCATTTTGGGAAAATCTGCATGAAATAGTTTTGATGATCATTGCAATTAGTAGACCTGATGATGATATCATCCACCTCTTTGATATAGACCCAGGGGAGCAAGTGCTTTGGGAGGGGAAATGACTAGTTCAGGACCACAGAGGCAAAGAGGACACCATGACTCTGACCTCTCCCCATGGGACCTTAAATTCACACCATGAGAACGACAGGGAAAAGGACATGAACAATGGGATGGGATGTTCCACAGAAGACTATATGGGGGGCCTGCAAAGGAGAGAGGGTCTGGAGCAAAGGCACTGGGGCTAGATCCCCACAGAAGGAAATCCCAGCAGCACTCCCTCAGATGCACCCCTGGCAGGAGGGGAATCCAGGTGGTGCCCAAGGCAAACCAGAGACCCCCAGGAATGACTAAGGAACGGAGCTCCTCCAACAGGAGGAGGGAAGGCTCAGAGGTCCTTGTGGCAGGAACATCTCTGTGTACCAAAGTTCCCAGGTGAGTTACCGTAAGTCAGGTTTTAGCTCAGCAGAAAAAAATGCGTATATTTATTCCAATTAAACAGTTTGCAAAGCCATTTTTACATGTGTCATCTTATTCAATCTAGACAGTCACCCTTTGAGGGAGACCTTTCTATCCCTACTTTATAGATGGGGAAAGTGAAGGTCAGAGAAGTTGACTCATTTCCCCAAGTTCTGGAGCTGGGATTCCAATTCAGGTCTTACTAGCTGCAATACCACGTTCCTTTCACACTGAAATTGTCCAGGGATGATGATGATGATGTTCCTGATGTCGTTGATGGCTATGAGGTAGGACTCATTAGCCTCATTTTCCAGACGGAAGGTCTGAGCCCCAGAGAAGACCCATCGCTTGCCCAGTATGGCACAGCTGGTAGCTGGGAGAGATGGGTTTGGATGTACACTTTTCGTCTGCAAGCCTTGTCCTCTGTCTGCTTTTCTTCCGTACAGGTGTGCATGAGCTCCCGGTTACTCGAGTCATGGGAGCAAATTCTGATGGACTCAGCCAGCTTACCTTTAGGGTGAGTCCTCCTCAGGAGAGAGGTTGGGAGTAGATGGTAGCTAAGTGTCCTGTTTTCTACTTGGACTCTCTCAGACTCGTGCTGAGTGGAGGCCAGTGCACAGGCAGGTCCCTTGCTTAAAGCAAATTCCTGGGAAGTGATGAGCAGGGGTTGGGGAGTAGGCTGTCAGGAGCCAGGGGTCAGGAGAAGGGCCCTGGGGGCAGAGCTAGCTGTTTGGCTTTGAGAAGGGAAGCCAGGAGAGATAAGCAGAGCTGGGAGTGATGTGATCAAACTGTGAAAGATGATTCTCACTGAGCTGGGAGATGGGGGGGGGTGGGGGAGACACAAGAGACCCGCATGCAGGGTTTTGAAGGCAGCAGATACAGGGGCCTGGGAAGCCCAGACCAGGATCGCAGACAATCCTGGGAATGGATGATCTGGTGAGTTGAGAATAATCCATGTACTTTTACGATTATACTTAGTTCTTTGCAGTCTTCATTAGTTATGGGATAAATACTTCCCTTCCTTCCTTGGCTTCAACCTTTATGCTGCAAGTTTAATTTATCTTGGGCCACTATCGTTTTTTGTTTTACTAAGTTATCTGTATAGTTTCATGTTTTATTTGCTGGTGGTCAGTGTGCTGACTCTGAATTTTAATCCAGGTGGTGGTAATTTATCAAGGCTTCTTACCTTTTTCAGAATCTTTTTTCTTTTTTTTTAAAAAAAAAAAGCAAAATGTTAATATAAACTCAGTGAGGAGTTTGTGGGTGAGAAATATCATCTACTGTATCCCCAAAGTTGCCAAATGGTGTTGAGACGGATTCACATGTTCGCTGTTTCGTAACATCCTGGAAATGGCACCCTGCATGTTGATTTTTCTATTCTCAGCTTACAGGGCAAAATGGTCTTGACTTTTTCTACTTATTTTTGGAGAAAGTTCAAGGGGTAGGAAAAATTCCTTTGGCATATTTTGAAGAGAACAAAAATACAACCTGGCTTTTGTGTGGTGAAAATGTGGGAAATTTCAATTTCCAAATGTGCGTGCTGGAGGAAGCAAGCTGAACTTTGAGGCTGGGTTCCTGGGCCCTCAGCCCAAAGGAGGGAGGGGACGCTGGCAGGGGCTGAGCTGCCTTGGAAAATTAGCAGGCGATCCATGTTGGAAAGTGCAACTTCTGGTTCCTTCCTCAGCCTCCAGGGACACAGACTCTGGCGATGAAAAAGAACCCCACTTTGTCAAACTTACCCAAAGAATAGAAAACATAACCAAGGAAAGAAAACCTCTCCGACAAGGTTAACTCCTTAAGCACAGGTGGAGGAGGCAAATCCGGGAAAGGGAGTGGATTCCTTGTACCAGAGTTCTTAGACCTGGGCTCCGACGCCAGCCCCAGCATGGCTAGCAGCTTGTTCTGTGAAAGGCAGCCCACCTCTGTGTCCTCATCTGTGAAATGTGGATAGAGCCCCTGTCTCAATGCTTGTTGTGAGGACTATATGAGATGATGACTATAGTAGCTACTTTTATTACTTAGCATATACTAAATATTAGTGGTTGCTATTATCAGGTTTGTGTACTTCTACACAAGACCACATGAAGGGTGTGTGTGTGTGTGTGTGTGTGTGTGTGTGTGTGCGCGCGCGCGCGCATGTGCGTGCATGCCCACGCAAGGATTGGTCTTCCAAATAAGTAGATTGAAATGTGTGAGAATGGAGCAAATTGTTCCCTTAGCGGTTAGGATTTCCTGGGAAAATGTCTATAAGTTGCTGAGACTATGTCTTCTCATTGCCAGAATATTCCAAGGAGCAGAAGAAAAGTCAGGCAGTGGCCCAGCTGTTGCCTATCCTGGGCCACGGGTCCATATGTTTGGCTGGGTTTGTCCTTCTGTCATCCCAGCCTTGCCGGGGGTGGGTCAGGGGACATGTCCCAAGGAATGGCTTCCCTGGGTGCCTTCCAGACAGCTGCGTTCCTGTCCTAAAGAAACAGACCACCGGGGAAGGCACACCAGGGGAAGGGGAGAATTGCTGCTGTCCTGGTTTGGGTGGGGCTTACAGAGTGGGGGTGGGGTGGGGTGGGGGAGGCTTTCTAGGAACCTGAGTTTATTGGATTGGCAGGCCATCCTGAGGAGCTCCATCTGGAAATCTTCCCCCCAGCAAAGGCACCAGCAGTTTTCCCAAGGCTTTGTCAGTACATCATCCTAATGTATCTCCTTGCAGAGTCTCCTTGTTTCTTCATTGACTGTGTACTCGATGTCAGCCTGGTGCCGAGCACCAGAGGAAGCAGGGCCATTGTGACAGTGAACATTTGTCAGTGGCTTGCCAGGACCCAGCATGGTGCTAGGTGCTTCCTGGGAATGATCCTCAGCACAGCAGGTCCCTGGGGCAAGTAGACAGTACCCCCATTTTGCAGAACAGGAAACAGAGACCCAGAGATGTTGCATTACTTGTGGAAAGTCACACAGCTGTTAAGAAGCAGCATTGGAATCCAGGCTCTGACTCTAGTATCCACACTTGTAACTTCTGTGTGCATTGTTGCCTGGAAGTCAGACACCGTCTGGGCAGAGGAACAAAGAGATAGCAATCGGATGGCACATGAGAGACCCTCAATGGGTTCTCCCGGCCTGGCCTGCTGTTAGAGGCCAGGTGCTGCCATGGGAACACAGGGTGTGGGAAGTAAATGAAGCCAGGCTGACCCCTAACTCTGCTACTTACTATCTGTGAGGCATTAACTCCTATAAGCTTCTGCAAATCACATTTAAAATACTTTGCCAGGTTACTGAAAGAAATACTGATGACTGAGTGACCCAGCACCTCTTGGGCATGTGTCTTTAAATGGAAACTAGTACTACAATGGCTAAGAACTGAGAACTTTATGGCTTCAGTGAGCACTGGGGAGTCTGCTTCCTTCCTGGTAGGAGGACCAGGTTAGTCACCAGAGGGGCCTCAAACTGGAAGGGCCTCTGGAGGTCACCGGGTCCCTGGGTCTCCTGGCAGGTTGCCGGCCTGGATGTCAGCCTTGGTAAGGGAGTCCATCCCGTTTTATAAACTTCCCAGGGCAGATAATGCAGTGTCCTCTCATCACTCATTAGGGCTATGGAAGAGCTTGGAAGAGTACAAAGGAATATATACTTGCTATTAATGATATGGCTTGTAAGTTTTGTCTTTGGAGTTGGTAGAGAAAGACTCGCTAAGTGTGGGGTACTGTGCAAGGAGGCAGAGGGCAAGAAGCAGAGATTTCAGTGTCAGAACTGGGTTCAAATCCTGCCCTGCTGCTTACCACCTGGGCGAGGCACCTGCCCTCTCAGAGCTTCCATTTCCTCATATGAAAAAGGGAGAGTCCTCCCTCCCTGAAAGGGTTGCCATGAGGAGTGAAGGCTGGCTCTAGGGCTATTTCTGTGGGCAGAGCTTCCTGACTGCAGCCTGGACCCCATTTCCAAGAGGGGCCTGCTCCTGCCCCTTCACCCCCCTCTCCCCACCCCTATCAGGCAGAGCCAAAAATGCCCAGGCTGATGCAAGATCTTGGACATGGACACATCTCCTGCCAGGCATGGCTGACTCCAAGCCTCCTTGCAGGGGAGAAGGGACAGATCTGCCCCTGTCCTGGGTCTGGCCTCAGATCCTTTGACACATCTCTAGACTAATGCAGAGTTTAAGGATGATGCAGGCATTGATCTGGGACAGCCTGGAGCCACAGGCAGCCTCGTAAATCAGGCCCCAGCCTTTGAATCTTCCGCAAACTCCCTGGGAGAGCCCTAGCACCTTGATCTTCTTGCAGTAGGAGCTCCTCCCCCACTGGTCTGGAGTCTCCAGGGGTGACTGGGGCCTGATTTACGGAGGCCTCTAATAGCAACAGCCCAGCCTGGGAGAGGAGGCCCAGGAAAGAATGATTTTGCCCTGTGACCTAGCCTCCTAGGCTGGGGAGACAGTCAGAGCTGAAGGGAGGACTACCTCTCTCTGGGCCTGTGTGGACAATATCCCCCACCCCCCAATGCCTACTGGAATTTGACACTTCTCACTGATTCACCCCTTTCTTTCACAAGGGAGTGAGGGGAGGAAACACCTCCAAACCTGACATCCTGGAAAAGAGGCATGGTAGACGAATATGGGCTCGGAGTCAGATCTCGATCCATATCCCAGCCCTACTGTTTCCTAGGCATGGGGTCTTGGACAACTCTTTTCACACCCCTGAGCTCCGTGTCTTCATCAGTCACATGGAATTTAAAAATGGCACTTGCACAGAGCTGCTGTGAGGGATAAATGGGCCAGCACATATAAAGCATACTGCACAGTGATTGGCCCATCACAGGCACTCAGGAAGTGTTCTCTCCCCTCCTTTTTCCTTACTCCATCCAAATACTCAGGCTGTCTGGCCCCAAAACCCATGCTTGCTGTGCAGTCCTGTGCTCTCTAGGCAGGGATCTGTGAGTTATTTTCTGATTATCTCAAGCTTCTGAACCAGCTCTGTCCAGTGGAACCTTCCGCCATGATGGAGATGGGCTATGTCTACAGTCTCTAATGCAGTAGCCACTAGCCACATGTGGCTATTGTACTTTTGAAATGTACCTAGTATGACTAAGGAACTCAATTTGTAACTTTGATTTTAATTAGAAACTTAAATTCAGCTACCTGTGCCTGGCTGGTGGCTGCCATATTGGACAGCATAAGCCTAAACCGTAAAGATGGGATGTGAAGACTTGGCTTGGCATTGGCTCAAGGTACATGGCCTTGGGCAAGTCTTATTTAGTGTTTATTGAGTTGAGAGCAATGGAGGCTCCAGGAGGAGAAGACGTAAGCCCTGGAATTGTCCTGTTGCATGGATGAGATTTGCACCTATGAGACAGAGACAAGGGGATGCATTCCAACTCCTCCCCCAGCATTTCTGACCTCTAAGCCATCCCCACTCTGGATTGGGCCTCCCCCTCCTTTGTTCCCACTGTGTCTAGTGCTTTCTTTGCCCCAAGGACTTCCCACACTGGACCATAAATACTGTTTTCAGGATCAGCATCTCCTCCCACTTTGCCATCACAGTGAATCATCATACAGCAGATGATCAGAGGCTGTAGCCTCCACCCAGGAGAGGATGGTGCCTTGAGTGGGGCCCTAGGAATGGGGGAAGTAGAAAGGGAAAGTTGCTCTACTCCACCGTCCTTAAAGGTGGCTCGTAGTCCTCATGCCTGTCACTTTCCAATCCCAAGATGGCCAGCAGAGCTTACCTTTATGGCAAGAAGAACAAGTGGCATCAGCAAAAGCCCTCCCAAGCTCCCTCTGCCAGTCCAGTGAACTTCCTTTTTTCATCTTACTGGCCAGAAGTGGGTCACATGATTACCACTAGCTGCAAGGGAGGCTGGGAAGTTGAGTATCTGGCAAAGAGGAAACAGACTTGTCTTGATTGCCTTAGCCAAATTATGAGTCATTGCCCCAGGGCTAAGTGTGTTGCTTTCTCCAGCAAAATTTGGCTTGTGTTAGCCTGGAAAATGGGGTAGAGAATGATTCTTGGGTTAAGTCACTAACACCACCTGTCTCAGTAACCATTGCACAATTAGTATAGCATTGTGCAACTTACCAAGTACTCTTGACATGTAATTCTGTTTGAGCCTCTCAAGTTTGTGAGACAGCTCAGTGGTTACAATCCTCATACTGCAGATAAGGAAAACAAGGCTCTGAGAATTAGAGTAACTTACCTCAGGAAACAAGGGATCCAGGGCTAGCAGCCAGCTCTCCAGATTCTAGAGCCTCCTCCTACGAACCAGGAGAAAAGCCTCAGCTGGGAGCAGCAACCAGAAGCCATTTATCTTTGTATTCTAAACATCTGCCTCTGTGGCCTGGCACAAAATAGGTGTTCAGTAAATGTTTGATGGATCTATTAATTAATGCATTACTTTATTAATGTACTAACTTGACTCATTGAGCAGGGGATAAGAATGAAGAGAACTGGCCGCCTACTCTTTAGTTAAAATAAGCAGCATGAACCCTTTCCAGGCCTGGCTGGCTGTGAGCATTTCATTTCCTACCAATTGTGCACACTCTGCTAGCCATGTGAGAAGATAGAGGCCACACTTAGAAGGTCCACTGATGGCCAGGATGTGATGGGGGACAAAGCTGGGTCCATGCGAATGACGCAGTCTCCCGAGAACTTGGCCTAGGAGTCAGGAGGTCTCCATCAGGGGAGAATGGAAGATCTACTGGGAAAGGTGCATGAGGAGGGGAGTCAGTGATCATTCACTTGGCTCCCTCAGCCTTGAAAATGGTTCAGCTCAGTAAACATCTCACGCATTGCCACAAACCTGTGTCAAGAACATGTACGTACACTCATTACTTTGAAAGTCAGTCTGCCCCACCAGACTGGGCGCTCCCCAAGGCAGGCTCTAAATCCCATCTGCATCCCCAGTGCCTGGCAGCAGAGATGGAGTTGGAATGGAGGGATGTAAAGAAAAAAAGGCCTGCCCCTTGCCTCCAGGGCTCACCATATTTTGAATGAGACCAACACCCACCTAAATAATAGACAAATTGCAGAGCACTGAGCTCTCCAACAGAATCCAGGAGCACTGGGTTGGGGAAGTGAGGGATGATGAGGCGATGAAGTCAGGGGGCATGTGGGAGGGCATCTAAGGAAGCTCCTGGAGGATTTAAGCGTGACTCCCAAGTTAGGAAGGAATTACAGCTGGCAGCCATGAGGGGAAGGTTATTCTAGGGGAGGGCAGCATGCGTACAAAGGTTTGGATGCAGGAGATGACAGGTGTGCAGGCCAGAGTGGCACTAAGTATATTTGAAAAAAGAGGGTGGAGATGAAATAGGAGAGGTCACATCAGGTGTGAGGATGTGAAGGTCTGTGTTGGCATCCTGCAGTCCCATGTTTTTCAGACCTCAGTGTCATAGGAGTCACCTGGGGATCTAATTGCAGATTCTGATTGAGTAGGTCTTGGGGAGAGCCTGTGATTCTGTATTTTTAACAAGCATAGTAATGCTGATGCTACTAGTCTATGTGTCACCCCTTGAGTAGCAAGACTTTAGGCAGTAGAGAACCATTTAAGGTTCTGAGCAGGGACAGGATTGTGGTCTGATTTGCTTTTTAGAAAAATTACGCTGAAGACTGCAAAGAAGCTTCCTCCGCAGGGTAGAGGAATGCAGGCAGGATGAGAGATTTATTTTTTTTTATATCTCCAACACCTAGAATGGTGTCTGGCTCATAACAGATAATCAATAGATATATGTAAAAGGAATAAATTAGCCATTTATGACGGACTTCTTAAATGAGAAAACAGGAAGAATGAATGAATCAAGTTATCCCAGGCTGACAAGCTGATACTTTATAAATCATTCATTCAGGCCAGTCCAAATAGAGAATAGGTCTTAAGGCAGTGGTTTTTCTAGCTTGTTTTTAGACAAAGATCTGATTGCTTAAATGAAACTCGAAATGGAAGCCCAATATGTGAATCACATAAAAAATAAGTAAGCGCCTAGGCTGGACCGGGAGTAAGAGCTCTGAAACCTAACAACCTACTCCTTCCCCTTTCTCCTGACTGCCAGCGTCTGACATTTCCCACTGTACCTCCAGACTCTCACAAGTATCAGCCACCCCAAAAAGCCAGCCTGACTCCCCCACAACCCCAGAATGGGTGAGGGAGGCAGCCCTTCAGCAGGATCTGGGATGGGGATTATCTGTTTCTGGCTCAGTTTCTCCCACTAAACAGTGAAGTCCCACAAGATAGGACCATAAAAGACCCATCTTGGCAGCCTCATGCCCAACACAGGGACGTCGGTTGAATAGGGAACTTAGGAAAGGATGATGGGCAGAGATGGAGTGGTGAGCCACCAAGTCCCAAGGCCAGGGCTTGAGTTCCCAAAACCCCAAACATGTTACCTCTTACCTCTTAAGTGCCAAAAGTAGTATGGGAGGCAGAGGCGCACAGGGGATGGAGTTCGGGGTTCAAATCCCAGCCCAGGCACTTACTGACTATACAACTTTGGCTAAGTCCTGAGCGTCTCTGTGCCTTGGCTTCTCATCAGTAACAGGAGTGTAACAACTCTCCCTTCAGTGGAATGCAATGCAGAACGAATGAGTTGCCAGATGCAAGCCATGCCTTCTCAACAGTGCAGCCCTCTTCACTTGCTGCCATAGGCAGCTCGCCACCTGCCTTTCTTCTGCACGGGTGTCTGCATGTTGCATTTAAGCAGGAAGCATCAGTCACGCTGACAAATATCTGTGCCCTCAGGTGGTGTTTGTAACCAATTAGAGGTTTGGCATTTATTCTCAACTGCCTGTTGTTATATTTTTCAAATAGCCAAGTATTTAAATAACATCAGCCTGATTGCTCCTGCAGATTCATAGCCCTTGTCCTGCACCAGGGAAATCCTCTTGCAGACGGCAGCTGCAGCCTTGTGGAAGGGACATTGGGCATCAGAACACTGTAGTAGAGTCCGAGCTCTGCTCCTTGCCAGCTAGGTGACCTTGGACAAGTCACTTCTCCTGGTGCAGGCTTAATTTCCTCAACAAGAAAAACATATATTTGTATAGTGCTTCACAGCTTCAAAGCCACATCTGCCTGCCCCTGTGACATTTCCATCTAAATGTAGCTGACCTTTATCACCTCCATGATATAGCTAAAAAAATGGAGGCTCTCTGTGTGGGGCTTTGAATCTCAGCTCCCTTAAGAAGTGCTGTGATGTAGAGCAAATCCTTGCCCTCTGTGATTCTCAGTTTCTATAAAATGGCAACACAACAGCACACAAATATCACCAGACACCTAGTGGGAGCCCAGCAAATGAGAACCACTGTGTGTACTTGTTATTGGTGTATTAGTGTCATTCGTCTAGCATCACAAAGCCAGGTCTCAAAGTCAGCTCTCTTGAGCCAGACCCCACACTCTTGCCTGCGGCCATTGGAATGCTACTAGTCTGTGGGCCAAACATTAAGTAGCAAGGATACTACTTGCTATTCGCTCACTGAACCATTGGGATGAGGATATGAAACCTGCTTCTTTGGGTTAGCTGGGGCAGTGTGATTGGCAGTGCTGTGTACATCATGAAGTGCCAGGTCCAGGTAAGGACTGGGCACTTCCCTCTGGTGAGGTAGATCCAATTACTTGCTATAGACCAAATTATAAGCCCAGACTCTTTCTTTTAGATTATGCTAAAAATCATTCTCTGGGCCCTTCCTGTTTCCTGTTTAGCACCAGGCTCTGACTTGAACACCCTTTCCTTGCGCTCGTGGAATGGGAGGAGAAGGAAGCTAGCAGGCCAAAGCAGGCACAACTTGGGAAGGTCGAGGCAAAAAGGGCCAGTTTCCAGCCATCTAGCCTGTTGTGGGGCCTGGCCCTCTTGGGGGCTAATCCCCTTTGTGATGCTCCCTTGGAGCAGGCACAGAGTCTAAGCCAATTAAAACCCTCCCTTTGAAGGTGGTTCAGGTTTCCCAGAGAGCACAGGCCTGCACAGTGACCCAAGGTAATTGTTTCAAGGATTGCTCTCCTCTCCTCCCTGCTGGCCAGAGCTGGAGGAAGACCAGGGCTTTGTCTGGGAAGGCTCCATCACATTTTCCCGCTCCAGACCCCCAGATGACCATGTGGGTCTGCAGGAGAGGCAGGATGGCAGGGATATAAACAACTGACCATCTTACAGATGAGGAAAGTGAGGCCTGGGATGGCTATGCAGGGCTGAGATTCAAACTGCAACATACCTGCTCAAAACTGGTGCCTGCTCTGTCTTTCTAGGACAAGAACCAAACCCTTGTCACCTTCAATCCCAGCACAGATGGGGCCTATAGTAGGTTTCTAGTACATATTTGTTCAGTGATGACTGAATAAACAAATAATGCTGAACAGGAACATTCGTCTTAATGCAATAGTGTGAATGGGCCGGAGAAATCCAGAACTGCATCTGGGCCGGAGTGAAGTATTAAATACTTGATAATACTTAGCAATAGTAGTCATAATAAACAGCCAAGTGCGAAGCCTGTTCTAAGCTCCTTCTAACTCACTCAGTCCCCCCAACAACCCTATTGGGTAGGTCAATTATCTCCACTTCAAAGATGATATAGAGGAATAAAGAGGTTAAGTGAATTGTGCCTGGCACACAGCTGGGGCGCACAGAGCTGGGAGTCGAACCTTGGCTTCCTGACTGCAGAGCCAATGTCTGGGCTGCTATGCACCCCTTTCTTTCTAACAGGAATGTCTTCCTCTGTGAGGTTCAGATGGTGATGACCTTCACCCTCCCTGTCTCCCCGCAATACAGGGTCTCAGTGACATGAGATGTGAAGGAGCTTTCCATTAGAAACACCATACTAGACAATCTGGACCATTGCCGGCCAGCAGAGGCCAGGCTGGGCCCTAGATACCATCACCCTCTGGGTTTCAGCCCTGGAGAGAGCAAGCAGCCCCACTCCAGCTGGAGGAGCCTCCAAGACTGGTACATTTCACAACTGAGATTAAAGACCCATAAAAGCAGAACCGATGGAGTGACAGGCAGAGTGTCTTAATGAAAACAAATTTAGAACTACAATCAAGAGAACAAAGTGAGGATCGGGCCCTGGGAAGCCAGACTCCAGTGACCCAGGTGTAACATTAGCCAGCTGCGGGGCCAAGGGCCAGAGCTTCCCCACGGAAAGAACAGCCTGGGGCCCTCCTGGAAGGTAGAGAGGCAGCCACAGTTGCTGAGGGAGGCTCTGCTCAGCCCACAAGAGCCCACTGTAGTGCGTGTGCAGCCTGGAGGCTGTAGAGGAGCACAGCATTTGTCCTGTATACCCTGGTGACTGCTAGGAAGGCAAACAGGGCCTCCTCAGCTAGAGTCAGGGGCCCCTCCTTCACCCCCAGTGCAGAGTGATTAAGGACATTCTGAGAATGTCACCTCTGTACAGTGAGCTGCAGGAAGGACCTTGTAAAGGGAAGGGGGCATCTGAAACAGGAGAATGCAGAGCTCAGAGCTAACATCCCTCGATCCCTCACTAAGGAACATGCGACTGGGCCCAGGGCCGAGGACAGATCTTTTCAGCGCTTCTGTGTTTGTTAGATGGTTTTTTGTTTGATTTGGAAGCCTTGTAGGGATTTGAGGCTGGATGGTACAAGTTCATGCAGGACTTGTGCTAACAGCGATCTCTGATCCCAAGCAATAGGATTCCCATGCAGCATGTTTCTGCTCCAGCGGGGAGCTTGGTTTGATCAGAATCCTCTCAGCATGGGGACTGGCATTCCTCAAACATATGGAATTCATCCAACGACATTCCCTTCTAACTGGGGGGTAGTTAATCATTTCCTTGTCTGTCTCACCCTCGGAATGCATGGAAAATTTAAGGACATACCTCTGCACTCAGAGTCAAAAGAATTGGGCTTTATCTGAGTCCTGGTTCCTGCTTTTTGCTAGCTGTGTGACTTGGAAACAAGGCACTTTGCCTCTCTAAGCTTCAGTTCTTTATTTAATACAGGATCATAGCTACTCAGAAACATTTGTTCATTTGTTCAATTAGCCATTATTTATTAAGTGCCTACATTTGCAAGGACAGAAGCTTGGGTTTTATGCCGAACAAGAGAGACACAGTTCCCAACTCTGTAGAGCTTAGAGCATATAATTAAGCAACTACTTAAATATAATTTTGGTAAGTTATCAAAAAAAGGTACAGAATGGTAGATTAAATCACATTAAAATGTGTTAGAAATGTATAAGTTCTAAAGTACTATTTAAACACTAGGCAGCATTATCCTTATTACCCTCGTAATATTTCCTTTTTTTTTTTTTTTTTTGCGAGACAGAGTCTTGCTCTGTCACCCAGGCTGGAGTGCAATGGAATGATCCTGGCTCACTGCAACCTCCGCCTTTCAGGTTCAAGCGATCCCACTGCCTCAGCTTCCCAAGCAGCTGGGACTACAGGCATAAGCCACCACACCCAGCTAATTTTTCTATTTTTAGTAGAGATGAGGTTTCACCATGTTGGCCAGGCTGGTCTTAAACTCCTGACCTCAAGTGATCTGCCCGCCTCAGCCTCCCAAAGTGCTGGGATTACAGGCATGAGCCACCAGACCTGACCCAGTTCCTCTTATTTTTAAAATACCTTAATGATCTGATCCTCAGTTTCCTCCCCAGTAATATGGGAATTATAAAAATACCTATGTCAGCCAGCCTTTGCTATATAACATATCACCCTAAAATGCAGTGGCTTAAAATGACTGCATGTTGGTTCCTGTTTCCAAGAGTCAGTTATTTGGGCTGGGCAAAGCTAGGTGGTTCAGCTAGTCTCCCCTGGGTTCACCTGTGTGGCTATAATCTACCGGGTGTTGGTTGGCTCAGCCCTGTGGCTCCAGCAACAAGTAGGCTAGCCTGGGCCTCTTTATATGACAGCTGTTTTCCAAAAGCAGGGGGAGAAGGCAATCCCAAAGGCTCAAGTGTTTTTCATGCCTCTGATTCAAGTTTGCTAATATCCGCTTGGCCCACTGGCCAATGCAAGTCATGTGGCCAACCCCAGAGTTAGTGTGGGGGACTACACAAGAGTTTGGAAACAGGGAGGTATGATTCCTTGGGAGCCATTAGTATGGCAGTCTACCATCATGCCTCACTTCCAGAGTCGTTCTGGTGACTTAGTAATAAATACAGGATGCTGTGCTTGTGGTGTTTGTATGAATATTGGTGACTGTACATAGTAGATGTTTAAGAATTGGTCGGTCAATATGAATCTGAGCAGCTTGCTACCTTATTAAGGAAAAGTGACATTACACAGGAAATAAGTGGCAAGCAATTGGCCAAAACAGCATGTAAAGTGTGGGGTTATGGGTATATGCAGAGCAGTTTCAGGTAATAAGACTGCATCTGACTTCAATTTTCAACCTTGGTGTTTTACATTAGCCAAAAGAAACTTTTTCAGAGAAGAATGGCCAGGATGGAGACAACGTGAGTGAGGACTGAATCAGGGGAAGGCAAATAAATACTTCTCCTGGATAACAAGGCAACATTTACACCTATTGACTGAGTCTTTATTAAGTGCCAAGCATAGGATTGAGCCTTTCTATGCATCACCTCATTTGAGCCTCAAGACAACCCTGTAAGGTGGTATATACTATCCCCATTTTACAGATAAGGAAATTGAGGCTTAGAGAGTTTATCATCCAAAGTTGTACGAGAAGTATGTAAGAGATTCAGGGTTCAAATCAAGGTCTGCCTGACTCAAAAAAGCCTGACCCAAAAAAAAAACCCCCCTTTTTTTTTTTTGAGACAGAGTCTCGCTCTTTCGCCCAGGCTGGAGTGCAGTGGCGCGATCTCAGCTTACTGCAAGCTCCGCCTCCCGGGTTCACGCCATTCTCCTGCCTCAGCCTCCTGAGTAGCTGGAACTACAGGTGCCCGCCACCACACCCCGCTAATTTTTTTTTTTGTATTTTTAGTAAAGAGGGGGTTTCACCATGTTAGCCAGGATGGTCTCGATCTCCTGACCTCGTGATCCACCCGCCTTGGCCTCCCAAAGTGCTGGGATTACAGGCATGAGCCACTACACCCGGCCAAAAAAAACCCTTTTCTCTACATTGAAATTTTTGGGAACATTATAGTTCACATGCAATTATAAGAAATAACAAGAGATAGCCTGTGTACCCTTTACTCAGTCTCTCCTAATAGTAACATTTTACAAAACTATAGCAAAAGAACAGATAACACAAGCAGGATGTTGACGTTGATACAATCCACTCATCTTATTCAGATTCCCCATTTTACTTGCATTTATCTGAATGAGTGTGTGTGCATGCATGTGCGTGTTTACTTCTATACTATTTTATCACATGTGTAGGTGAGTATATGCAGTCAAGACAACGAACATTTCCATCACCATAAGTTTCCTTCGCAGTCCTCTTTTATAGCCACACCCACCTCCCTCCCACCCCTACCCCATCCCTAACCCCCTAACTACCACCAATCTGTTCTCCATTGCTAAAGTTTTATCATTTTTCTTTTAAACATGTTATATAAATGGAATAATGTAGGATGAAAGCTTTGGCGATTGGCTATGTGTTGACTCAGCATAATTCCCTGGTGATTTATTGGTAGCATTAGTTCATTGTTTTTTATCACGGAGTCATATTCCATGGCATTCTGTCATTGATTTAACTGCTTACCTGTTGAAGGATATCTGGGTTGTTTCCATTTCTCGGCTATTATGAATAAAGCTTTTATGAACATCATTGTACGGCTTTTTGCATGAACATAAGCTTTTATTTCTGAGGGATAAATGCCCAAGAATACAAGCGCTAGGTTGTACAGTAATTGCATATTTAGTGTTCTAAGAAACTGCCAACCTGCTTTCCAGAGGGGCTGTACACTTTTATATTCCTACCAGCAATGTATGGGTAATCCAGTTTCTCTGCATCCTTGCCAGCATTTAATGTTGTCACTATTTTTTATTTCAGTCATTCTGATAGGTGTATGGTGATAGCTCACTGTGGTTTAATTTGAATTTCTCTGATGGCTAACGATGGTGAATATCTTTTCATGTGCTTATTTGCCATGTGTATATATCCTTTTTGGTGAAATATTGGATCACGTCTTCTGGCCATTTTCTAATTGGATTGTTTGTTTCTCACTGTTGCATTTTGAAAGTTTCATATATATATGTGTATACACACACACACACATATATATATATTCTAGATACTAGGCCTTCCTTTGTTAGTATGTGGTTTGCAAAAATTTTCTCCTACCTGTAGCTTGCCTTTTCCTCCTTTTAAGGGTATTTTCAGAGCACAAGTTTTCAATTTTGGTTAGGTTCCATTTATCAAATTTTCCTTTTTTGATCATGCCTTTGATGTAAAGCCTGTGTTTTTAACCATGGTGCTCCACTGCTTCCCAGAGCCTGGAGAAGAGAGGTCTTGGTTTGGGAGGAGGTCTTTGGCTTGCTTGTGAGGTTCTAAGGCATATGGAGTTAGGGCCGCCAGGAAGGCTCTCACAGGAGGTAAGTTTCAGCTCACTATCAGAATGAATTGTCCAAGGCCAAGTTTAGAGAATGAAATGTGTTAGGAGTAAGCTCCCTGTCACGGGAGCTCAAACAAGGGCTGGCTGCTATCCACGTGGACTCACAGAAGGAATTCAAGCATCAGATGGGGCTTGGGCAACTGTATCCCTCATGTTCCCTTTTAACTAAGAATTTGGGAGTGTGGTTTTTGAATTAGCCCTGCCTGAATGGGAGTTTTTAACAAATATATCCCCCGGGTTGAGAAACGTATAAAGGCTTTGGATGACAAAACCGAACCAGTCTCAAGAGGAGGTGGCCAGCTGAAGCCACCCAGTCTGCCATTATCTTGTCTAGGGACAGAATGCACGGAGGCCGAAGGCTTGCGATGGCACAGGCTGTGAGGCTGGGGCCTATTCCTGGATCCCTGTCCCCATCTTGGAGGCAGCTGCACACTGCCTGCCCCACCTCCACCCCAGCAGCCTCTTCTCCATTCAGACTGCCCTGGAGAATCCCTTTCTTTACGGCACTTATAAGACTTAATTACCAACGGCAAAGTCCTTTGAGGCCTTGGATGAAAGGAATGGGAGCAGCACAAGGCTTGATTAGGCGTGTAGAACTCTGGGCACAATTAGCTCCATGAGAGACTGGCCCTGCCTTTATCTGTCTCCAGTTCTGTGTGACTTACAGCGGCTAATTATTGAAATAAAAGTTGCCTGGCCACCCAGCTGCTGGAAAGAGGGCCTTAATATCTATTAAGTCTGCCTTTAATTATTAGAGATGGAGGCAGCTTCAGGCAGTTAGGGTTTTCCTATCATTATGGGCCTTTTCCTCCACCCCTTTGAGGCTTGGATACCCAGAGATGTCAGTGAAATTCTGCCAAAGCTACATCTCTCCCTTGCTTTCTACATAGCTTCCTTTCCAAGATGCCTTTACTAATCCACCTTTCCTGCTGTGAGGACCCATAGTCACACCTCCCCAAGGGCCTTTGCAATCACTGCATCTCACAGAACTTGGAGCCCTAGATGGAGCATTTTAAATTCCTGTGTGTGTGTGTGCACACATGGGTGCACACATATGTGCATTTTTCTGGGGTATCAGGGCAGTTCTCAGGCATAGATTAAATGTGACACCCCACACCAACCCATTTTGCAGAAGAGAAAACTGAGGCCGTGGAAGGAAGCAGGATGGAGCTGACAGCTTCTGGCTTTTCACTTGCTGGGATGCGGCTGACTGCCAGTCACAACCCCCCAAGCCTTAGCTCCCGCCTCTCTAAAAACAAAATTTCAAGCAGCATCAGGAGGGCACAATCAGTTGCCCCCTTCACAAACCTGGGGAGCTTGTGTGGGGCCGAGGGAGTGGATTTGTGCTACCGAAAAAGAGCCACTTAGAGGATGCCAAGGGAGAGGGTTGGCTCGCAAAGGTTTCCAGCTTTGGGGCTTTCATTAGGCAAAGAGAAAGTCAGAGAGCTTTGCACCTAGAAGGACCATGGAGGTGGCATATGGAGAGTTGTATATTTTTATTCACTTTGGTTCAACCCAGCAAACCCTGGATGCACCTCTAAGCTGTTCTTAGCATTGGGGAAGAATCGAGATGTTATAAGTACCAATGAAGTTAATGATCCAGGTGTGTGGGCATTTTCCTAACAGATGATGAAATTGAGGCACAGAGCAATGCAGGGACTTTCCCAAGGACAACCCACCTGCTCTAAGAGCCCATGTGAGCACCAGCTGAGGGAGGGAAGGACTGTTCCGAGGTCACTTTCAAACCGCTATTGTGTGGGCTTCAGTCATCACGAGTTGAGGGACGGCCTGAGTCATAGTAACTGAGGAGGAAATATAAGGGCTGGGGGGATAAAAACAGAAATTTTCTTCCTCTAGGCCCGCCCTGCCCCTGCCCCACCAGCAAAATTGAAACCTGTGTCAGCCACGAGCACTCCGAGCCCACATCCATTGGGCAGCAGTTCTGAGCTTGATCCAGTTCCATCCCCAGGGCTCAATAGCAAAAGGCCTGGTGAACAGAGTTACAATAGAGCCTTTGGTTTCTGAACAATCACAGCAGTGGGCCAGCAGCCATTAAGCATGTGTGCATGCACACACACACACACACACACACACACCACCTCTGACAGGAAGGACAGCCTGGGTAATCCCTGCTGTCCTCCCAGCTGTGATCAGAGGCTGATGGTGACCTCTAGATTTCTATCCTTTCAGCTTAGCATCAGTGTCAGGTATGCCCAGGGCATAGACTACATGTGTCTGGACCTGGAGTTTTATAAGACAAGAAGCTATTGTGCACACAAGGTATCTTGATGGCACCCGGAGAAGCCATTGTGATATTCCTTCCCTGCTCAACAGAGCATCTTCTCTGGGCCTAAAGAGCAGAAAGGATGTCTCTAAATCCTCCCTTAGCCACAGACCCAAAGCTGTATGAACTCAGGCCCAGCGTCTGGCTGAGAAGACAGAGGAAAAGAGGGACTAACCCCTTCCTCCAGCTGTTGTGTTCAACCAAGAACTTCCTTCAGGCTGAGGAGGCCTTTGTGTTAAAACTAAGTTTCACCATTTCCAGAATCCTTCAACTGATGCCTGCCTTTCTGGGATGTTGGTTTCCCTTCTGTCTCTCTCCTCTCTCACCTCACAGAGTGGAGGCCTAATAGGGCACCCAGGTAATTACAGGTTAAGATTGGACGCAGTAGGGGACGTGTGATTAATCAGCCTCTCTCCCTCTTCCCTCTGCTTCCTAGTGTGGTCCCAGAATAAGCCCAGAGAAAGTCAGGAAAAAAATGTTTTTACAGAGAATTGGCAATCCAATAAACTGGGTTTCAGGCCTGACCCTTGAAGGGGTTTTCTAGGAAAAGGGTTTTTCTAGGGAGAAGGAAGGAAGTATTTTTCCCTGGGGCCTGAAGTACAGAAGAGACTGGCAATTTCCCAAAGTGCTGCTTACAAGGAAACTCAGAGTCCTAACAGCCAGCTGTACTTGGGGCCCCAGTGGGTCTGGCTTCCAAGAAAGCCACATGGGACTGAGTGCCCCAAGGCAACATGTGTCAGATACAGGAGAAAGGGGTGCAGGGGGGACATTCAGGCTGCACCAAGAGGCTTCCAGTGGATTCCAGTCAACACAATGGGAGAGGCAGGCCAGCAAACGGGATCATCTTCCTCTCCCTGCCCTGTTAACCCCTGCTCGGCTTTTCAGACCCGGCCCAGGGATTCCTCCTTCAGGCAGCCTCTGCTGCCCACCCCACCTGATGCAGTGCCCCCCTACCCCGGGTGTCTGTGTCAGTTGCTCTTTTGCATCCTTTGTGCTGGAATCACCTGTAGACGTGTTTGTCCTTCTGACATTCCTGTGGGCTCTTCGAGGATCAAGACTGCATCCGCTCCAACCCCTTGTCCCCGGGTCTACCCTAGGATCTCATAAAGCCTTGTTGGATGGGAAAGAGGGAACGAGGTTGGACAAACCCAAGGAAAAGGTCACCAGAAAGGTGAGGGCTTGAAAACTGTGGGAGATATGTTAAATCTGAAGAGAGGATGCAGACACCCAGACCAGCCCGGTCTTCAGTCTGGAAGAGCTATTGCTGAGGCAAAGGCATTAGGCTTATTTCCTGAGACCCCAAGGAGTAGAGCTGAGGCCTGTGGAAGGAAGCTAAAAGGAGGCAGGTTTCAGCCCCCTGAGGTAGTAAAGTCCCCAGCTCTGGAGCTGGTGTGACCACTCAGTAGGGATGGGACTGAGGAGGGTTTGGGCACCTGATGGGGCTTGAATCAGCTGACCTTTGATGTTGTTTTCAATCCGAACACATTTTCTTTCTTCTTTTTTTTTTTTTTTTTTGAAACAAAGTGTCACTGTGTTGCTCAGACTGGAGTGCAGCGGCTCGATGTCAGCTCACTGCAACCTCCTCCAACTCTCAGATTCAAGCAATTCTCATGCCTCAGCCTCCTGAGTAACTGGGACTACAGGTGTGGACCACCACACCCAGCTAATTCTTGTATATTTCGTAGAGATGGGTTTCACCACATTGGCCAGGCTGGTCACAAACTCCCGGCCTCAAGTGATCTGCCCTCCTTGGCCTCCCAAAGTGCTGGGATTACAGGCGTGAGCCACCGTGCCCAGCCTAACACATTTTCTGACTCTAAGATGCCACCATTTGTCAAAGGGAATCATTGGCTCCTACGTGACTTTGGGGGCAGGAAGGATGTAGACCAAAGGAATCTGGAAGACACAGCTACCATAATACCATCTGTTGATGGAAGGCCTGTTGTGTCCTAGGCCCTGCACATGCCCAGCCCTCTAGGGGGTCAGGCAGCTCTGGGGGGAGCCCTCCCAGCTCCGCAGCTCAGGATCAGAGAAGCAGTGCCCATACAGCAGCTGTCTGCCCTTTGATACCTGGCCTCTGACAAGCTCTCTAACAGAAGGGCAAGATGGCTTCTGTAGACAGCGGCACCATCTGTCACCTGCCTGCCAGCCGCTGATTAGGGATGTCCCTGTAGCCAGGCTGGGCACACAGCCACACTCCACCACGCTCCCAGGAAAGCCCTGTCTCTGTCCCGACAGTTCTCTTTCTGTACAGGGCACGTATCAAGCAGCAGCTGTAAAAGCGCTTCTCCCAGGAGTCCAGGCCAGGTGCTGACTCAGTTCAACAGAAGAATTAATAATGTTTTTTAAAAAAGGTGAAAGAACAAATAGAACATTTAAGCCAATTAGAATATAGAATGACGTATGCAGGAAGCAGTGTAGGTTATGATTAAAAGCTTGAACCTTGGGGTCAGACAGACACAGGTTTGAATCCTAGCTCTGTCACTTTTTTGTTGTGGCCTTCCAGGCAGGATACTTAACCTCCCTAAATCCTGGTTTCTTTGTCGATAAAATGGGGATGGTTTTGGGAGTGGTGAGAACTCAGTGAGGTAATGCATATAAAGACCTTGCTTTTAGCCACCATTATTATAATCACTGTCTCACTGTTGAAAAAGGCCAGGGATTCCCCAAAGTGACAGTGCCAGAGAAATATGCTCTGGGTGCTACAACAGAGAGTACAGACCTCAGAAGCAGAGCTCCCGGATTCCAGTCCTGGTGTGTTGTGTGAACTTGAGCATCACTTTGCTACTCTCAGTTTCTAAATCAGTAAAGTGGGGATAGGAGTGCCTCCTTCTCTGGTTTGCACAAAGCCCAACACAATACTTGGTACAAGAACAGGTACCACCACAAGCCATCCTCCCCACCCCCACTTTAAAATAAAGGACTCAAAGACCACACTTTGAAGGAATAAGAAAAGTAAAATTCACGATTTTACACATACACACACACACACAGATGCTACCCAGGACTTATATTTTGTGGAACACATTTTAGCTCTGAAATATTTATGGGCCCTTTTTGACACACAAAGAACTAAAAATATCACCCTGTGCTTATGTTAAGGAAAACTTATAAAACTTTAGTCCAGTAGGAATTCAGTCAATTTCCTGGCTCGTTTCTGGCTGTATCTGAGGCTGCGAGGTAACCCGGGGTGATAACAGCCCCCATTTCCCTGCGGGTTTTGGCAGGGGCAGAGGTTTTTTCGAGCACTGTACTGTCTGTGGAAGTCTCTCTGCGAATGCTCCAGGCTCCTGCCCCTTCATAAATATTGCTGGAACCCATGTGAAGGGGCCAGGTTTGTTTCTTGAATTTCTCCTCAAACACCAAAAGCTTTATTTCCCATATCTCCCCTTCTCCCGGGCCCCACACTCTTGCCATTCTTCCAGACCAGCTCCAGCCTCCCAAGGCAGCAGGGCCTCTGAAAACTAGCTGCAGGGCACGCTCCCTACCAGGTCCTCCGAGGGCAGGCTCTCTCTGCCACATGCATTTTGCATTTTACTGTCCACTTACATTTACCATGTAGGGATGTTACTTTATTTCTTCTACCAGGCTGCTCCCTCCTCACTTCTCAAGCTTTCTCTCCAACCTCTTTCCCTCCCCAGAGTCTGAACTCTCGGAATATAACTGGGCCTTTGTCTGTGCCAGGTTCATTTTTCCATGCTGTGATCTAGGACAGTGTTTTTCAGACTGTAGATTGGCATCTCATTCATAATTCTAGTTAAGTAGAGAATAAAATATCAGATTTCACCCTTGCAGTAAGGTTCAGCATCTTTTCATGAAATTTTTGTTTTAGTTAAAAAAATTGTAGATGTGTGTATCCTGGATTGCAATATAAGCGTATTTTTACTGTAGGCAAGAGAAATTTGAAAGCCACAGATCTAAACTTTTTTCTCTCCTTACCTCAAAACCGTCTTTTACTTGACATTCTTTGGTTTTCATTTAGATGTCACTGTTTCTGGGGAGTGGTCCCTGATGGTCTCTCCACCTTTGACCCACCTTGGCCTGGGTGTGGGGCAGGCCCCTGTGGTGTCCTTCCCTGCCTCTCCCTCTGTCTGACTTGCCCAGTGTATAGAAGCATCTAGGAGTCAGAAGCACATCTGTCTTGTCCTCTGATGCCTCCAACAAGGCTTGGCACAGGAGGGTAGGAACTGGGAGTTCGGGGAGGAGAGAAGAAGGGAGTCTCCTATGACGCCTCCTTGGATCTTTTGCAGCACTTAGGACAGAAAAGGGACTTAGCAATGATTACCAAATGAATGAGCCTATGGAACTAGGTTTTTGATCCTTTTCTTGAGGTTCAAACATTTTCTTCAGTTTCAAATCTAGACCCTGACACTTGGAAGCCACGTGATCTAGAGCAAGCCAGTTAATCTCTGGGCTTGTTATCTCATTGATAAAATAAGAGTAAATAAGAGAAAATAAAGAATAAAAGAATAATACCTAACTTACCAAGTTATTATAGGGATTTGAAATAATTTACACAGTACCAAGCACATGAGGAGGTGTTCAATTAACAGTAGTTATCTTACCATTACTAGCCCTTTCTTTTCCTGTCTTCAGTGATCCCCTGATCACCATCACCACCAGGGGGCTCCCAGGCCTCCCCACATTCACGTCCCTATTGAAACCTTCCAGATCCATCCAAGCCCAGCTTCACATAAAGGAAAAAGACAAAAACAAAAAAAATACTGATATGGTTTGGCTGTGTCCCCACCCATATCTCATCTTGAATTCCCACGTGTTGTGGGAGGTAATTGAATCATGGGGGCCGGTTTTTCCCATGCTGTTCTCGTGGTAATGAATAAGTCTCACAAGATCTGATGGTTCTATAAGGGGGAGTTTCCCTGCACAAGCTCTCTCTTCTGTTGTCTGCCACCATGTGAGATGTGCCTTTCACCTTCTGCCATGACTGTGAGGCCTCCCCAGCCACGTGGAACTGTAAGTCCATTAAATCCCTTTTCCTGTATAAAGTACCCAGTCTCAGGTATGTCTTTATCAGTAGCGTGAAAACAAACTCATACAACCACCCAAACATGGATTTTAAATTCAGAAGGTCTGGGTTCAGGTCTCAGCCCTGTCCTTTACTGGCTGTGTGAACTTGATCAGATAACTGGATCTTTTAGCCTGGCCTCAAAAACGAGAAATAATTATGGCTTTCATGGGGGTATGTGAAAAGCACTGTGCTCAACACATATGTCTTCTTCCCTCCTCTCCTCTGGGCCTACTCTCCTTCTCCACAGACACACCAAAACCAAGACCCACGTTAGCATAAGAACAAGCTTATAAAACTGCAGTTTATACTTTATCAAAGCATTTGTCACTGATGGTGATGGTCCCTAGGGCTGACACCCCAGAGAGATGGTGAGCTGTCACTGGAGGGCTTGTGACCCGCTCCTCTCTGGAACCTCCAGTGCCCAGCACTAGACTGGTCTGCAACAGTTTGTGAAAATGAATTCTTCTCTAAGGCACCTTTGTGGTACTCAGGTTTTGCTTGGAGAAGAGTTTCAGAACACTGCGCCATGTCTGGAGCAGACTGACAGGCCGAGTCCCTGCCAGGGTCTTACACATCTCACAGATGGCGTCAGTGGCAATGTGCTCACCTGGGGGCCACATGCTCTTCGTCTTGATTGGAGCCTCTTTGTTTAGCCTGAGGCCTACAATGACTGAGCTACTAGTTTGGTCCTTAGTTATATATTTGCTACTTGAGCTTCCCAAAACATTCTCACCTGCCTAATTTGGTCTAGGTTTAAAGTAGTTACATAATTTGTTGTTTAGAAATAACAACACAATAATGATGATGGCATTGACAGTAATGATTTTCCAATCCCTTATACCAATTTAGTACATTACAGTTTACAAAACATCTAACAAACTCAGCCTCTTGGAGTAAGTTAAATGTCCTGTGCCCAGGGCCACACAGCTAGGAGGTGGCCAGGACAGGCCTTACTCCTAGCCTGGAGCTCATTCTATCACTGTCAGGATAGAGGGTTCTGGAAAGAAGGTTTGCAGTTGGACACTTCCAGCTCTTGAGTCTCTTCCTGTGTGACTGCAAGCCAGTTATTTTACTTCTCTAAGCCGCAGGCTCTTCATCAATAAAATGGGACCGATTCACAGAGGTAGAAATGATGAGAACTAAATGAAATCATCTCAAGCACTTGACCGGTGCCTGGCCTATGGCAAACCCTGAGTAAGTGGTGGCTGGTGTTATTATTAGTTCAATGACGATGATGATTGCTGAAAGCCAACAGAAAGTAAGGGGTGAAGCTGTATCATTGGTC
Source organism: Homo sapiens (assembly GCF_000001405.40). Classification (NCBI taxonomy): domain Eukaryota; kingdom Metazoa; phylum Chordata; class Mammalia; order Primates; family Hominidae; genus Homo; species Homo sapiens. The sequence continues at coordinate 79,075,032 of NC_000011.10, read as the reverse complement.
AGGATCCTAACAGGAAACAGTTCACTCTAGATGGCTTAGAGGAGCAGACTTTAATGAAGAGACGGAGGTGCAGCAGGGTCTGAGAGCCAGCCCTGATGGTGAGACGCCTGGGCTGTAGCAACAGCAAGAAACTGGCACATCCCTGGTCCTGCACAGATGAGGGTAGGGGAAGATGTTAGCAGAGCCCAGTATGAAGCGGAGGCCTGGAGGAGGGGCTACCTGTCAGAGAAGGCATGGACAGAGGACTAGAGAGCTAGTGGGGGCAGGGAAGACACACTCTGGCCTCTCACCTAATGTGACCCTGCCCCCATCTCCTCCTGGTGCCGCCCTTAGGTGAGTCCACCCAACACCACTTGTAGAGGCTCAGCAATGTTAAAGAGTATGGGATGTCTGGCAAATGGCAGGCAGTTCTGCATGACTGAAATGGAGCATATGAGTCTGCGAGAGACAGGTTGCTCTGTGGCAGCCAGAGGAAGCAGAGAGAGACAAGGAAAGTTCAGATCTCCAGAAGCCTTGGATGTCACGCTCATGGGTTTTATGGGGAACCCAGAGGTTGGTGGGTAAGGAGGGAGCGAACACGTTTAGGCATGGATATGTGCCATGTGCTTCTGTCCCTGAACCTGTGGCTGGGGGTTGCAGGGTCTGAGGTGGGCCCCTTCCCCAGCATTCCTTCTGTCCTTCTGCCGGGGGGCTCCAGGTCACTGTACTGAAGTCCCTTGCTCCAGAGGGAGCATTTCTCCACTGTCACTCCTCTTTCACCCCAACCTCTTCTTTCTCGCTCTGTTAAATGCCAATTTGAGTGTGAACCATAACTGACCTCCCATCTGTTCAAAAACAGTAAATATTTGCTGAATTACTATATTAAGCCTAAAATGTGAAAAAAAAATTTTAAGGAAATGAGAACCAGGCGAATGTTCTCCCTGCCTCAGCTTTGTGACAGGGAAGCTGTGCGTTAGGTGTGTATGTTCTTAATAATTTGTGATTACTGAGCCTTTGCCTTGATGCCAATGTCTTCAGTCAACAGGCACACACTGATAAGAGGAAATAGTCACCCACCAATTTAACAGCCTAAAACGTTTCTCAGCCTTATTTACATATGCTTCTGAGGGGATGCCCCTTCCCCAGTTATAACTGACACTTACCCGTAGCTTTCTACATTATGCCTTTTAAACAGAAAATGTGTTTGTTTTTTCTGATGATAATAATAGCTAACATCTATGAGCACTCATTGTGTATCAGGGGCTGTATATGCTAGGGGCACATCTTAACTCATTTAATCCTCAAAACAACCCTAAGAGGTTTTACAGATGAGAAAGCTGAAGCACAGAGAGGTTAAATAACTTGCCCAAGGTCATTCAGCCGGTCAGTGGGGGATGCATACCGCAAGCCTGGGCTACCTTTGAAATTTAAAAAAAGAATACATGTGAGCAACGCCTCTAATTCAGCCTTAGATTTACGTAATACTTTACTTAATTGGTAGTGAACTACTAATATTTTATGTTATTGAGGCTTAATAAGAAGACATGAAGTAGCTGCCAAGTAGTTTCATTCATGCATGCACTTAACAGGCATTTTGTGAGCACCGGATACCAAGCCTACCTACCCTCAAGGAACCGTAGTCAAGGGGAGAGGCAGACATGAAAAAAAGATCATCTAGTGGGCTGCATGTGCAGTGATGAAACATCATGCACAAAGTCAGAGAGGCCACAGAATTCACATCCAGGAAAGTGTGAGTGGCTCAGCAAGATGGAAGCGAGGTGAGCCAGACTGACAAGAGCCTTCATTTTGACCAGGAAGCCAGAATTGACCCCAAAGGCTCAGCAGGGCTGCTAGAGGGCATAAGCAGGACAATAGCATGACCTGGGCCTCAAAAATTCCCCTGGCACAGCCCATACAGCAGTTATACCCATTTGCTGAGTTCAACCTCAGGATCACAATTTTTTCTCCACCATGCCAGGGCCATGTAACCTTGGGCAGCATACTTAACCTCACAATTTCTCATCTGCAGTTTGCAGAGAATCATAATACCTATATCACAGGGTTGGGGTGAGGATTAAAGATGTTATATATAATCATAGTAAAAGCAAGCAATAATTAAATATTAGCTACTAAGAGTCTATTAGCTATATTGTTCAAACCATTATTAATATTATGAGTTATTAATATGAGTTATTAGTGAGTCATATTAATAATGGCTAACATTATGGAGTACTTATGCTTATTATTATCATCATCATTATTGTCACTCAGGGGTTAGAAGTAAACAGGCAGAGGCAGCAGTTGCCATAAATCCTCATTCAAATTATACCAGAATAGTGCTTTGCGTTGAAAGCCAGTATTGGGTTGTGATATCAATTTAGAGTTATAATCAGTCATTTTTTAAAAATGAAAGAGAATGAGATAGAACATATCAGAGTGCATTTCTCATCATGCAATAACTTTTGTGAATCTTTTGTTTCTCTTTTATACATGTAAACACACACATTCGCATACATCAATGTGTGTAGTGGGTCATTATGTAAGATATTGTAATTTTTTTTTTTTTTTTGAGACAGGGTCTCACTCTTGCCCAGCGGGGAGTACAGTGGTACCATCACAGCTCACTATAGCCTTGACCTCCTGGGCCCAAGCTATCCTCCCGTTTCAGCCTCCTGAGTAGCTGAGACTATAGGCATGTGCCACCATGCCTGGCTAAATTTTTGTTTGTTTGTCTGTAGAAACAGGGCCTTGCTGTGCCCAGGCTGGTCTCGGACTCCTGGCCTGTAGTGATCCTTCCACTTCGCCTCCTAAAATGCTGGGATGACAGATGTGAGCCACCCCATGCCTGGCCATAATATGTTTTTCTAATTATGGACTGCAGTCAAGAAAGTTTTTAAAACCCTGGAGTAGAAGGTACTATCACTGATCTTCCCTTGTGGTCCTGCTTCTCAGACACTCAGAGGACTATCATCTTGCCAGCTATTGGGAACACTGAGCATCAGGATGGCAGAGCTCAGAGCTCTGGGTTTGAGCCTCAGTAATATAATTTGATTTCTGTGTGTCTCGAGTTACACCCCTTGCCCCAGCATTAATTTCCAGGGATATTTTGAGAATCGGGAACCAAAACAGTGTCAACTATTCATCTTAATTGGATCTAGGTATAATCCCGAGGCATTGCAGTCTATGTAGTTAGTGCCAGCTTTGCAACTAACTCACCATGTGGCCTTAGGCAGGAGACTATATGGCCCTGGGTCACTGTAGCTTCATCTATAATATGGGGATGAAAATAATTGTAATCTCTACTTCACAGTTATTGTGAGGCACCAATAAAATCACAAATGTTTGCACTCTTGGAAAAACGGGCCAAAGAGCTACCTCTGATGTCCATGGTCAAAGGCAGAATTTGGAAACTACGAGCCTCAGAGCAAATTCAACTCAGAAGTCTCTTTTGTTTGGCCTGCAAAGTATTAAAATTAAATAATAATAATGGATCAACATTTTAAAGTCATAGCTTTTATATCTAACTCCAAATTTCCAGCTTGTCTTAAAAATTCACAAGACACCCCCACCCCCCAGACACTCCCACCCACACTCCCACTTTGCAGCACAGGCAAGCACTTGGACAGACCCACCCTCCCAGCTGTCAAGGCCCCACCCTGGACACTGAGATCTGATGTTGGCAGCATTTATCACAGCTCTTGCTCTGTTGTCTCTCTAATTGGATAGTGAAGCAGGGGAATGTCTTGTGTACCCATGCTGCTCTGAAAGATGGAGCAACAGAAAGCCAGAACTGAGCAGGTTGTGTTTCATAAAAACTAAGTGATGCCCTATGTCTCTGCGGAGGATATTCTGCTTTCCTTCTGTATTGAGCTCCTGGCCCTGTATGGTTGTGTTTGCTACCCCAGAGCTCAAAGAAGACATTTGGAGGGAGAAAGAGGGTGCTATCACAACTCAAAAATCCAGGGGTGTCAGTGTAGGGCAGAAGGGTCAAGATGGGGAAAAGAGGAGAAAGGGCTATTAGGAGCTTCCCACCAGTCAGACCTTCTAGCAACACCCAGATGGATGGGGCAGACACTGTGCTGCCCAGTGCTGACGGTGGCACTGAGGAGATGGGCAAGTCTGGAGGTGAGGGACATTCTCTGAGTAACTGGAAGGGCACTTTTGTGTACTAAGAGTAGGAGGGAGACGTCTCAGGGAGGCAGAATGGAATAGGAAAAATGCAGGCTTTAGAGCCAAACAGATCAGAGTTCCAATCCTGGCTTTTTTACTTGACACCTAAGTGACCTTGAAGGGGGTTCCGAGTCTCAGTTTTCTCATCTGTCAGATGGGGATGGTTAGCTGGTTAATTAAACACATCTTTATTATGCGCCTACTGTGTACCAGCCCTTGTTCGAGGTGCTAGAGACCAGGAGTGAGCAGTACAGGTAAAGTTTCTGCTCTCATAGAGCTTACAGACTAGCAGAAGGAGATGGGCAAAAAGCAAATAATTATATAATCATCTGGTAGTGGTAAGTGTGGGTTGGTTGTTTATACCTTAGCTCGTTTCCAAAAGAGGTTGGAGAGAGTAATAACATCTCAGAAGATATCAAGATTTACTAAGATAATATATGCAAAGTGCTTACCCCAGTGTTTGCATGCAATCATTCATCTCACAGATTTTTAAGGAGCCCTGGGCCAGAGCTGGGTCAGGCCCTGCTCCATGTGGGATGTGATGGGAACCAAACAGGCTTGGTTCCTACCTAGGAATATTACTAACCACCAGTGCCCTTTGGCCTTTGCTGTCAGCTTCCTCGGTGCCCATCACTGGAGGAGGCCTCCTCAAGGTGAATAGGCTAAGTAGCAAAAAGGGCCAGGATTTGTAATTAGAGGTCCTGGGTGCGACTTTCCTTTGCCACTTATGGGCTGCGTAGTGGTGGAGCGGTACCCTCTCCTCCACTGCCTGGGGTTCTCTGTCCACAGGGCTGCAAGGGTGAATCCAGGACCAGGATGAACCCGGGAATGTTCTCTGCCTCTCACGCCCTATCTTTGGTTTCCCTGGCTCTAGACCACTCGGCCCTGAGTGCGGCGAGGACCCTGTTTGTGGATGTGGAGGAGCGCGGGCCGGAGGCCATGGACGTGAAGGAGAGGAAGCCTTACCGCTCGCTGACCCGGCGCCGCGACGCCGAGCGCCGCTACACCAGCTCGTCCGCGGACAGCGAGGAGGGCAAAGCCCCGCAGAAATCGTACAGCTCCAGCGAGACCCTGAAGGCCTACGACCAGGACGCCCGCCTAGCCTATGGCAGCCGCGTCAAGGACATTGTGCCGCAGGAGGCCGAGGAATTCTGCCGCACAGGTAAGGACAAGGCCGAGGGGGCGGGCCTCAGGCGCAGGTGAGCTTGGCTCAGGTAGGCATGGGCTCGGGTGGGCGTGGCGCAGGTGGGCGTGGCACAGGTGAGCTGGAACACCAGTTGGGGTGCCATATCAACAGCAAGTTTCTGCCATTTGGGCACTTGGACCTGGTAAAAAGCCTGCCCTGTAGTTCATTCTTAGTTCATTTATTTTCTCGCTCACCCACTTCCCTGGCATAGTGAGGTGGTTAGGAGCTGGGCTCCAGTGTTTGTCTACCTGCCTAGAGTTGAGTTAGGCTCCCCTCTAAGCCTCAGTCCTCAACTGTTACATGGCCGTGAGAAGCCTCCCTAGTGCACTGAATTGTCCTGAGGACTTAATGAGATGGCCTTTAAGTGGTAAGCCTGATAATACCAAGTAAGCGCTGAATAAATGTTAGTTCCTAGTTTTGCTGTTCATTCAACAAACATATTTAGCAGTTTCTTTGTGTCAAGCCCTGTGTGACCTTGAGAGGAAGACCTTCCCGAGATGGTTAGACATGAAAACTTAGTAATTTGTAGGATATTCTGGTGCCTGGCTCCCTCTCCTGCACTTTCTACCTACAGTAGTCCCCAAAGCCTATCCATCCTGCCCCAGTATTCAAATCCATTCTTCTTAGCCATTCCCTCTGATACTTCCCAGTGCAAACCATTATCATTTTTCTTGGAGGATTAACCACAACCACCCCCCTTCACCCAGAGCTGCCCGCCTCTAGCCATTCTCTGTACTGCAGCCAGATGAAGCTTGGGGGTGACTCCCTGTTGCCCTTAAACTGAGCTCCCCCTAGCATAGAACTCTTTCCCCAAATCTGTTTCTGTTTTTCTAGACTTTTTTTGTCCCCTAACTCTCCACACTCCACCACTCATGGGCCAGCCCTGCTGAACTGCTCAAGTTTCCAGACCTGCCATGATATTTCTTTCCTACCCTGGTGCCTCGGTGATTCCTGTTTTTCTGCCTGCAGAGGCTTGAGCCCTCTTTGATGCCTGTTGGGTCATGACCAATGCCTGACAATTTGTGCAGCCCACCCTGATTTGCTCTGCCCTTCTCCCCCTTCACAGACAGGGTCAGCTGAGCACTGTGCTATGTAATGTATATGCATTTTGACAGTGTTATTTAATTCTCATAACAACCCCAGGGTGAATCATTTGCCCAAGATCACAGAGGTAAGAGGAGCTGGCCACACACACACACAGAGCACACCTATGACCTCTTCATTTCCATTCTCTCCCACAGGCCTGTATCCATGTGAAAGCTGACCTGTTCTGCCTGTGAGGCTTGAAAAATGAGCAGTCCCTTTCCCAGCTTATGGTTAAGGCTCCAACTCTGGCATCAAACAGACCTAGATTTGAACTGTGGCTCTGCCATTTTTAGTATTCTCAGCTACTTTACCTGTGCAAAGGGATAAACAGTACCTAATAGGTGGTGAGGATTGATGAGAACTATAAATGAAACACTTGACACCAGTACCTGGCACAGAACAGATGCTTCAGAAATGCTGCCTGTTATTCATTGTCATCTCTGGATCTCACTGAAGAGAAGAGACAAAATGGTCTCTGAAAGCTTTTCTTTTGCTCCGTCCTGTCCGTAAGTGACAGAGCTCAGTGAGCCCCGGTTGGCTTGGACCTAGCACATGAGGCTCAGGGAAGGGGCGGCTCCTTGTCTTTGTAAATAACAAATAAGCATTCTCATCTCATAGGCAGGCATGTGCGTAGCAGTTTACAAAATACTCTCCTTCAAATTATCACCCTGGATCCTCAAAAATCCTTTGAAGGTAGCAGGTCATAGATTATCATCCCATTTTAAAGACAAGAACATTGAAGCTCAGGTGATCACAAGCCCAAGATTGCACAGCTAGATGTTGAGTGAGATGGGATGTCAACTCATGCCCCGGGCCTCAGAAAAGAGGCCAAAAAGGACATAAAGCAAGTAAACCATGAGGACTTCTTAAATTGGATGAAGTAAATCTTCCAAACTCACACATCAGAGGAGCTGACTGGCTCAACAGGATCATGGAACCCTTAGAGTGAGCCCTTACCTTGCATTTTCCTAGGAGTTAAGTTCCTAAGACATCCTAGTCCCGAGATGTCTTAACTCACTTGTATTGATGCTGAGTCTGGCTGCTTAAAAGGGCATGCAGGACAAGCCAGATGGAAATCAATGCAGCCCAGGCTGTTTGTTGCAAATAAATTTGATTTTTCACTTAATGTAAGAGTCATTCTTCATAACACGTGAGTGGCTTCTCTTTGAGAGGGCCGGCCGAACAGAGCACAGATAGAACTGTGGATGGGGACAGGGGGCGAGAGCAGGACAGGAGAGAGGAGTGTAGATCAGAGAGCGGCCAGGGAGTGTGATACGCAGGGAGAGCAGGAAGCCGACTGAGGAATTTAGGCTCTAATTTGGCATTTTCTTTTTCTTTGAAGGAGAGCAAAATCGGAGGGCAGATTGGAGTAGGGCACGGAGGAGTGGTATGCAAAATACTTAACATCTGGTTGGCCCAGCCTCTAACCAATCAGAATGTCTGCCTGGCCACTGAGCAGAGCCCACGGGCTTCTTTTATGCCTGGTCCGCGGACATTAACCCTTTGTTTAGTAACTGGATCATGAGGAGATTGGGGGTATTGGGAAGGGGCTGGAACAGCCAGAGCAGAGGCTGAAAGGCACTGGGTGTGGAAGGAGGCACTGAGGTGGCTTGGCACAAGTTATTTACCAAGCTGTGTGGAAGTACTTCATGACTGTAACCTGGCATCAAGGCTGTCCCAGCCTGAGCCAGCTGAGTAGGAGGCCTGAGATACACCTCCACCCACCACCACAGCCTAGCATAGCAGCTTGCATTTCAGCAGCACCCCAGCTGGTCTCTCCTCCCCGCTTCCTTGTCCCCTTATCTGTTGTCCAGAGTACTGCCAGAGTATGTGCTTGTGTGTGTGTGCGTGCTTGTGCGTGCGTGTGTGCATGTGCGTGCGCGTGTGTGCTCGAGTGTGCATGCGTGTGTGTGCTCGAGTGTGCATGCGTGCGTGTGTGTGCATGTGCATGTTTGCACGTGTGTGTGCACTTGTGTGTTCATGTGTGTGCGCACGTGTGTGTGCACGCGCGTGTGTGCTTGTGTGCATGTGTGTGTGCGCGTGCACGTCTGTGTGTGTCTGCATGTGTGTGGTTACCTAACTTTTACAGGGCACCTACTCTGCAGCAGGTGTGATAGGTGTTGGATTCAGATAATTAGGACACACCAGGGGAGCACAAGTTTATCTGTAAGAGTGAGACACACCATTATAATAAGATGGCGTCTCTGCTGGCTCGCCTCCTACCCCTCCGGCAGTTCTTTCTTGCTTTCCTTTGCAGGCTTGTCCTATTCAGTCCTGGCCGAGGAGGCCTTTAAAGCTTGGCCATCCACCTCTTCTGCCTTCTAACTTGTCATTCTCCACATTCACTCTCATCGCAAACCTCTCCTCTAAGCTCCTCACCCCAATATCCCACCTTCTGCTCCTGCGCTCCCAGAGCACTCTGTGGATCTCCCCATTTTGAACTTGCACACTTAATCATGTGTTTGGTTGTGTCTCTCCTACCCGCCAGAGAGTTCTGTAAAGTTGGGCACTGTATCCTATTCACTGCTGTATCTCAGTACAGGCCCAGGGCCGGCATGAATTGGTTTAAATGTGGGTTCTGCCTGATTATAACTCCAGTTCTCCAGATCGTCACGTTAAGTGGGATCTGACCCTTACTGACTTTGTATACTCCCTCTTCCTTTTCCCTGCAACACATTCCTGGGAATACTAGAAGTACAGGAGAAGCTGTCCCTGAATAGACATTGAATTCACATGCAGGAGTGACAGGGAGGCTAGTTTTCCATGAAGTCAGCATTCTCTTTGTCACTCAGGTACTACTCCTAGGTGACCTTCTCTTACCCAGCCTCTGTCCTAGGCATTGCCAGGCCTGCCCAAGCCCTCAAGAGACCTGTCTCTGCCAGTTCCCCATCACAGACCCACTTGGGATAAGGAAGCAGCAGGCAGAGCCTTTTTCCTGGTGTGAGGCTGACTTTTCTCTGCCAGTCCCCATCTTCTTCACTCTCAAGCTTCAGGCTTTCTTGACCTGGCCAGAAAGGAACTTCTGGCCCCAAGGGAGACATTTAGATCTCATCGACTGGGCTTCTGCCCTGCTCAGGACTTGCTGAAAAGTCCTCCCTGGAAAAGGAGACCTGAAGCCCTCAATTCATTTTAACAAGCATTTATTGAGCCCCTTCTGAGTACTGCATTTTTGTTCTAGGGAAAGAGATTTAAGAATAAGCATAAGCAAAACATGGTGCCTGCCCTTGCTGAGGTCACCTCCAGCAGAGGGGTAGACCCTTAAACAACTCTACTGTGCAGTATGACCAGGCCCAAGGACTCTGGAAGGAGCTTGGAGAAAGTGAAAATGAATTCTGCACAGGTGTTGGTATTGGGGTAGACTTCACAGAGCAGGTGCCATTTGAGTTGAGGCTTAAGGGAAATGGAGGGTTCAGGCTGATGAAGAGGGGGCAGAAAAAGCCCTCCAGGCAGAGGCAATCACTTGAACAAAGGCATGGGCATAGAATGCCACAGCAAGTTCAAAGAACGACAGTGAGCCCTGGGGTAAGAAGGCCAGGCTTCAGGCAGAGGCAGACGCAGACCTCATCTCAGTGCCCTAACCAAGTTCACCTGTGTTTCCTCCCAGGTGCCAACTTCACCCTGCGGGAGCTGGGGCTGGAAGAAGTAACGCCCCCTCACGGGACCCTGTACCGGACAGACATTGGCCTCCCCCACTGCGGCTACTCCATGGGGGCTGGCTCTGATGCCGACATGGAGGCTGACACGGTGCTGTCCCCTGAGCACCCCGTGCGTCTGTGGGGCCGGAGCACACGGTCAGGGCGCAGCTCCTGCCTGTCCAGCCGGGCCAATTCCAATCTCACACTCACCGACACCGAGCATGAAAACACTGAGACTGGTGAGTGGCTGGTTTGGTCTGTGCCGGGTGCCTGGGTGGTGGGGCTGGGGTTTTATTTATAATATTGATTTCCTGCTCCACTGCCGGGGCTCTGGTGAAGTTGGTGAAAAATTGCTTTACTCTCAGGGGTCAAATGTCAGAGTCTCTTGGAGAGTCACGTGAAATGCCCACCCATGAGTGACATGCCAGAGATTGGGTCGCTGCTCTTTGCTTCCGGATTAGGGAGGCGCCTAAGTCTCTGGGTCATTGCTCATAAGGTGCCTGTGTGCAGGGGAGCAGAGAGGGCATGGGGCAGTGGTAACAGATTCCCCATAGTTTATCCTCCATCAAATCAGCAAGGCCTGGTCCTGCCTGAATCCTGCTCATGCCATCTCTAGCTCCAGGTGCTCAGCTGTCCTGGGCAACCTCTAGGAACGCTGTCCCACATCAGCATCTTATGTTGTTCAGAGGATGGCTTCCAAACAAAAACTGTCATTTGGGGATAACTTGAGGTTTAGGGAAGATGTTGTCAAAGGGTACAGCGTTTCAGTTAGGAGGAGTAAGTTTTTGAAATCCATTGCACAGCATGGTGACTATAGTTAATAATAATACATTATATATTTCAGAGTTGCTAAAAGAGTAGATTTTTAAATATTCTCACCACAAAAAAATAAGTATGTGAGATGAGAGATATGTTAATTAACTTGATTTAATCGTTCCACAGGGTATTTAGGTATCAAAACATCATATTGTGCCCTATAAATATATACAATTATTATCTGTCTATTAAAAATAAAAAGAAAGTAAAAAGACAAAAAAAAATAAACTTTAATGATTAAAACTTGAGGCTTTGCTGCAGCTTCCCCCTGATCCCAGGACGTGCCAGCTGCACACTCATTATTCCACTCTCCTCCCTGAGGCTCGTTCCCAAGGCCTGAGAGAGGCTGTGGGAGGAAAAGATGACACCTGGTTCACACACCTCCTTTTCATGGTGGAGGAAAGGGGGCCCAGTTTCAGCGTCTTCCTCTTTCTCCCTTGGGACCTTGCTGGCAGAATTCTGAGGGGCTCTGAGTCGAACGTGGTCCTGCGTGGAGACTATTGCCTGGGGGGAATCTCCCCTTCTATATATTTCATGCCCTACCAGCCCTTGGGCAGCTTTGCTGAGCCAGGTCAGCACCGAGGTGGGTCCTGCTGGGTTCTGGCAGCAAAGGAAAGAGTGGCAGAGCCCAGGAACAGCCCCAGCACCTGGAGGGCTGTTTCTGGGAAGCCCAGTGAAGAGGAGGCCTGCTGGTGCTTCCGCACGACAGCCAGCAAAAGGGTAAGGGGAGGGCAGTCTGAATTATTAATAGAATAGGAAGCACCTAGCCTGGTGCCAGTGCCCCCTGCTGGCTTCTAGCTTCAAATGTAGATCCTCGTGATTCCTGCCCGGGATTCCCCTGGATCAGGGCAGGGACCAGGTCAGAGATGAGGCTTAGAGGGGTTAGTCTCTGAAGAGGAGGCTCCAACTGAGTGGTGCAAAACCAAGATTGATCCCCAGATTGGGGATGGGCAGGAGACCACGCACGGTCAGGGTCAGGTGGGGGAAATGTATCCCCTTAGGGTCCAGAGTCCCATGTGGCAGAGTTCCAAAGGTGCATCCTGCCACCCCTCCCAGAGGACTAACATGTTCGCCTAGGGAGCCTGTGTACTTGTCTAGGGGTGGGAGGGTGGCAATTGCTTGGGTACTGGGTAGTGGCTTAGCACTGTCACTCTCCGTTGGTCCCCAGCCAGCCCTGTGAAGGGGCCGATGACCTCAGTACCAGAGGAGTTTCCCTCTCTCTGGTGGGAAACCACCCACACTCCCTCACCCACCTTCCCAAGGCCATACCCAGCCAGCAACCCTGCTTCTCCCCACCCCGACCACGCACTGAACTTGAGCATTAAATTGAAGGGCAGTGCAGGGCCTGGCACAAAGAGAATAGGGTCTGTGCCATCACACCACAGCAGGCAGGGAGCCTCAGTTCTATTACTGGTCTAGGGTGTGGCATGGGGTAAATTGCATCCTTTCTTGGGACCTCAGTTTCCTCATCTATAAAATAAATAGTTTAAATGAAATTAGCATCCCCTGATCTGAGAATGTTAGTTCTTAGATGGGGTAAGGGGCTGTTCTGTGGTCAAATAATGTAGGAAACACTGAATCAAACAAACTTAAACCACTTTCTTTACTGCAGGGCTTCTTAGAGTTTTTAAGATGTTAATGTGCATGCTAATGGATAAATTACCAAGGGAGGATGTATGCAGCATTCCCCAAATCAATTTGACCACAGAACTCTTTTATTCTCAGAGCATCTGGTGGGACCAGTATTCTAATAAACGCTTTTTGGGTCTAGCTGAGCTAAATGAAATGACCTGTAGGCCCTTCCAGATGTAGAATTCTTGGATCCTAATTGCATGCACAAGATGAAGGTGTGCAAGAGGAAAATGATAATAATAACAGCATTAATACTTAATAGTTGTATGGCTGGGCATGGTGGTTCAGGCCTGTAATCCTAGCACTTTCAGAGGCTGGGGTGGATGGATTGCTTGAGGCCAGAGTCCAAGACCAGCCTGGGCAACATGGCAAAACCCCATCTCTATTAAAAATACAAAAATTAGCCAGGCATGGTGGTGCACACTTGTAATCCCAGCTACTCAGGAGGCTGAGGCAGGAGAATCACTGGAACCCCAGAGGCAGAGGTTGCCATGAGCCAAGATTGCACCACTGCACTCCAGCCTGGGCAACAGAGCTAGACTCTGTCAAAAAAAAAAAAAAAATAGTTGCCACCGATTATCTCAACCTAAGCACAGTGCTAACTGCTTTAGCTATATTATCTCATTTACTCCCCCTACAACCCTTTAAAGAAGGTTTTATTATCCCCATTGCACACAGTAAGGAAACCGCAGCCCAGAGAAGTTAAGAAATCTGCATAGGTCACACAGCAAGCAAAATGAGATTGGAACTCAAGCCTACATGACTCTAAAATCTTTACTCTTACAGCCCTAGTTACAGTGAGTTCCCTCTGTAGCAAAATACTTGGGTTATTTGTTCTTTTGAAGGCTTCTTGCCATGGTGACAAATGATCACTTAACATAAAGTCATGACAGAAAGAGGTGCACACTTGCGCACATTATTGTATATTCCCTGAGAGCTGAATTACAGCTGAATTAAGCCTCTGTTGGGTGATAATGACATATTAATCAAGCCTGAAGAGTTTCAGCCTTTGATAGTGGGACAGAGAAATGGCTGCCTGCTCCCCTGGCCATGTTGTCATTTCTTTGTGATCGTCCATTTCCCCACTGGCCACAGAACTCAAAGCCTCACTGTACTCAGGGTAGACGGGTGGGCAGAGGAGGTAGGCAGATGAATCTAATAAAGGGCTTCTGTTTCCCACATCCCTTCCAAGACTGGACTCCCTAAACCTAGACTCCCCATAGGTGCCCAAAGGCTGTCTACTTGCTCCTGGTTAGGAAGTTACATTAACAGCTTCGTTATGCGGTACTCAGATCTAAATAATGACAGCAATCATGGGAATGGCTCCCTTTTATTCACTGATTAGGTTCAGGTTCCTCTTACACTATTATCTCCCCAACTTATAGCGGAGGAAACTGAGGCACAGAGAGATTAAAGGCTGTGCACAGGGCCACATATCTAGTTGAGCTGGAGCCAGGCTCTATGACAAAAGTCTTGGTTCCTTTTACCCTGTCTCTCCCTTTTCTTTTACCTTCCCCTTCTCCCATCTTTCTCTAGTTCCCACTGACCTCAACAAACCCCTGGGCCCCAGCCAGACCTCTCCTTTTCTTGTGATGAGAACTCGGATCTCACCATCAGAACAGGGCTCAGTTCCACTGGACCTGTCAGTGAACACATCACAGTGTGGTCACTTCTCAGGGGTAGAGCAAAGGCAGCAACCTCATGCTATGGGCCTACCACTGTACATGTGCAATTGCCTTTAATCTCCCTGGCAACTCAGTGGCATTCCCATTTGCCAAATGGGAAACCTGAGGCTCCAAACTGAGACACAATAGCCTGCGAGTCAGCAAGTTGGCAGAGCTTATATTTGAAGTCTGGTTTCTCTGAGTCCTTTGCCTGCCTCCATTTGAGTCTGCAGGCGTCCTCAGCTCTCAGTTGAGGCCACCAAAAATGTGCAACCAAGTTCTCAGAGATCCTTACCAGATAAATGTAAAATGTGAAGCATAACCCCCAGCAACCTCCAGCCACAGGAACATTTACTCTGCCTCCACACCCTGCCTTGCATTAGTCAATAGTAATTGTCAACAGTATTGATAGCGGTAGAGGCTTTTGCAGAGGTCACACTGATGCTGCATGCAGCTGCCATCAATAATAACTTTTATGGGGTCCATTAAAGACAATTTCTGCCCCTGAAGGTTAATGTCAGCAGCTTTTATGTCACTGCTTAATATCTAAAATAAATACAGAATTGACTGGGTAATGTAAACACAAATCTTCCTACTCGGGGCCTTCAGGCAGAGCCAGCCCTCAGGCCTCTCCTCCCCTGCCGTGAGAGGCCAACAGGCTGGGGGTCGGGAGGCAGTGAGAAGCTGGCCTGTCAGGAACAGTCGGCATGCAATAGATGTTTTTTAGAAAGCAGAGGTTGCAATTCAAGCTTCGCTCCCAAGCACTGGGTCAAGCTGACACAGTGTCTTTTGTGGGTTCATTCTGTAATTTGTCCCACAGCTATGCTGAGCTCCTTCAGTGTGCAGCATGATTCTAGGATGTGGACTCTAGATGACCGGTGAGGGAGGCAGGGCTGTGACCACCTTGCAGCTCTTTAATAGAGGTGCAGCAGGCAGTGTTGCAGAGTGGAAAAAGAATGCTAGTTTCAGAGTCCAATGTGGAGACCTGGCCTCAAGTCCTGGTTGCCCCAGTCTAAGCTCTGAGATCTTGGGCAAGGCATTTCACCTCTTGGAGCCACAGTTTTGTCATTTTAAAAAGAGCACATCAGTGGTTAGCAGGAACTAAGAAGAGGCTGTTGGGGAGTTATTGTTTAATGGGTACAGATTTTCAGTTTGGGATAATGAAAAAGTTCAGAGATAAGAGTAATGGATGCACAACCATGTGACTACACTAATGCCACTGAGCTCTATTCCTCAAAATGATTAAAAAGATTAACTGTTATGTATTTTTCACATGATAAAAAATTACAAAAACAGCATGCCATCTTCCTTCCTTGAAGTGTTGCCGTGAGCCTGTACTACAGCATTTGTGAAGCGTCAGGTCTGTGTTGGGCCTTAATTCACGGGAGCTATTAATATTAATTTTTTAAGAAGCTGGATGATGACAATAAAGGAGCAGTTCATTTTGCCCTGAGGGTGCAGAGGCTCATTCCTTCATTCCACTCATGTTATGCATGGGGCTTGAAAGCCTAGTAGGATTTCACTGAGTGTGAGGGATCTGAGAGAGGCATTCCCAATAGAGACAATTGCATGACCCAAGGCTTGGAGGCACGCAGAAGCATGATGGGTCTGGGGAACAGTAAGAATGTACATGATTTAATCCCAGAGGCAAATTAAGAAACCTACTTTGAAAGGAAACAATGAAACAGAATCACAGTTACCCCTGCCCCAAATTGTCAAGCAGCCTGGTGTCAAAAGGGAAATTATTGGTTAACCTAATTAGGCAGCCAAATTGCTCATTCAGAGTCAGTAGATTAGGTGAGCATCTCCAAAGCACAGTGAGAAAGGAACTCATTACCAATTAACTCCATTTATCCTCTGCTCTCCTTGGCCCCATACCCAAGAGACTTGGTTTTAAAAATCTATAAGAATATCTATCATTAAGTCCCAAAGTGGTCAAAATACTGCAGCAACCCAACTCATTGTACAATGGGACACCATCTTCTAGAATGGGAAGTTAGGTCCCATCCACTAGGGTAGGGATTGGGCCCCACATTTGATTACTCTGCTGCTTGCCCCCAGGCTCCCAAGAGGACTGAGGAGAGCCTGGTAGAGCCAGAGCCTCTGAGCCTCTCGGAATCTGTGAGCTAGAAAGAACCTTGGAGACAACAAGCCCACCAACTCTTAACCTTCCCTCATTTTCTAGCCAAGGACACAGAGATTTGGAGCAGTTAGGTTATCTCATTGAAGGGTGCATAGCTAGTAAATGTCAGAGCCAGGGTGTGAATCCAGATCCATCCTACTACAGTGTCCATTATCCTTTTTTTTGTTTTTTTTTTTTTGAGATGGAGTCTCACTCTGTCGTCCAGGCTGGAGTGCAGTGGCACGATCTCAGCTCACTGCAACTCCGCCTCCAGGGTTCATGCCATTCTCCTGCCTCAGCCTCCCCAGTAGCTGGGACTACAGGCGCCCACCACCACACCTGGCTAATTTTTTTTGTATTTTTAGTAGAGACAGGGTTTCACTGTGTTAGCCAGGATGGTCTCGATCTCCTGACCTTATGATCTGCCCGTCTCAGCCTCCCAAAGTGCTGGGATTACAGGCGTGAGCCACCGCACCTGGCCCATTATCCTTCTTGACCACCGTGTTCTACAGTCTTTTTTGTTTTATAGAGACACGTTCATGTTAGCTCAACCCAAAAAATATAGATGCTAGAGATGCTTCTAGCTATATCCAGAATATAAACTTCTTTGTCAATATTAGAAACTTCCAGAAAAGAAATTGAACCCATAACCTATTAGAAATGATCAGGACCCAGAGATCATACTGGGCCACTCTCAAATTATGACATGCTAGAAAAATGACATTTGAAGTACATGTTTTAGAGGATTAAGAGAAATATCCCATCAGAAGGTATCTGAGAAAGCTTTATGGAAGAAGTGCTGGCCCCTAGGTTTTGAGGGCTGGAAAGGACTGTAACAGGCAAAGAGGGGTAAGAGGGGACATTCTATGTGGGCAAAGCTTGGGGGTAAACCAAGAGAAGGTTTGTCATATGAGGCTAGGACATAAGCGCGTGCAACTGGGAATAGGGTGGCAGAGTGTACTAGGAGGTAAGGTTTGCAAGTTAGCTGGATTGTCTGTCATTCCACAACTATTTGTTGAGCACCTACTATGTACCAGGCACTGTTTTAAATACTGGGGTTCCAGCAATGACCAAAGCAGACAAAACTGCCCCCTCTCATGGAGATACATTCTAGTGGGAAAATTGATGATGAACAAGGTAAAAAATAAATAACATAGGATGTTTCTCTATAATAGTTGTTATGGAAAGGGGGACAGTAAGTCCCCAGGGTGAGTCTGGGCAGTGTCATGGGGAGGTGCAGTTGTAAAGATGGTAGCCAGAGAAGGCTTCACAGAGAAG
This sequence comes from Homo sapiens, assembly GCF_000001405.40. NCBI lineage: Eukaryota > Metazoa > Chordata > Mammalia > Primates > Hominidae > Homo > Homo sapiens. The sequence goes on along the minus strand of NC_000011.10, from coordinate 79,057,464 downwards.
GTGACATTTGAACATAGCCTTGCGGTAGGTGAGGGAGCAGGCTGTGAGGATGTCTGGAAGTAAAACAATCTTGGGAGAGGGAAGGGCAGGTGCTAGGGCCTTAAGGCAGGAGTGTGTGTGTGGCTAGTTTGAAAAGCAGCAAGGAGGCCAGAGTGGCTAGATGGTAGAGGAGGCCAAAGAGGGGAGGGAGTAGGGGTGTGTGCAGGCCAGTGCAGGGGAGCCACGGAGGGTTCTGAGTGGAGAAGTGATGAGGTCTGACTAATACTTGAACAGGATGATTCTGGAAGCTGTGTTGAGAGTAGACTAACAGGCAAAGGCTGAAGTAGGCAGCTATTGCAGTCATCCAGGAGAGAGACAACAGGTGCTCAGGTCAGAGTGAGCCATAGGTGAGGAATGGGCAAGGGTTGTAGTTCACTGAGGTGTGGCAGTGAGGGTAGTACCTGTACCTGTGGATGGGGATAGAACTTTCTCTTCCCTGCTCCTCCCCACCATCTTGTTAGCATTGAGGATGACTTCAAGACTCTTAAATTCTGTGACCAAAATGGCTTGCCAGTACTGTAAGGACGGGGGGCTTGCCCCTGATCCTTCTCCCAGCCTCACAGCTACCTTGGCCCAGTTCCGGGTCCTTTAGCCATGGCCTGTCCCATGCCATACCCTGTGCTTTCTTGTTCTTAGTCCACAGCTTTGGTGATGAGCCATATCCCTTGCCCACTCCTCCCACCACGCTCCATCCTGCTGCAGATCATCTTGGTTTCTGACCTTGGTGCCTGACTCCCTCACCCAGCCTTGCCTTATCTTCCACATGAGACTCTTGGAACCATCATTTTTTGATACAATCTCAGCTTCCCTTTAAGCCATAATTTTAGCCTTTCCTTCTGCTTGGTTGCCTCAAGCTGCCTTAGTGAAGTTTGACCTGGGGCCTCCTCCGCATAGCACGAAATTGGCTGGAATTGCCTGTGATCTGGGAGCCAACACTGACGGCTACTAGCTTTGTTGTTCTTAGGAGTCCCTTTAAGAAGTCCTGGCCCAGATTAAATGCACCCCATAACCGCTTCCTGCTGGCAAGCTCTGTGACTCTCCCTGGTGGCAGCACATACTAACACAACAGCACCTTGCTTCTGAAAGGGAAAGGGAGGAAAAGGAAGGCTCAGAGCCATGGTAAATTAAGACAGATTGCATTCCCGAAACTGGGTTGAGACCTGCTGAGTGTGCAGAGAGGTACAGCAAATGAGAGTTTTGTTTTTAATTTGAGACAACACGATTTTCAATTCCAGTGGAGGCAACAACATGCATGATGACAAACTTCCTACCGAAAGATGTTTCAGAAGCATTTTTCCCTGTCAGTAAGCTCAGCTTTGTCCAAGAAGAGTGGTTTCTGAGGCTGCTTGAACTTCATCTGACCCAGGATGACTTCAAGGAAGAAAGAGTATAACCAACATTGGGAAAGGAGCTTCCTGCCTATGGGAGCCTAGTTCCAGTGCCAGATGTGTGGAGTCCAGGGATGAATCTGGTTTCAATTTTAGGCTGTGTCACTAGTCCTAGTGTGACTTTGACCTAGTCACTTCTCTCTGAGCATTATCATAGTTTCCCCATCAGCCGAAAAAGGTCAGTGGAATCTCAGACAGTGAGATAACTTGGAAGGAGGATAGGCTTTGGAGTCAAACTTGGAATCCCAACTCAGCTACTTAGGAATTGAGTGACTTTGTGCGAATTACTAGATCTCACTGAGATGAAGAAACGGAGAAACTCAGTTTCTTCATCTGCAACCTGGGAATGAATAACTGTCTACCTCCTAAAGTTGTAATAAGGATGGAAGGTGATCATGCATGTGAAAGAGCAGGACAGTGTTTTCAAAACTATGGGTCAACCAATCATGAAATAAATTTTATAGCTCAGCAACATCATTTAAAATAATAATAAATAGTCTGGGCACAGTGGCTCACGCCCATAATCCCAGCACTTTGGGAGGCCGAGACAGGCAGATCACTTGAGGTCAGGAGTTCAAGACCAGCCTGGCCAACATGGTGAAACCCCTACTCTACTAAAAATACAAAAATTAGCTGGGTGTGGTGGTGTGTGCCTGTAGTCCCAGCTACTCAGGAAGCTGAGGTGGGAGGATCACTTGAATCTGGAAGGCAGAAGTTGCTGTGAGCCAAGATCATGCCACCGCACACCAGCCTAGACAACAGAGTGAGACTGCATCTCAAAATAAATAAATTAGTAATAATAATAATATAATAGATAGAATAGAGAGAAGCAGAATAAAGTGTATGGCACATAGAAGATAAGTATTATTTTGTAAACTTTTTATTCCAGTTACAGGTTTTTTTTTTTTTTGAGATGGAGTTTCACTCTTGTTTTCCAGGCTGGAGTGCAGTGGCGCGATCTTGGCTCACTGCAACCTCTGCATCCTGGGTTCAAGCAATTCTCCTGCCTCAGCCTCCCAAGTACCTGGGATTACAGGTTCTGCCACCACGCCTGGCTAATTGTTTGTTTAGTAGAGATGAGCTTTCACCAGATTGGCCAGGCTGGTCTTGAACTCCTGACCTCAGATGATCCACCCACCTCAGCCTCCCAAAGTGCTGGTGTTAGAGGCATGAGTCACTGCACCCAGCCAGTCAGTTACACTTTACACACAATACATGCAGTCAACTGTCATGTAAAATATATTTATTATTATAGGTTTTAGTAAAAACAAGCTTAAAAGATGGTAACTGGGGGCCAAGCACCATGACTCATGCCTGTAATCTCAGCACTTTGGGAGGCCAAGGCGGGAGGATCGCTTGAACTAAAAATAACAACAACAAAAAATAGCCAAGGATGATGGTGTGCTTCTGAAATCCCAGATACTCAGAAGACTGAGGTAGGGGCCTGGGTGATCGAGGCTGCAGTGAGCTATGATTACACCACTGAACTCTAGCCTGGGCAGCAGAACAAGACCCTGTCTCAAAAAAAAAAAAAAGATGGTACCTGGAATATGCCTGGACCTTGTGAATGTTAATTCCCTTCCTTCAAGGACCCCTTAGCTCAAAAACTCCATGATTCATGATGTAAAAGTCTTGGTCAAAAACTGTTGGCCTAGTATTTCTAGGATCCCCTTTCTGAGAATGACTAAGTATCTGGGCAGGGGCTCATGATTCAGCTGAAAGAAGATTGACTCCGGGATCAGAGGCTTAATCAAGGTCACACAGCTTGTACAGTGATAAAGCTGGAATCCCTAATTTGTAGAACCTGTACATCTCTCCTCTCTCCTCTCCCAGTTCCCTCCTATGTAAATGGTCATTGGGATGATTAATAAGCCGTAGAGTAACTATGGGCTGTGGGGACAGCAGGAAAAGCATCCCCGAACAGGGAGAGCTGACTTAGGAAGATACAGGGGCTAGATGAGGCATAAGCTGGGTTCACGCACCCACCTGGATCTCTCCACTGAGCACAAAGGCAACTGGAGAGGAACCCAGAGCAGATAGCAATGGGCACAACATGAAACTAGCATGTCAAGAGAAATCTGGCTTCTTCCAACCCATAGATCCTTACCACAAATTTAATTTCACACTAATCAACCCAGGCAGATGGACAGAGCACTGTATAGTAATTGGTTGCTTTCCTTTGACTTCAGTCTGGAAGGGAGCATAGGAAGCAAAGGATGAAGAGGGACTCCAGGAGTTTATATGGGTTTGATACATGAAGCCCAGGAGGCAGCAATTACCCATACCCCACAAAATATCTCTTTCAGGAAGAGCCCTTAGGGATGACCAGACCTTCCCAAAACTCTCCCCAAAGTGACAAGCCTGGCTTCCTCTGATGGTGGGAAGCAGCAGCAATCAGGAAAAGGGGCATTGGACTGCAGACAGAGAACATGGGTCTGACTTCTGGCTGGTGGAGACTATTTAGGAAACAGCAAAGATCTATTATGGCTAAAGCCTGTGAGATTAAGAAAAGATGAGGCCAGAGAGGAGAGCTGGGTTGCATCATAGCAGGAGATGGTTCTGAATTGCTGGCTCAAGGGTTCAGCCTTTGTCCTGAAGGTGATAGGAACCACAGGGAAATTTTAAGCAGGGAGAAGTTAAAGGTGACAAATGCCTTCTCTGATTCAGGTAAGAACAGACATGACATCTAGAGTGATCTTGTTCTTGAGAAGACTACAATTGCCTTTAGCTTTGAATTACTAGCAGTTTAAATAAATAAAGCTGCAGGTCAGGCTGGAACCCACATTCATAATGCATTTGCCCTGAATAACTAACTAACCATGAACTTGTCAAGAACCTCAAGTCCCGCCTCTGCCAAATTTTGACTTTAAGAATCCTTTAGAGGGTGCCCAACTGGTTATCAGATTTTGTTTATAAAGAGTTTGTTTGTATATATAATTACTATCTTCTTGTCTTAATAAACCTGATTTAGTCTGAGTTTCCTAGAAAGCAGAGCTGAGGCAAAGATTAAAAGCTGATGCTTTATTTAGGAGAAGTCAACTCAGGAACATGAAACAAAGAAAGATGAGAAGCAAAGAACGGTGATGTGTTACCATGCTTGCCAGTGCCTCACAACAAGCTGCAAGGAGACATATCTGGTCTCTAAGCAGGAATGCCTCCTGAGAAGGCTCTCAGGCAGGCTGTACATAGCAGTCTACTCTCCAGAATAGTCTGTGGGAGGAAGGCAAGACAAGCAGTTAATGGGTGCTAGGCAGCAGAATTCAATGGACCGACTGGCCACAGTGGCAGCTGAAGTGCTGCCATTGGCTGAGAGGCCAGCAGATGGCGACCCCAAGAGACTGAAAGGGTGCATAAGCTGTGATGGATGCTGCTGTTAACTGCTTCTTCCTCCCTCCCTCCCTCGCCACATCCCCCCTGCTCCTTTCTTTATTTCTTTTTACTCATAAACTCTACCTGTCAATAATTACAGGAGTAATGCTCACTATTTATTATATACTTACAGTGAACCAGATAGTGCACATGCATTACTTCATTTCATTACCATGATCAGCCCATAAAACAAGGGTTGTTCCCCATTTAAAAGTGGGCAAAGGACATGAACAGATACTTCTCAAAAGAAGATATACATGCGGCCAACAAACATACGAAAGAAAGCTCACCATCACTGATCATCAGAGAAATGCAAATCAAAACCACAATGAGATATCATCTCTCACCAGTCAGAATGGCTATTACTAAAAAGTCAAAAAACAACAGATGCTGGCAAGTTTACAGAGAAAAAGGAATGCTTTTGCACTGTTGGTGGAAGTGTAAATTAGTTGAACCATTTTGGAAGACAGCGTGGCAATTCCTCAAAGACCTAGAGGCAGAAATATCATTTGACCCAGCAATCCCATTACTGGGTATATACCCAAAGGAATATAAATCACTCTGTTATAAAGATACATGCACACCTATGTTCATTGCAGTACTATTTACAATAGCAAAAACATGGAATCAACCTAAATGTCCATCAATGTTAGACTGGATAAAGAAAATGTGGTACATATACACCATGGAATACTGTGCAGCCATAAAAAGGAACAAGATCATGTCCTTTGCAGGGACATGGATGGAGCTGGAAGCCATCATCCTTAGCAAACTAACGCAGAAATGGAAAATCAGACACTGCATGTTCTCACTTATAAGTGGGAGCTGAATGCTGAGAACACATGGACACATTGTGGGCAACAACACATACTGGGGTCTGTTGGAGGTTGGTGCAATGGGGAGGGAGAGCATCAGGAAGAATAGCTAACCATGACACACGTTTATTTATGTGACAAACCTGCACATCTGGCACATATACCCCTGAACTTAAAAGTTGAAGAAGAAAAACAGGGGTTGTTATTCCCATTTTAGAGCTGATGAAATTCAAGCCTCGAAAGCATAAGTAACTTGCCAGCTAGCCAGTTAAAAAGCTGATAGCTAACCCAGGGCTATCCAAATCCAAAGCTCTTACCCTAGTCATATTACCTGATGGAGACAGGAATATAGAACTACTTGAGTGAATGACTGCCAGTAATTTTACAGGTTAAAAAGGTGTTGATGTATCAGACTAGCCCCTGCAAACACACACTTGGTGACTCCAACTTATAAGCACATACTCTGGAGCCAGGCTGCCTGGGTTGGAACCCTAGCACTTCCACTTATTAGCTGTGTTACCTTGTGTTAAACAAGGCAGGTCTCTTCATCTCTCCATGCCTCGGTCTTCTCACCCGTAAAATGGGGATAATTCTGGTATCTCTCTCACAGTGTGGTTGTAAGGATTAAATGAGGTAAGAAAGTTAAAGCACTTAGAATCGTGTCTGGCACACAGGAAGTGCTATTTAAGTGTATGTTGTTAAATGCATTGCACTTCGTGATTTACAAAGTGTTTTCATATTTTGTTTAACATTTGTGACAAGCTTTGAGGTAGATATCGGCCTCATTCTCATTTGGAAGTGCTCTTGAGATCATGCAGCTGGCCCATGGAGGAGATGGGATTCAACCCCAGGTCTATCTGACTCCACACGCATGCACAGCTGTTCATAACTCTCTCTGGCAGCTGGTCAGCCTGGCTCTAACTGCCAGAGATGATTCCCTAGGTACCAGGACCAAGTGTGAAAAGGCTCCAGTCAGCCTGATTTTCTTCAGGCCACTTTCTCCCAGTTTGCTCTGTGAGAAGGATCCTTCTTCTGGAAGAAACTCTCCCTCAAATAAATAGCCAAATCCTTTTGGTCCCAAACACCGAAGAGGGATTTTCTTTCTGCCATTGCTCAGCAGCCTGGCTTCTAAATGAGTTTGCTGTACTTAGTTTGTGTAGTACCTAAACTACAAAACAAATTGCTTTCCTGAATGTGCCTCCAAAAAGGAAATAAGTGTATGGAACAAACCAGGTTCAAAGCATGGTATAAACAAAGGGAAATTGTTTGCAATTCCAGCTGCTTGTAAAGATGCAAGAGGGAGGAGAGAAGAGCCCTCATGGGTGTGAAGTGGGCTATGAAAGTGCAAAAGAAGGTGCTTCAAATGGGAACCAAATGGGCTAAGTCAGAAGTTAGACAGCAATTAGAAGTGAGGTGCCTCCAGGCGTCTCTCTCTCACTCTACATGCGGCCTCACCTGGTAGCAAAAAGAGGGAAACCGCTTAAGCCCAAAGGATTTGCCCTTCTCTCTACCTGCATCCACAGCCTTCAATAATTTATAACCCCAGCACTAGAGCTAGTGCTAAAAGATGGATTTTATTTTGAAAAAAGATCGTGTCACTTTTTTCCCCAGATTTCAAAAGCTCTTCAAGAGTCTGCTCTGGCAGCCTGGCCATTATTATTCACATTTAGGGAGTGCATAATAGCTCACAATGCCCTTTAATACCTGACATTTCATAAGTCATGACATCATCTCCCCAGTCCAGGGCACCTGAGCCCATACCCTGGCTTTAAATGCTGACAGTGGCCCTTTGGCCTTGGAGCCTGGGTCCGGATGTGCCCAAGGTTCAATAAGTCACTAAAAGCATTTACAGGACACAACATGGAGTGGGGCTCACAATATTTGTTACAGCAAAAGGGAAAAAAAAGCAAATCAGCAAAGGGAAAAGGTTCATGGGACAAAGTTCGGAGGAAGCCGGGCAAAAGCTTCCAAGAGTTTTTCTCTCAGCAGAGTCATGCGGGAAGTGCTCTGTTCCTACAGCCAGGAGCTGTGATGACACCTACAAAGTGCTGTTTACCATGGAAGCTCAAGACTCAGGGCCCCAAGTGTTGATCAGGTGCTAGTCACATAGGTGCCCTCTGCCTAGCATGCACCAAATTCCAATCTCCCGGAAGGAAATAAGGTGTTTAACATACACTCATTATTGGTACAATCTAGGCATAATACAATCTAGGCACAGATAGCCCCTCCTATCATTTAGGACCTAGGCAACTGTTTACCAGCCAGGTTCTCAGGCACCAGCCCAAGGCCAGCTTTGCAAGCAGAGCTTTCTAAGGATGCAGGCTTCGGCCTGCTATGTTAACTCCTTTCTGCCCCCTGCCTCTTGGACTGCCCTCCTGTTTGATTAGTGAGCGGCCCTAGCAGATCCCCCTAGTGTATACTTCTCAGGACGGCCTTGTAGTTCTTTCTCTAGTCATCCTCCTTCATGCAATAACTCTTAGAGAGTGATTATAAACTTTGTGAGAAATTCTGTTAGAGCGCACTGCTAGTGCTGATAATGAAAGTGGAGAGAAAAATGAAATGATGCGTCCTGAGTAGGGGGGAAGAGCCGTGTCCAAATGACTCTCACAGTGGGCCAGTGCTACTTGGTCCATAGTTGTATTGATGAACTGGGGACTGGGGGAGGGAATTGTGCTGCCCAGTGACTGTCTGTGTGCTGCTCCCATTCAGCAATCTGTGCCAGGCAAGGTGCTAGTGCTGCCTGGCTGCAGGAAGGCTAACTGGACCTGACGTGGTCTCTACCTCAGGGGCTCATGGTATACAGAAGACAGACACCTACGTAGGCATACATCAGTGCTGAGGACTCTTCTGGGTAACCATCAGCCAGAGAATCCGCAGAAGAAATCCAGCTCTGCTTGAGCAACTGGATAAAATGATGCCTAAGGTCCCCTGAGGTTCTAAGCACCGACCAAGGGAGATCTGGGATGGGACCACAGACAGAAGAATGCCCACCAGAATGGCCCCTGCCCATCCTGTAACATGGTTTTCAGGAGTTCCAGTGGCAAAAGAGGCAACTTAAAGGTTGTGGAGTCAGGATCCCCGTTTGATAGAGAAAGTAGGCTAGGGAGAAAGCTTTACCTGGTATCCGGGTACAGAAAAGGCCCAGAGGTGTTGCTACCCCGAATCAGTCTTCCTGCTAGGTCAGGGTAACACTGAAACCTCTGTTAATACAATCTGGCCAAAGACTACCAGAAACTCACATACAGTTGGTTGAACCAAGACACGATCACAGACTCTTTGCAGCACAGAAGCACCACACCATGCAGAGCCATTAGGGTCTCGGTAGAGGGTGTTAGAAAGGATGTGCAGGATTGGCCCTTGTGTCACATGATTTGGGGGTGGGGTCCAGGATCAGGGCTTTGCTCTAGACTGCCTACTGTCAGGGAATGGGCAATCTTCTGCCGGGGTATCTTCATAAATCTTATGTAGAAGGCAGGAAGAATGGTGTGAAGTTGAAGTGGTCACTGGAAAAAAGGTGGCAGTCACTCATGTTAGGCAGGATAGGGAGTGTTTGGTCATTGTGTGGCTTGAACAATGTTCTTGTGTTTTTTGTCTGAGTTCAGACATGACTGTAGAGTGACCTTATTTTTGTCTTGATCCATTACAGTCAGAGTTGCCTTGTCTGAGGTTGGTATGTGAAACTGTTGATATTCAACAGGTGAATGCCGTCACCTCACTGTGAGTGCCAGGCCAGCTCCTGGCTGTCAGGGACTAATTTTTCCTTTTTTATCCCAAATCAAAAGACAAATGAAAAGAAAAATTGTACCAGGTATGACAGGGCTTCAAGAGCCTTCAGTGACCTGTGGCCATGATAAATCTGTGTCTGGGAAAAATAATAATGAAAATAACTTAATAGGTGTTATTATATTAATTAAGTGCTCTTCAATAATTATTTATTTAATAATTATCATTTAGTACTTATTACAGGTCAGATATTACATAAGCCTATTCAAATACACTATCTCATTTCATTCTCCTCTTAAAATCGCTATAAAATTGGTATTTTCTTTTTTTGCAGCTACAGAAATAGGGGCTCAAACAAATTAAGTGCCAGCTGTCAGGCCACCTGCCTAATAAGGCTGAATTCAAACACAGATACCCGCCTGACTCCGAACCTGCATCCTCCCACTACCCTAGGCCCCCTTGACACATGGGCACTGAAGGAGAAGTGCTGCCGAGCTGTTAGCTGAGACTGGTCTTAGTCCAAGGAGCCTAAGAGCTCTGAGACAAATCCGAAGTGTGTTCACAGACAGAGCACTTCCAGGACCACAGACTGTGACAGCCCGCAGAAGCCCAGTCCCTGGCAGAGTGTGGTGGTTCCCGGGAGCTGCTGTCATTGCACCAGCAAAGTGAGCATCCCCAGAGAGCACGAGTGAGCTTGATGTATTTTTTATTCCTGCACAGCTGGCTAATTAATATGAAAAAGAGCTGCCCACTATTGATTAGCTTTGTATTCCACCACAACAGTGTCTTCATGAAACTCAATATCTAGAGCTCAAAAGCTGGGGTGAAACCTTTTAAGTAGATCTGATGGGTGACCTCGTCATCCCTGTCAGAGGTCCAGCATTGTTTTGTGGAGGGAGGGGGAATTCAAAGTCCTTTTTAAGTCTGTCTCTTGGTCAGAGGTATTATTTTTCTTCAGTGGTCCACTTTACATTAGGTTGGCGCAAAGTAATTGCGGGTTTTGCCGTTACTTTTAATTAAGTATTATTTCAAGGTAATGCCGTGAAACCTTTTCACAGATCTGTGTCAATCTTGGCAAAGCCATGGTTTATCTATCTCTGTGTAATCAGGGCCTGGCACATAAAATTCCATAAATATGTATAGATTAGAATGGGTTCTCATCGCGTCTTGATGAATCATCAAGCCTATGTTTCTGAATGCTAGATGGAGGCCCAGAAAGAAGAAACAAGGGAATAGAACTCATATTTATTGGGTGTTGTATTCATTTCCTAGGGTGCTGTCACGAAGTACCACAAACCAAGTGCCTCAAAACAACTGAAATTCATTGTCTCGTGGTTCTGGGTGGTATAGACAGGGCCATGCTCTCTCTGAACCCTGTAGGTGAATCTTTCTCTGCCTCTTCCTAGCTCCAGTGGGTTGCCACCATCTCTGGTATTCCCTGGCTTGCAGCTGCATCACTCCAGTCTCTGCCTGGATTGTGACACGGTTTCATTCTCCCTGCATGGTGCTGCCTTCACATGGCTGCTGTCTTATAAGAATACAAGTCATATTGGAGTAGGTTCCCACCCTACTCGGCTATGACCTCATCTTAACTAATTACATCTGCAACAACTCTATTTCCAAATAAGGTCACATCTGGAAGTTCTAGGGGTCAGCACTTCAACTTGTCGTTTTTTTGGGGGGGAGAGTTCATCCCATAACAGATGCCAAGCACACCCCATTAGTTGCCAGGCACTATGACAGGCTCTTTTAACTCCCCACCCCTCAGAAGCCTGGGTCTTAAATTTGCAGCTTTTTGGTGCTCCATGAACTGTAACAGAAGAAACCGTTTTGTTCTGAACAATGGAGCAGTTGCCACTCTCCATGCTGGGCCCCTGAGGCCTGGCTGCAACTCCCTCCCCATCTCCCTGGCTCACAGCATCTCACAGCTGACCAGGCTGGGCCAGGACACACAATCTTAAGCCCCTTCTAAGTGAGTCAGCCCCTTCACCGGAGGCATGATGCCACAGGGAAGATTCCTGCCTGAGACCATGTGTGTACCTGTGGCCTTGCCTAGAACAGCAGGAGATGTGGCTGTGTGGGAATGCACGTGTAAGAGTGACTGCAAGTGCAAAGTGCAGATGCTCTCGACACCATATGAGTGGGAGTGTGTGACAATGTCAGTGCAGTTACATTAGCACAGGAACAAATGTGTGACTGGGGAACACGTGAGCAAGAATGTGTGGGTTTGACTCCACATGAGGGTGTGTTTTGCGTGTCTGCACAGGAGTGAAGGAGTGGGTGGGGATTTCTGCCAAATACCTGTTGTATTTTAGAATTAACCAGCAGGCAAAGGTGAAGTCTTTCTTCCCACTAAGATAAGGAAAAAGGGCTTTGGGGGCTTTTTCTAATTTAAAAAAAAAAAAAAGGCGTCATCCAGTTAGTGGTTGTTAATTAGGAACAGGTCCCAGAGAAGCTGCTTCTGCAGCAGCACCAATAAATCACTCATTAACTGTCCGTGGCTGCCTGCCTCCAAGCCGGGCTCCTCTGCAGCCTGAGCTCCAGTAGCAGCCAGGCCAGGGCCCTCCACTGCAGACCTGTCAGTAAGGGGGTGGGGTGCATGTCTCTTTGTCTCTCTCCTCCTAAAAGCATCCTCAAACCACACTAGGTAGGAGAGGAAAGGGCTGAGCCTCTAGTCATCGACTCATGGACTTAAATCCCAATCTTACTGCACCAAGCCCCTTCCTGATCCAACCCCTTCTGACCCCACTGACCCCGTCTCTCACCACTCTCCCTTAATTCAGCTTCCAACTCCACTGTGCTTCTTCACATTCCTGGAACACAACCTCCTTCATAGTGTTGCACATGCCCAGTGGAGCTGTGACCGTGCATCTACCTGTGCCTCCCACAGAGAGGAGCACGCAGTGGACACTCAGGAAATCAATTCTTGCCTGACCAGCTCCTGCCAACTTTCTCACCAACGCAATATCCTCCAGCCATGTTTTAAAGTATTGATTTTAGCTAAAATCGTCATAGACTTGGGGATGTGGAAAGAGAATAACTGCTTAATGGGTATGGGGGTTTCTCTGGGGAGTGAAGAAAATGTTCTAGAACCAGGTAGTCACGAGGGTTGCACAACATTGGATGTATACTAAATGCCACTGAATTACATGCTTTTAAATGGTTAAAATGATGAGTTTTATGTATACTTTTCTATAATAAACATACTTTAAAAAAACAACCCAGGGCACCTTATTCGCTTTATTCACTTCAGCATCCATTTATTGAGTGCATCCGTAGGATCAGGCCCCGGGGATACAAATGTGTTTGGGGTTAGGGGATGCAGACTAATATGCTGCTGAAATGTGTTTTCCGTTTTAACCCAAGTAGTCTGCGTAATCCTCAAATCACTGAGATGTTGTTATATTCACCCCTACTTTATACATGGGAAACCTAAAAATCACAAAAACAGGAGACTTATCCAAAGCCACACAGCTCTTAAGGAATGTAATAGGATATGAACCCACCCTGCGTTTAGTACGATGTGTTTCCTCCATAATAGTTTCAGGCCCAGCACTCACAAGCTAACTGAAGCATAGCACAGCTAGAGGTTGCAGAAACCATGTATTACTGACATATTAGCAAAACAGACCTTGGCTAAGGACAGTTCCTCTGCATCCTTTGGCTGAAGGCTCTACCATCTTCCCTACCCAGTCCTGCCGCCTCCTATGCGCCCCACCCTATTCCCTTGTCAGCACTGCTGCACAGGGATCCCTCTGACCTGATTAGCTAGATTTGGCCTGCTAGATGTTTTTATTAGTGCCCTGACCTTCTTGCCAAGCAGTAATTTCACAAACCTGTGACTTTGGAATGACATTCTTTATGTTTGTGTTTGTTTTTGAAAATATGTAGAATTCATCCAAAATTCACAGCCCTGCTTTTGTGTTTAACTGAAACGTGTTGAAAGATTTAAGGATAATTATTGAATATTTTCCCCACATGTAAACATATATTTGGTCTAATGAGGCCATTCTTTAATCTGATGGGGTTGGGAGAGCTGTTAGAATTAGCAGCCTTTGGTTCAGGGAGCTCAGGAATCCCCATCCTTGGGACCGAGTCCAGATGTAACCCTGGAAGCATGAAGTTCAAAGTCAGTGGGATTATGGCTTAGTGCAAAACCGGCAAAATATGTCACCAGTTCACCTCCTCTAGACAGTGAGCCATAAGCCATGGTCTGCATGCAGTTTGGGTTGGCATCAGTACAGAGATACTTCAGAGAGCAGAATCAACAGGTTAAATCCTGCCTCTGAGGCCAAATGGAGATAAGAATAGCACTGTGGGGCAAGAGATGGGGGTGGTTATTATAAGCTATTTTCTTTTGACTCCGGATCTCATGTTCATTTTTCTAGGCTTATTTGTTCATTCAGCCATTCATTCATTCATCAGATGTTTATAGAGAACCTGATATTTCCATGTCCTGTTTTAGTGATTATAGACAAAAATAAGGTTTCTGTATTTGTCAGCATAGGTTAACAGCTAAATTAACAACAGAGGGTTAATTTATGGTGCAGTGACAAACAACCCTAATATATGAGTGGCTTAACAGAGTTTATTTCTCATGTTATGTACCCAACATGCTTTGGGGCTGGGGGGAGACTTTGTTCCACACAGTCTCTCATGGACCCAGGGTGACAGAAGCTCCACCATCTTGTGGAGCTACCCACTCTGGAGCAAATAGCCTTTTTGGCTGCTTCTCACAGCCCATAGGCCTGAATTACTCATATGGCCCCACTTAACTACAAAGGAGCAGGGAAACGTGCACCTTCCATGCACCAGAAGCAGAAGAGAACCAGACACAATGAGTACCCAAAGTCTCTACACAACATAGAATAAAAAGATCTGAGGTATGAACACAATAGAACATTATCCTCTGAGGTGTTTCCATCTAGCAGAAGAGACAAGTGAACAGACTTAAGTAACAGCTGAGGGAATCCAACAATGTGTTGGAGAGGGGGAAGAGGAATTGTGCTGTTAGCTCTGAGAGGAGGGAGCCATTTACTGGAATATCCCAGAGTGGGGTGGGATTGCTGGCAGTCTAGCCAGGAAATGTCATGGCATGCTCATACATGCATGTACTGTATGACTGAGGGAGCTCAGCGCAGGTGGCTTTTGTGGCAAGACGTGCTTGGGCACCACATGTAGGTGTTGGAACCTTATTCTGTAGGTAGGGAAAGCTACTAAAAAGCTTTCTAGGAAAGGATATGATCCTATATATTTTAGGAAGATCACCCTGGTTCTACCTGACAGAGGAGAGATAGAGACAGATTGTGGCCCCCGGAATCTGAATAGTAATCATGCAGACAGATTCAAGAGGTACTTAGCAGAAAGAAGTGATTAAAATTTGGTAACTAAATAGATGTGGGTTGGGGGAAAGGAAATGGACAGGTCTGTGGCCTGAATTTTGACTGGGGCATGTCTTAATCCCTTCAGGCTGCTATAACAAAATATCCTAGACTGGGTAAATTACAAGCCACAGAAATTTATTGCTCACAGTTCTGGAGGCTGGGAAGTCCAAGATCAAGGCACCAACAGATTCAGTTTCTGGTGAGGGCTTGCCCTCTGCTTCTCAGATGGTGCTTTCTGTGTCCTCCCGTGGTAGAAGGAGCAAACAAGCTCCCTTAAGCCTCTTTTATAAGGTCACTAATCCCATTCATAAGGGAAGAGCCCTCTTGGCCTAATCATCTCCCAAAGGCCCCACCTCCTTAATACCATCACATTTGGGGTTTAGGTATTAGCATATGAATTTGTGGGGGACACAGAAATTCAGACCATAGCAGGGTAACTGTGTGGATGCAGCAAGGAAATGCTGGAGCATGATTGTAGAGAGAAGTAATAAGCTGAGTGCTAGACATTGTTGAGTCTGTATACCTGTGGAACCTCTAAATCCAGGTGTCTTAAAGCACTTGGATATTAGGGCCTGAAAGCTTAGAAGAGAGTCAGCCTACCCTTCCCAAGTGTCTAAGAAATTAAAGGTGTAGGGGTAACCTCTGGGGAAAGTAGTTCTTTCCTCCAGGGATTTTAAGTTACGCATCTATTGGTACCAGGTCTATTGTGTATAAATCTGGGTGCTTTCAAAATGGAGTCATTTCCTGCTGATCACCTTCCTAAGGCCCAGACCCTCCGGCTAAGGGAAGTCACTGCTCCCTGGGCTTCTGTAGCCCCCGTTGTGGTCAGAACCAAGTTACTATCATTGTTCAGACCCTGAGCCCTGCGAGGGCTGGCACCCAGGTGTTCAGTAAATGTTTCTTAAACAAAATGAGTGAATTAACTACAAACTATTCAAAACTGTTGGGTCCCTTGTGACAACATAAATAGTACTTTCATTTTCCAAAAGGCTTTAATAAATTATAACTCACCAAATTAAATATTTGTTTTAACTTCCACCAACCAAGACTGGAGGATTTGACACCTTTTCATCTTCAAAGTGATTTCAAAACAAGAGCCTGCTTCCCCAAAGGCCACTCTTTGGATGTTGTAAATTGTAAACAGATACAAAAATGTATTCACATTCATGAGCAAAGATGCCTTGGGCCAGTTTTAAAAAGAATCTTCTCCAGGAAAGAAAAGTAAATTGTTTCTTCGATTTTTTTTTTTTTTGAGTGCCTCCAATGTGCCAAGAGTTGTGTTAAGGGATTTCAATATCTGTTATTCTCTCAATGGTCCTGTGAGGTAGGTATTCTCATTCCTGCTATAGAGATAAGAAATCTGGGGCTTCAAGAGACAAATGAGGCCGGGCATGATGGCTCATGCCTATAATCCCAGCACTTTGGAAGGCTGAGGCTGGCGGATCATCTGAGGTCAGGAATTCAAGACCAGCCTGGCCAACATAGCGAAACCCCATCTCTACTAAAAATACAAAAATTAGCCAGGTGCAGTGGCAGATGCCTGTAGTCCCAGCTACTCAGGAGGCTAAGGCAGGAGAATCACTTGAACCCGGGAGGCGGAGGTTGCATTGAGCTAAGATTGTGCCACTGCACGCCAGCCAAGGTGACAGAGTGAGACTCTGTCTCAAAAAAAAAAAAGAGGAGAATGGCAAATGATTTGTCCAAGAACCAATCTTAAATTCTTCTAACTCCCGAGTTACTGCACTGCCCTTCCCTTTGTATTTTCATTTCTTAACCCTTGGTCTGTGGATTACCTGCATTGGGCACAAGCAGGATGCAAGTTCTGGGGTTGTGCCTGGACTTATTGGATGAAACTCTGGAGGGAGAAGCTTGGGAATCTGCATTTTAAATAAACTTCCCAGGTGCTTCTTATGCACATTGAGATTTGATCACCTATAGTTTATACCCACAGTGGGTTTCTAAAACTTAAATTTTTGTCTAATTAGATGAGAGAATAAACAAAGGGGGAGTAAAGAGGCCTGAACACCATGTGACTTGCCTTGAGCTTGGCAAGTGGGGCAGCAGCATCATCCTCCCTCTTTGCCTCCTCTCCAGGCTGTGCTGGCCAAGATGGAAAACTTCCTCTGTTCCCCTGCTTTTCATGGCAAGCTTGGGTTGATGTTTTCTCTCCACTCCATATGGATTTTGCAATTAACTCACTAGAAAAGTAAATCACAGGGTGCCTGGAATAGTAAGTGCAGCAAACACCAGACTTCAGCCAAGCAGACTGGGACTGAATCCAGAGTGTGACTCAGGTTGCTGGGCTGGCACAGAAAGGAGGCAGGAGGCCGGAGGCTGGCTGCTCCTGGAGGCTGGCTGCTCCTGGAGGCTGGACAAAGGCAGTCAGTGAGGAAGAAGGAGAGGGGAATAGTGGTTGAAACTGAGCTGAGCGAGCACCTTTTGTAGGTTCACAGACTATGTTTTGCATTCTTTGTCTCTTCAATTGCACACAACTCTTTTAGGTCAATGTTATGACTCCCATGTTACAAAAAAAGAAACTGAAGCTCAGAGACAAAGTTACTTCCCAACATCCTTGCACCGGGTCTGCACTCAGTCCTCAGGAAAGACTTCCAGGGTTAGGAGGGAGAAAAAAGGGAATAGAGACACGAAGAGGTTCTGTTCTGGTTGCTCTAGCTGGCTGGTGGCTTTTTATAGAAGTCTTTTTTTTTTTTTTAATCATTTTGCCTCTTTTATTTAGCCGAGAATATAGTAGTGGTCCCCAAAAGATTCAGTGAATAGGTGAATTTTCATTTGCTAATATGATTCATCAGAATAATATAAGCTAGCATTAGCAAGCACTGAGTACATGTCTGACACTGTGTTGAATGCTTTAGATACGTTTCCATCTCATTTCATTCTTTCACAGTTTATAGGAGGTACTATTTTGTTTGTTTGTTGATTTATTTTATTTTACTTTAAGTTCTGAGATACATGTGCTGAACGTGCAGGTTTGTTACATAGGTATACACGTGCCATGGTGATTTGCTGCACCTTTCAACCCATCATCTAGGTTTTAAGCCCCACATGTATTAGGTATTTGTCCTAATGCTCTCCCTCCCCTTATTATAGATGTCTTAAGTGAAGGCTTGAGTGTCTACCTCTCCCTCTGAGGGGTTCCTGCCCATCTGCTGATAAAAGGGTTCTTTTCTGTAGAGGAGTTCTACTGGGGACCATGTGCAGGACCAACACACTCAGTCCTATGACAACATCCACATCTGAGGATCTGCAGTTTATAAGTCAAAAGGTATCTTCTTGCCCACAGAGCCTAAAACTGGCTTCTTTCTGCGTCTCACAGCTTCCTGAAAGATCCTGAAATGTGAGCCAGGCTGACAGCTGTGCTGACGTACAGCAAGTGTGGGGCTGGGATTTGTCCTCTGTTGGTGGCATTCACTTTGCCATCACCACAACACCAAAAACCCTTTGAGGCTGTAAGGCAAGTGGGCATGACTCAGCAGAGCACCAGGCACAGATGCTGCAAATCACAAAATCATTTTTGCTCTGGATAGGGCTTAAGGGTTGTTTCTTCACCTAGCTAGAAAATTGGGCAAAGGGGACAGGGCTTAAAAAGCAGGTAACAGCTATTTAAGCTGGAAGAATGGGGCCCCAAGTTCCAAGAGAACTTTCTGCATTCTCTTTAGAATGCTCCAACACAAGCCCCTACCACCACCAAGTGCCTGAGGCCCCCCTGGGGTACATTCTCCCTTGCTTCAGCATGCTAAATACATTTATTTATCACTCTAGATGTAATCCTGGTGGTCTTTGGGCAGTCAGTGGACTTCATCAGAAGTTTCAAACCTTACTTTTCCATTGTGACACCTGAAAGCAGAACCATCAGTATGAAAGCTCTTTCCCTTCCCTGGCTCTTTCTCTTCTATGAGGCTAGGCTTCTTGCAACCTACCTGCCAAGTTAAACTCTTGCATAGTTTTAAGATGGTTTTTTCCCAAGCCAGGATTTGAACTTCTGCAGTTAGTGCCCAGAGGTCTTGGCTTTCTCTGTTTCCCCCAAATAGGGTTCTGTCCTATTGCAGCTAGAAAAGCAACAGAGAGAAATGAAACGGAAGAGAAAAAAAGGAGTTTCTGCCCTTCAGAGAGAGCTCAACTGCCTGTGTGTTGCTCAGCCTCCCTTCCCTGTTCACAAAAAGTCAAAGTCATCACCTCAAACTCAAATCTATTTTTAAATAAGAAAGAAGGCCAGTGAAGAGGGGCAGGCAAGATGTGGCCAAGGAAGGCATTGGGGAAAAGGTAACATTTGTACTGGGAGTTTGGTAGATGAAGAAGGTAAGAAGGAGAAGTACAGACAGTTAAAGATGGCATTGAAATTCCAGAGTCCCAGAGGAGGAGTTTGCAGGGACAGCAGGTGGCACTTGATGAGTTAGAATTTCAGATGTGATGAGTTTGAAGCACCTGGGAGGCATCTAAGTAGACATGATTACCAGACACCTGGAGCTGAATAAGAGGTCCTGGAGATATTGATTTAGAGGTGATTGTTCTCTCATCCATGTATCCATTCATTCACCCAGGCAAGGGAAATGTGTACAGTACCTACTCTAGGCAGGCCCTATGCTGGATATTGGGAATACAATGATGAACAAAACAGATGTCTCAGGCGATGGTTGTCTCCGGCTTCCTTTGTCCAGCTTTGACTTTGCAGGACCTCTGGGTAGGATGGTCTGGCCAAATGTCCCTATTATGCTTTCCCTGGAGATGTTTCATAAAAAGAAGGCATCTTAGAGCAGAGGCTGACTGTCAAGCATTGGTTCTGAGTGCAAGCCCTTCTCTCTGTTCCACAATAGGAATCATTTTCTAGTACTTGATTCTGATTTGATTAGGGAAGGAGTCTTTATGATGATTCTCATGCAGGTCAAATTCATGAAAGTTTATTAGAAATACATATATTTAGTTCCCTTGACCGTTACATTCTTAGCTATGGATATCCTGATGGATTTGAATGAAAACTGTGCAAATAAGTGTCCACTGGCTTTCTTGGGCAGGTTTCAGTTATTTGGGAGAAAAGGTATTAATAGACAAATCATGGAGAAAAGTCTCTTACACATCAGCAAAGAAAATTTGAGACATGGTGGTTGATTAGGGAAGGATTTCTCCCAAAGTGTATGGACTTAAGCTCTAGTAACCAACAGCTTAAAAAAATGAAGCCAAATGAAATATGATGTGCTTAACTGTGAAAATTGTAAGGAATTTGTTTTCTAGGCTCTCATTATTTGATCACTAACCAATCAGAAATCCTGGCTCTTTCATTCTCGGAATATAGCAGTAGAAGGAGATTCTCATTAGACCCTCCAGATGCATAAGAAATCTGGCCATCGGATTAACTCCTAAGGCTCTGCCCCCAGCACCTCAACCCAAGGCCAGGGTCACTATGAAGTGCCAAAGGGCTGTGGTTTAAGAACTGTGCTGGATGAAACTTGCCATGTAGTTGAGGGCTGCCTCATAGGTGCAGCAGCTGACAGCAAGAGAGCCTCCTAAAGGGACCACATTTGAGGTTAGAGGAGCAGGCAGCTGGCCCATGTGCATAGCACCACTCCACGCTGTCCCTCCTGTCCTGGATGATGTTGTAATACAATCGCCCCTTTCCTACCTGCCCTCATCCTCACCCCAGATGTCCTTTGTCAGAATACATCTTGAGTGTATTTTCTTTTTTTTCTTTTTTTTTTTTTTTTTTTTTTTTTTTTTTGAGATGGAGTCTTGTTCTGTTGCCCAGGCTGGAGTGCAGTGGCACAATGCAATCTCCGCTCACTGCAAGCTCTGCCTTCCAGGTTCACGCCATTCTCCTGCCTCAGCCTCCTGAGTAGCTGGGAATACAGGTGACCGCCACCATGCCCAGCTAATTTTTTGTATTTTTAGTAGAGACAGGGTTTCACCACGTTAGCCAGGATGGTCTTGATCTCCTGACCTTGTGATCCTCCTGCCTTGGCCTCCCAAAGTGCTGGGACTACAGGCGTGAGCCACTGCGCCTGGCCGAGTGTATATTCTTTCTCTGACTCACCCATCTCCACTTCTCAGGCTCCACCTACAACATCAACTCAGTTGCCAACAAGTACTTGACCACTTTGGCTAAACTTGGGTGTCTGCATCTTGCTGTGCTTCTTTGGGCTTTTTTCCCCACTTAGGGCTAAAGCCCCTCACTACTGCTCCCTTGGCTGTCTTTTGGTCCAGTACCATGCCACACTCTCAGGAGTGTGGTACACTGGTCATGATGTCTGCTGCTCCTCTGGATGTTTGCCCCATGCAGAAGATGCCTGAACACCGAGTTCCCTTTTATTTGGGAATCCAGAACTCCAGGGATCCCCATACCACCAGCTATCCCAAATCTTGAGGGAGACTTGTGCATTGGGCTTAAGTCTGGCCAATCAAAGATAGCTGGTGATGCAGGTGCCTGCGATACACAGGAACAACACTCATCGTGGAGTTTATATAAGCAAAGGAGAAGGATGCCTGCCTTGGGTGGACGAGTGTCCTGGAGCCTTGCTCCTCAAAGTGCTCCAGGGAACCTACAGCATAAGCTGATGAGAAATGCAGAATCTCAGCCCCACTCCAGACCCCACTGACTCAGATTCTGCTTTTTAACAAGTTCTCCAAGCACCTCATACATCCTGAAGTCGAGCAGCGATGCCCTAGACTTTGAAGAAAGTTATCTCAGGGAAAATACTAGGTTTAGTTTTAAGGCCAGACACACTAAAAAGATGATTCAAGAGGCTTGGGAAATAAAACAGTAGATCTAAGATCATCTTTTATGTTTTTAAGCATCAAGACTGACTATAATATGAAAATAAATAGGAAAATGTCTGTAAATACAACATTTAACAGTGGTTTCCTTGGGAGATGAGTGGGATGGGTGAGGTGGAAGGAGGGAAGGAGGATTTATATTTGTGTTCAGCTTGTTCTGTATTGTTGGAATTCAAATGTGAATATGCTAGAATTATTTTTGAACCAAAAAGTAGGAAAGATAAAAGTAAAGAAGAAGAATGGGAGATTTGGGTAAATGTAAGTTTAACAACACAGCATAGAATAAACCCAGGAAGCTTCACAGGCATTTCTGAGATGAGCTTAAATTGAAAAGGAATATGTTTTTGTGTTAACAAGATAGCTCCAAGTGGTGGAATTATGGGCGATTTTGTCTTGCTTTGTTTTCCTTCTTTTTTTTTTTTCTTGTCTGAATTTTTTTAAATCTTCTACAAGGAATGTATATCCCTTGTGTGATGAGAAAAATAGACCAAAACTGTTTTAAGGAGGAATGACAAAGGCAGGATGAAGAGACATAAGTTACCACAGGCACAGCAGAGTGACACAGAGCTGTAGGGTGCAAATGGCTTCACTGATGGTGAGCTGAGAATTTTAAAATAAAATAAAAAATAAAAGCAACAAGGTAATGTTTGGGATACAGGGGGTGTTATTTCTTGAGCCTCTGCTGAGTGCCAGCCGTGTCCCCTGTGGATTCTGCAAGATGAGCACCATGGCCATTGCACAGCCGAGCAGCAGAGGCTGGGGAGGTCAAGGAACTTGCCCAAGGTTAAGGGAGGAGTGAACCCGGATTCAGACCTCATCTTGTGACTGTCCTCTGCACTGCTTGGCTCAGAACAGCAGAGGCAATATTATGGTCTGAAGATTAACAATAAGGTTTAGGCCAACTCAAAGGCCTCATGTCCTTGCATGTTCTAGAGCAGTACTTTTTCAAGTGTTTAGGGGATGTGCTCTGCAAGGGATGAGGGGACCTTAGCCCCAGCCCTCTGTAGCTCCTCAGACCCCCTCCAGTAGCCTCTGGGATCCTGTTGAGCACAGTGTGAAAGCCAGTTTTGAGCAGAGGTTCTGAAAGTTCTATGAAAACTAGTTCCCCAGATGTCCTGAGGAATAAAGGTTTCCAGGTAAGTTTGAGACCCTTCGCTCACCATGTCTGCTCTTAGAGGTCCGTGCATATCATCATGGTCCACGTATGCCAGTCCCACAGCCATGTGCTCACCTTGTTATCCAGGCATTTTCCAGGCCCGTCTGACCACAGACAGCTTTCTATGGAGCACCCGTTAGCATCTTACAGATAGAGTGTTCCAAAAGACAGTTTTGAGATGCTTTTTAGGCCCCATAGATACCTAATTTAAAAAAAAATTTTTTTTAATTAAACTTCCACAATATTTTCTACATGGTGGTTTCAGATTTCTTCAGAACATTTTGTTCTTTAAAAAAAATTCCTAGAAAGCTAAAAATGTCTGTAATTATCCTCACAACAAGAGCAGGATCTCCAGCGTGTGCCTCTGAGTGCTGGAGGTTAATAAGGATTGCGCCTTCATAAGGCAGCAGAATAGCATTTGTGGTTACACTAGTTAAGGATGCTACAAATTACAAGGCCCTCTCAGCCCCAGCATGCAGTGGGAAAGGAAAGACAGTGAACTCAGAAACTGACATGCAGAAGTGGTCCAACCACTGTACACACTTCAGGGTGGTAGTTTTTAACTTTTTCCATATACATGATGAAAGCTTCTTTGAAATTGAGCCTTCATAAGTGGGCATAAAATGCTGAAATTTCTACAACTGTAAAAATGCTTGTATGTCGCTCTGCAGTTTGCAAAAATGCTTTCACCTCCATGTCCTCAAAATAGACCTGAGTGAGCTGCATGTTATTACTCCCATTTTACAGATAAGGAAACTGAGAATCAGCTCCTAAAAGGCAGCATGGTGACCCAACCCTGCTCTTTTCACGCTCCATCCTGTATTGTTTCCATTACGCTAAATGCCTCCTATGATTAATGATTGTGGTAAGCCCTAGATTTTTTGAAATAGAGCTGATTTCAGGGAATTTAAACACGAAAGTCAGTTCATTAAGTGCTTAGCAAAATGTAGTTTATTTGTATCTTTTTAGGACCCTCCAAATAAATCACTTCATAAATTTTAAGTTCACAAATCAAATCAAGTCTATTTATTTATTTATATTTGCTTAGAAAATAGATTTCTAGTGCTCTGATAGCAAAACCAGCTACTTTTACTAGTGTCCATGTTAAATATGAGAACATCCATGGACTGAAGCTCTTATGGGACAAATTCCCACCTGTCCAAGTAGGCATCATCAGGTTTTATTGACCCACTGGAAAGAGACTGTTTATGGTGCAAGACACAGCTTGGTGGATGGACCAGGAAAACTTGTGCTTTGGCACCATGTAATCCCAGCTCTCTAGTAGCCATTTCATTATCAGTGAACCAGGGACCATAATACTTTGTTCACCGCATTGTTGGGAGGACTAACCCTGTGAGTGTAAGTGCCTTGTGCAGAGTAGGAGATCAGGAAATATTAGTATCCTTCCTTCTTGGGTACAAGCAGGACAGGAAAACAGAACTTAATTCTTCCTTCCCAGCACACATACCCCATTTCTCCTCTGGTGTGCACATTTTCCCCTAGGAACTTGACCTCCAGGAACCTGGTTTTGACAAATCAACAAATACTTATTGGGCACCTGCTGTATGGCTGTCCCTGTGCCAAGCACTAGGGATGGATCTCGCAGTCTAGAGGAGAAGAAGGGTGACCCAATAAACAAATTCATTACATATTGGGGTCTTTGCATAGATATCTAGTAGGTCATCAAGTGGTACAGATTTAGTTCTTCCCTGAGGAGTGGGGATAAAAATGCCTTAGAGGGTAGATGCTGCAGGAACAGTCTCCAGGTGGAGGGAGGTTGAGGAGCAGAGGGAATTTTACTGCTCTGTGACTTGTTAGATGACCCCACTTCTCTGGCTGAGCCTGTGGTCTTTAATTTCCACTCCAAATAAGCCAGTCACCAGCATGTTCTCCCTGGACAAGTGAATAACAACTTTTTGTCGTGAAAATAATTCTCAGGGGCCTGAGGAATGGGGAAAAAAATATCAGTCCCTATTTGTGGTGCTCATCTTTTCATTTATTAGTATCGCCTTTCCTTGGGACATTAGGGGAGAAGTATTCTAACTCTTTTAAAGTCATGTTGTTCTTTGGATCTTAGGGGGATCCCCCATGAATGCTTAAATACAGTATCTTCAAGCAATTATCTTTCTGTTGAAGGTGAATGAGCCACAGACTCCCACCAGAACCTTCTAGTAGGCTCTGGCTCCCTAAGCAGTGGTCAGTCTAAGGGGAACGGCGCCTGATTACCTGGACATTTGAAAGGCTTTCACGTCATTCATGCCTATCACACACTTCTCACTGCAGGAGGCGCCTTTTAGAAACTTATATCACCAGAGGCTCTTTCTCATAGAAAAAGCACTAGGCTGGCAGTCCGGAGATCTGTGCTTCCAGGCCTGTACTTGCCCTGTGACCCTGGACAGCCATTTTCTTCTCAGACTTCAGCTGCTTCACCTGTAAGATAAAGCAGGGGGACAAGAGGCTCCTATGGACCCTTCGAGGTCTACATCCAGGGTTACAAATTCCAGAAGGCTAAAGGGAAGTCCCCGGCCTGGTGCCCCCCGCCTCAGGGTGATTACTGCTGTGATCTCACATCTCCAGCTGGACTGTACAATGGATTGTGTTCCCATTGGCCTTCTCTGAATCCCAAACCCCTGTCATCAGTTTTAAGGAACAAAAGTACAAGATGGTAGTTATCTGCTTATATGTGTCAGTACTCAATAAATCTTTACTGATGGTAGTAATCTTAATTATGGTGACTAAAATACATCTAAGTGAGGCCTGAGATTCAGGATCAAGGGAGCAGTGGTACTCCCATAGGCTACAGAAAAGGGCTTTTCAACCCTCACATTTGGAGCCAGACAACGCTTTGTTGTGGAGTCTGTCTTGTGCATTGTAGGATGTTTAGTGGCATCCCTGGCTCTGGCCCATTAGATGCCAGTAACCCTTTCCCCAAGTTGTGGCAGTCCAAAATGTCTCCAAACATTGCTCTATGACCCCCTGGATAGCAAAATTGCTCATGTTAAGAACCAATGCCCTAGCATGAAAGTAGAAGCAACGTTCACTCACGTTTGCCCAGAGGCACCAAGTCTTAAGGGAGGGCATGTCCAACCCAGCATGCCCCTTTAAGCCTCTGTGCCCGCCTCACAAGTCCCACTGTCCTTCCACAGGTACAGTCCTAAACCCCTCACCTTGACCTTCTTATCCCACAATTCTGTACTCATTCACTAATTAAGCAAACTTCTGCTGCATGCCTGTTGCATGCCTGGATCGGTGCTGGATTCTGAGACAGCAGCGGTGAGCTCTCTACCCTACCACTGATTGCCCTTCTCCTTCTCTGATCCTGAGGTTGAAGGTGTGCTTCTGGCTTCCTGGTGCCTATGAGAAAGCTCCTTTCCCTGCTGACTCCCCACCCTGGCTTTAAATTCCCAGGTTCAGACCCTAGCCTGGACCATCTGTTGGGTGCAGCTGTTGCCTATGAGCCTTCATCTCTCATTACTTCTTTTCCCTATTGAATCTACTTGGGCTCCTGTCCTGAAAATTGGGTATCTCCCCTGCCCCAAATACATTATCTGTATGTAGGCATTTTGTCAGTCAGCGAGCCTTTGCTGAGCTCCTCTAATGTGCCAGGATTTGTGCTGTCTGTATCCTTACATCTCTTTATCTGTGACATCATTTGCTAAGTACTTCTGAGCCCCTCCTCCATGTCAGGCACTGTGCTGGGTGCTACGGATACAAGATTAAGCAAAACAAGACGTGGTCCCTACAATGCAGTGGGAGGGACAGGCTTTCGTCAAATAATCGATCACCCACATATATGTCCCTTTATCCACCTTCGTGTCTCCTTTCTCTGTCCTTCTCTGCCTTCCCCCCACTTTCTCTCTGTCTCGCTCCTCTTTTTGCCTCTGTCTCCTGGGTCTCTCTGGTGCTTTCCATCCTACGCCCCATCTATATCCAGCAGGGCCTTGGCGGGGGCCTGCTGAGAGGCTTCTCAGGGGCGCTGGATCTTGGTCAGAAATCTGTCACCCTGGCTTCCTCCTGGTAGGAGAATTACTGTCGTTTAAGGAGGTCTGCCGAGGCTGTTTGACAGGAGTCGGCTGGGCTGGGCAGTAAGTAAGAAGGATCACTCCTTCCTGGGGATTGTGGAAGGATACGGGGCCCATAAATCATCCACCAAGAGTCCTGCCTGAGCAGCACACGGCTTCACTCTGCTTGGCATGCAGCTCGAGGAAATTTCTAAAATTGGAGAGGACTGACACCCTGAGAAGGACAGGCTGCCAGATATCCAGTGGGGAGCTGTCTCTCCTCCCTGCCTGCTGCCGAGTTTCATTGGTGGTATGTCCAGCCGAAATGACTCTAGCTTTTTGATAGCAGCACAGCCTTCCCATAGAATCAAGCTAGGGTGGCTCCCAACCTAGCATCTCAGCCAAGGCAGTGAGAGAGGGCTTCTGAAACTTCCTGATTTCAAGTGAGGACTTGGGAACCCAACCTGGGCTCCCCTTACCCACCAGGTAAACCTGAGCTGGTCCCTTCACTTCTTCGAGGCTCAATTTCCCTTTATATATATGAGGATAATATCAAAGCTACATCCTCCCATCAGTGTGAGGAATCAAATAATCCATGTAAGTGGCTTAGCACAGTACCTGGTACATGAAAAGCTCAGTCAACACCAGCTCTGGCCCCAAGTTCCTCTCAGCTTCCTAGTCTCTTCCTCTGATTACATGCCTGATTGCCGAATGAAAAGTAGACAGGAATCTTGCTTTTAATCCAGGGCGGATTCCGATTGCCTCCCATTGAACTGGGTGGGGTTCTGCCTATTACCTTTCCCTAGATCCTTTCAAGGCCCTAAACCTCCCTTTCCCTGGGCTAGAGCAATGCAGCTGTTTAACAGCTGTTAACTTACCCTGTTCAGCAGATCAAGTTCATTGTCAGGTGATATGATTTCTCCCCATAAAGGACCCGGGGATTTCTCAAAATAAAAGCTGTTACCGAAGTGAATATGTTATTAATAGGGCTTCCTGGAGAAGAGCCCACCTGGATAGAGAAAGCTACTTGTCACAAATACCAAGTCACTCTTGTCCCGTTTTATGCCCTCCCCGTGTTTCTTTTGCCTTCCAACTTGGAAGGCACTTTCTGAATTAAGATTCCAACTGCGAAGGCCCCTCTGGGAATGAGACTGAGAAATGTTGAGGCCTGGTTTTGAGGAGTTCTAAATCACTCAGTTCTCTTGGGCCTTCCACTCCCCCAGGGGCTCTTGGGTTTCCAAGACAGCCAAGCTTCTAAGATGAAATAGATTGCTGTATTTGGACGAGAATGATTTAATGATTCAGAAAGTAGAGAACATGGACACAGGAGAAACTAAACCAGCCATACACTGCCCTCAGACACAAAGAAATTGATTGAGGGTGGGGAGGTGGCAGTCCTGGGAAAAACAAATTTGCTAACTCCATAAGAGCATTGGTTATTCGGCTCCCAGAAAACAAATTTGAAAGCAGGTGAATCTAGCAGGCGGAGGAGGCCAGGGGAAAGATTGCAGTTCTGGAAGATGCCTTGTGTATTAGCTCTCCGCTAGACTTTGAGCTCCTTAAGAGCAGAGGCTGGATCTTACTTTGTTTGCATCCCCAGCAGATAGTAAAGATAGTCAAAAAGAGGCAGCCAGCCTTCTCAAACTGCGATGAGAGTATTCTCTGGCCTGTGCAGAGATTGACAGAGAGGTAACGATGGCCTGTATTTCTGAAGATGCGAGGGGAAAAATATTTTTGTATTAAAAAATATATTTTGAAAGGATGCAAAATGTGAGTAAATTCTTAAGATGAGAATTTATTGAAATGACCACTTATGGCCAATTTCTCAAGACTCTTTAGGGCACTGGTTCTCAATCTTAATGGTGTACACATACCACTTAGTGTGCTTGTTAAACTCAGAGTCCTGAGCCTTCTACCCAGAGATTATGACTAACAATACTTCTAAAATTGAACTCAAAAAATTGCATGTTAACTAGTGCCCCACACAATATCTTTGCAACTATACTAACACCAACCTTGCCTTGGAGAGCGGGTAATACCTACCCTTCTGCTATTCAGGATTATAGTGGATGCTGTGGTGTATCACCCAGATTCTACCCAAGACCAGCAGTTCACAGCCCACAGCTACTTCATTCTCTGAGAATTGTCTTCCCCTGAAAGGAGCTGCCTTGCCCAGCCCAAGGTTAAGACCCATCCCTGGAGGCAGCTTGTCACCAGTGAGTCCTCCATGTGAAAGGTGGGAGTAGGAGTGAGGATTACAAAGACCCAACCTTCTTGACCCAATTTGAGACAACTCTGAAAGGCCAGCCCAGCTCCAGAGCTCTTGAAAAGATTGGCTGAGGCCTGTGTTGCAGCCGCATTGTAGCTCAAGTTCTCCCTCTGCCCAGTTCTGCTTTTCTCCCTCCCTTACAGGGGTTGCTCATGAGAGCAAGAAGCCTCCTGCCAGCAAATCTCCATTTCAGAGTTTATTTCCCAGGGAAGCTGACCTAGGACAAGCATACTTCAGATGGGTTTGAGCAGCATTAAACAGTGGAAAATACATAGTCTTGAGATAATATAATAATAATGGCAACTCATATTTATTGGGCTCTTACAGTGTTTTCAGTGCTTTATATTTATCTTCTCCCTAAATCTTTACAACTGCTCTGTTACTTATCCCCACTTCACAAGTGAGGAAACTGAGGTACAGGAAACTTAAGCAACTTGCCAAGGGTCACATAGTCACACAGTGGCAGAGTTGGGTTTCAAATCCATACTGTCTGGCCTAACAGACCTTTAACCACTACAATCTATGGCTTCTCAGGGTTTATTTGAGGTTCTTCCATGTGCTAGCTTTATGACCTTCCTGTGAGTGAACCCAACTGAGCTTCAGTTTCCTAACCTGTAAAATGGGCTTCATAGTACCTACATTGCAAGCGTGTTAGGGGGCTGAATTGAGGCTCAGTCGGTGTTAAGAATCTAACACATGCCTGTAGCCCAACAGGCACCAGCTGAACAGATAGGTCTAGCTATTGTGGAGTCTTGACAGGTCTCTGGTGAACACTTTTCAGGGAATGCCTGAATGAAATATGTCTCCTATGGAAAGCCCTAAGCTGGCTGGTGTTCACAGAAGGCCAGAGAAGAAATGTCCAAGGAAATGAGAGATATGGATTCGAGAGGAGGTGACTGTGTTGAACAAGACTGAGCAAAGGAAAAAATCATTTGCACCAATGCACAAATCTCAGCTGCTCAGAGCTTTTGGGAAGGCAGGAAACTAAGGATGCAGCTGAGAATGCCAGTTTCTGGCACAGTGACAAAGGATGGTCTGCTAGGGTCTAGGCCCTGTGGCCACCTAACCTACATCGCTCTCAGCCAAAAACTACTAGACTTTGACTCAAAGAGCATCTTATCCTGGCTCTGCCACAGAAGAGTTGTGTGATCCAGGGAAAGTCCACATTCCCCAATTTCAGCCTCATTTAGAAATATAGATGGGAATCAGGACTTAGGATCTCTAAGACTCTACCAGGTCAGAAACTTGGTGACTGCGTGAATCTTTGGGCTCTAATTTGGGTTGAAGTGCTAGCCCTCTGTGGTTTCAGAAGGGAAGCCACAAACCACAAACCTACTGTTAGAAGCATTTTCTGCCCTATCCTCTTCCCCTAAATTTTACAGCATTCCTTTTTAGAACTTTTAAGTCTGGATAATTCCAAGTTTAAGTCTCTTGTTCAACCCACATTTACTTCTTCTCTGCCTCCACGCTCAGCACTTAACCCCTTAAATTACACATGGGAGTGTGTAGGAACTCAGTAGGAAGTATTAGAACACCCAGGATACTGATTCACAGATCTCACTGCCTCCCTAGCCCACTCACTTACTCACATGAACTCTCTCTCTCTCTCTGTTAGAATCTATATAGAGTGGCCAGCTTTGCACAGGGTTGTTTGGATGGAAGGATCCCAGGAAATTTATTTGTTTTGCCCTTTTACCAGAGTCCAAGAAGCTGGCTTTTCTGCTGCGTGATCATCTTGATTAATTCATTTTGTGAAGGAAGCCACTCTGTAAGGTTTGGGGATCAGACCACCCAGTACTTCATTCAACCTAACAAGGAGTGATTGAATCCCTTCTCTGCGAAGCTGGACTAATAATACCCTTTCTTGGTTGCTGTGAGAAGTAGCTGAAGTAATTCATAGAAAGGACCCAACAGTGCCTGACCCAAAGTAGATATTCAAAAAAGCACTAAAAGTACTACTTCTAACACCACTGATTAGGTTCTAGGACGTCTGATCTCTCCAAAGTTTGACTTTGAAGGGCTGGAAGATGTCCTCCCTGCTCAATTCCTTTTCCTACCAGATGCCTTTGGTAGAAAATAGTCCTATGCACTGTGTCCATGGCGCTCTTGTTAAGCCTTCCTTCCACTCGCTTCCTTGGGCAATTGTTAGTTCCCTGCTACCTGATCACTGTCAGAAAGAGCTCTGCCTTGAATTCCATCTGCACACGTTTGCTTTTGTTTCTCCCTGAGATAACAGTGCCTGGTTGAACAACCCTTTCAAGTTGGTTTTACTGTAATCACTGTTACATTTTTAACTATTTCTGGCCTCACACCCAGGGTCATGTAGGACTGGTAGAATACCCTTAATGAATGTTATACATAACAAAATCGACTGTACCACCTGTAATTCCTTTCAGAACTGGGACATTTGCCCTCGTGTTCACACCTGGCCAGGCACTGCCCTGAATCCTGCTCACACATGCTGTGATCACTGACATCGTTGCCCTCGTTGGAGCACAGAGAATCGAAGGCTTACAGCATCTAGAAATATTTAAGAAAAGAGAACTGGATGGGTCTGTTGTATTTTTTTCCTCAGGGAAGACAAGTAGACATGCATACACAACACTCCCCCACATACACTCACAAGCAGAGTGCATGTGTCCCGGAGCCAGCCCCGTAGCACACACACAGATTCACATTCATTGTAATCGAGAGAGATCGGGTTTGTTCCTGTTGTTCCTGTAAAATTCCCAATTAGCCTCCATTCAGCAGAGAGTTGTCAGCCTGACAGCACCTCATTAGGACATCCCACTCCAAGCTTCAGGAATGTTGATTCAGGCAGATTAGCCGTAAAGAGCAAATGCCCACACTGGGGAGCCAGATCCTTTTGGCTTTACATAAAATGACTGCCCATGGGACCTTACACAGGCTACTTTCTGCAACCTCAGTTTCCTCATCCAGAGAATAGAGATAATAATAATACCTACCACAGAGTATCTATCCTTGCCAAAGGCTAAATGAGCTATTACCAGGAAGCTCATTAAATGATAGCTACTTATGCTGTCTCCATGGCCTTGGGCAAATCTCCCAAACTGAGATGATAATCCTTGTCCTACAGAAGTGTTTACAAAACTTCACGGAGCTAGGGGGATGTCTATTATTATTAATTATTATTAAAAAGCGCAGAACCGTCCTTAGGGCCTGTTAGGCCACACCTATGTGAAAGCCTCTAGATGTCCCCTTCTGGCAGACTGAATCACTCATTCATTCATTCATTCATTCATTCATTCATTCATTCCAGTGTTATGCCAAGTCTTCCTGGATGTGATAGGGGTAGGGGAAATAGACATGAATATGACCCCTACCCTGTCTCAGGGAATTCTCAGGCTAGTGTGAGAGACAGAGGGGTACTTAGCCAAATCTTATGGCAAGAAGTGGGGGTTCTTTGAACTGGAAGAGTCTCCCCATCCCTTTCCTTCCTCCCCTGGCATCCTCCAGGGGTTCCCAAAGGAGCATGCCAATTCTCAAAATGCTGCCTCCGGCAGGTTTTTCAAGGGATGTTGCTGTCTTCAAGAGAGGCATATCCTAACATCTTCCCCCTTCTTCTGAGGGAGGAATTGGTCTCTCTCTAAGATGCTGGTGACAAGAGCCCCGGGTAAGAATCAAGAGGCCTAGACCCATTGCTTTCTGGTGTGTGGCCCTTGGCCAAACTGTTTGGCTCCTCTGAGCCCTCATTTCCTTCTGTAGAAAATGAGGATAGTATTCTCAGTATTGCTCAAGGTGAACTCTGCAGTAATACATAAAGGCACCATACACACGAGCTGAAACATTACTCTTTGTAATAATTCAAGCAACAATGTGTGTCAATCCCTTTCCATGCCCAGGGGTATGCTAGAGTCTATGGAGGATGCAAAAGAAGCAATACTCTCAATCCACTCACCTTCTTATTGAGGAGAAAAAAATGTACACAGATGATCTAGGCAGGGAATGAGAGAGTACAAGGCCATATATCTGATTTTATGGTGTAAACCAATTTTCTATATATTAAATCTGACTTTTCCATTGAGTTACATGCTTACTCCAGAGATGTGTTTTCTTGGATGTGAATAGCTTTAGAATATCATAAGTCCTTCCATGTAAAGTACATAAACAACCCATGCTGCCCCCCCTCTCTGCTAGAGTAGTTCTCATGATCAGATGTGTTAAAGAATAGTTGAGCAAACTGTAAACCAGGGTCTTGGAAGTCTAGGGAGGCTGGAATGGAACTGAGACAGACCACAGGCCAATCACTTTTCATTCTAGGTAAAGATCCTGAGGCACAGCCAACAGAGGTGTTACAGGCAGGTGGACATTCTAAGTCAGTGGTGGAACTGGGCCAGGTACCCTGGCCACCAGACCTTTTCCAAACTTTCTCCAAGTCGTTCATTGTCTTCGTCCTTCCCACTACACAGGGGATGGGAAGGATATCTCTATTTATGGCAACTCTAAGGGAAAACTTACAAACCTCATAGATCAGGTTGAATCTTAATTCCCCTACTTTCTAACTGAATGACCTTAAAGAAGTTATTTAACTTCTCTGAACTGTGAAATAGTTCTAGCAATGCTTAATGTTTCTTTCGTGGTAGGTGCCATCGTATCTGGTAGTGGCACTTAGTAAATGCCAAAGAATGAGGCCCACCCCTGCCTATCAAGCCACATCAGGGAATAGCCAGGTAGTGAGTACTGCCCAACTGTCCAGCCATGTTTGTTCCCCAGTATTGGCCCAGCACTAAGAGCCTTCAGGAGCTCTTCCTGGTATCCACCCACCCTGGTCCACTGGGCCCTCTGCCTAGAGCACACGCTTCTCTTTATCAACCAATTACTATGTAGCTTTTTACTGCCACATTAATTAACAGTGAAGCAGATAATTGTCATTAGCTTATAGGAGCTGAAAAATAATTGATAGCTCTTTTCACACTAGTTGTAGAAAGAGTCATCATGATTTTTTTTTTTTTTTTGAGACAGAGCCTTTCTCTGTCACCCAGGCTGGAGTGCAGTGGCATGATCTTGGCTCACCACAACCTCCACCTCCCAGGTTCAAGCGATTCTCCTGCCTCAGCCTCCTGAGTAGTTGGGATTACAGGTGCACACCACTGCGCCCGGCTAATTTTTGTATTTTTTTAGTAGAGACGGGGTTTTGCCATGATGGCCAGGCTGGTCTTGAACTCCTGACCTCAGGTGATCCTCCCACCTCAGCCTCCCAAAGTGCTGGGATTACAGGCATGAGCCACCACGCCAGGCTGATAAACCTTGATTTGAATATAATTCACCCTCATTTTCATTTATCCCTAATGTGAGGGTGGTGGCATTTTCTTGACAAATGGGGATTAGGAAGGTCTAGCAGGTATCATAGGTATATCTGAGACCAAGTAAACATTCATTCAATAGATGAATAAATTTTTTAAATAAATGAAGGAGTAAACAAATGAAGTGGTTATGTTAGTGGTTAGAGGCACAGGATTTGGAGTAATAATTCAAGCAGTAATCTCTGTCAATCCTTTTTCATGCCTAAGGTTGTGACCTCAGGCAGGTTACTTCACTTCTCTGAGCTTCAGTTTCTCATGTGTTAAATGGAGGTGCTAAACTTTGTCTTACAGGGTTATTGTAATAATTAGAGATAATGTCTATAGAGTAGCCAACATAGTGAGTGGCACATTTATGTGCTCAGAAAATGGTGGTTGCTGCTACCATCATCATCACCATCTTCATCTTCATCATCTTCACCTTCTCAATATATTCATCATGCTTATCACCACAATCTTCATCCATCATCATCATCACCATCTCTTCATTGTCTTCATCATCTTCATTTTTTACAAAGTTAATTTTTGTCCTTATTTGGTATATCAGTTTCTGAAAACCAAAAATGCTATCGTGTGTGTCTTTTAAAAACCTTTTATTTGGAAATAATTGCATTTCCAGACAGGACCCTTTATTCTGCAGTTGGCAGAGTGATTGCCACAGCCACTGCCACACTGAAAGGTTTCCAGGGCCATGTGAATTGAGGAATGCATGAGAGTGCGGACTGCTCTCCCCTGGTCCTGGGACTCATTATCTTGTTTGCCTTTAATCACAAATCTGCACAAAGATCCTTTGCCGGGACTGTTTACTGCATAGCTGAGACTGGTGGCACATCCTTTGAAGGTCTGTGGATGAACAGCTGTAGAGAAGGGCACCACAGGGTCACGGAATGAAAAACAGATTCACATTCCCACCTTGGTTTTGTGTCGACTATTGGGCCTCTCTGAACCTCAGTTTCATCATCTGCAAAATGGTATCTTTATAACATCTTCCAAGGTTGCTGTGAAGATTAAATAATACAAATTCATATATGTGAAGAGTGAAACACAGTGCCTGATGTGAAATAGGTGGTCGGTAAAGCATCAGATTATTTGGTGGAGGCCAGCAAGGTGATTGGACCTCCCTAACGCTTATGTTAGGACTTAAGCCATCCATCTCTCCATGACTATGGGTTATCTCACCATCAATGTCCCTTGGTTTCTCTAGAGACAGCACGATTGAGCCAAATTGTCTGCGTATCCTCTGCCACCCTCATGCCACACACACACCTCTCCCTGGGTCTTTTACTTGCTCAACCCAAAGACAAAGGGATTTTCTTCTGAAGGTGATTTGTACTTTAAAAGCCAGTATGCTGAAGTCATGGCATTCTAGAATGTTAGTACTGTAAGGAATCTCTGATGTCCTCTTATCTAACCTCCAGACCTATGAGTGTCTCACTTTCCCTTTGAATGTTCTGGAGGCATCCCACATCATCATGTGATCACAATTACTCACCTGCAGCTGTGGCAGTGGGCACCCCATTTATACCCTATGACCATTTCAGTACAGCCAGCCCAACTTCCAAGTCTACTTTCTTCTCCTGAAGCTCTTTCTGGCCTCTAAAGGCAGCTTTGCCCATACATGGAGCAGATCAGAAGTGAAAAGGTATGAACACCCCCTGGAAGCAGCCCCCAACAAATAACTGATGGGCAGGCATATAAATACCCCAGCTCCCCCGCCCACCATCTGATGGCACAATTCTGCAACACACCCATTCTTAGGGGCCTTCCCTTCCCTATCTCACATCCCCACTCCTTTGCCTATAAGTAGTTTACTCTCAGATGCTACTTGCATTTGAATCCTTTTTTTAGGGTTAGCTCCTGAGGGAACCCAAACAGTAGGAAACTAGTCCTAGATAGAAGAGGAACCACTGAAAAAGACATGGCCATTCATCCAACAAAAGTTTCCTGAGAACCCGTGAATGAATGGTAAATGGCTCCTGCTTTCAGATGCTTATATTCTTGAGAAGAGACTTAGAAACCCTCAAGTTTAGTTGTGATGAGGGCTGGGTAGAATAAAGAGTCACTTTCTGGTTGGCTGTGAGGACTCAGTAAGGTATATAAAATTTCAGGCAATTCGTTAAAATCCACCAAACATTTGTTGAGTGTCTATTGTATGCTAGGCTCTGAGCTGGCCCAGCAGGGATGCAAAGATGAATAAGGCACATCCTCTATCCCTGAAGCACTCAGGAAAGGGCATTTCAACACTGTGCATTCTATTAGGTGTGCAGCTGCAGAGGGTACTGTGGGGACTCCAAAGAGTAAGGCATGTGTTCAGCAACAGTTGTTTTTCTTTCCCTATGGAATTCTCTTTAGGGCCTTAGGTCTAGGTCTGGGCTTGACATAGAGTAGGTGCTCAGCGATGTTGGTTGAATTGAACTGAGCAGTTCAGGGGAAGAGGAAGAAGCCTCTGACCCCATGATTCCTTTGCCCAACTAGGAAACACCTTTCCCCATAGATCACTGATCTCAGACAAGAAATAAGGCCCAAGTGGTTTGAACATTGTCAGCAACAGTAGACAACAGAGTCAAAAATACAATTTTTTCATGTTTTTTTTAATGCCAGGAAAAAAAAAATTGCATTTACATTCCAGGGTTTAAAGGCTTTCAGAGGTGGGATGGGAAGGAGGAATTAGAGCTGCAAGCTATTGTTCATGCTTGGCTGATATTTAATCAGTTTGTTGGGTCATAATAGAGAATACAGCTCCAATGACACATAAATTTGAATGATCAAGTCAAAGCCAGTGAGTCTTCCTCATTATTTATCTTACAGTAGAGATAACCTTTTCATTATTGAAATAGAATTGCCAAATGAGATAGTTAATATTAAAACAGAATTAGCGACATGAGCTCAACATTTGGAAATAAATTTCTAATAGTGCTTTTTGTGTCTGCAAAATTAGTGTTCGGTGTTGATCTTGCAGTAGTGTTAATTGATGGCTAAGGCTGGTCCCAGCTGCCCTGCTCTCCAGCAAGGGGGCTCTCTTGATTTCTCTGGATCAGTAACACACACTAACATCATCTGTGCCAGAAGACAAGAAGCTTTGTTTTACCCTGAGCGAGAGCCATTGTTGATCTGTTCTATTTAACAAAGAAGTGATGAGTTTTGGGAAAGGGCAAGGGATTGTGGGGATAAGAAAATGAATGAGCCGTGGCAGTCTCCACAAAGCTAACAGGCTGGCAGGGTGGTGGGATATTGAGAAAAGTAATAGCAACAGAATACCAGGTACTCAGGTGCCTGAAGGCCTTGGCACCTGTCTTTCACTTTCACCTTTATTCCCCACCCCCAGGCTCCAGGCTTACCTTTCAAGATGCAATTCAAGTCTTGTTTCTCCTAGGAATCTTGCTTGGAGGGGATGTTCCCTTAACTCCCAATGCTGCCTTCTAATTTCACTGTCTAATGTCATAGTGTCTGTGTCTCCACTTCCTCAACCCCCCTCTCACAAGACTGCAAACTTGAAGATAATGATGGCATCTTATTTGCCTTTGTAGCCTCAACTTCTAGCACAGAGCCTGTACATGGTATAGAACACAGTGCATAGTGGGTGATGAATAAATATTCACTGAAATAATAAATTAGAATGTGGGAAAAGTACTTAGAGAGCAAAGTAAAGGAAGAACTAGCTTTTAGAGGGCTTTCTGGAAGATATGACATTCAAATAGAAACCTGAAAGATAGGGACAATGATTCTGCCTTTTCAGCAGAGTCAGCTATTATGGCTAGTTGAGGGGAAATGGCACCCTGGGTGGTTATAGAGGTAGAAGAGTTGGGCTTTGGAGAGGATGGGCTCTTCTACTCTGTGACCTCCACTGTAGCCATTTTTCCTTCCCCCATTCCCAAAGAAGTAAGAGAATGAAGGTCTAGTGGGATGCTCAGGTTAGTGACCATGCTGCTGCACTAACTTCCATCTTTTCTTCTGCCTTGCTGCCGTCCTCTACCTAGATCTGGTCCAGGCTCCAGGAAACTAGTAATAGGTCCAGGCCCTGGAGGAATTAACTGTCTTCAGTACAAACAGGCAATGTCATTTCATGTGAAGGAGTGGCTTTCACAGAGGCATGGAAGTGTGGAGGAGAAGTTAGTTGTCCAGAAGTGCCTCTGGGTATTTTTTGTAGAGTCTTTGCTTCGCTTCCCCATGAGTGGACATTCAAACCACTACCATGGAATAGGGAGTCCCCCAGAAGAAACCCAAGAGATGGAGGGTGGGTGGAGGGGCTGGGAGCCAAGGCTCCAAGCTGTAAGACTGT
Source organism: Homo sapiens (assembly GCF_000001405.40). Lineage (NCBI taxonomy): Eukaryota > Metazoa > Chordata > Mammalia > Primates > Hominidae > Homo > Homo sapiens. Next base: position 79,018,937 of record NC_000011.10, on the reverse strand, counting down.
GGAGCAAGCCTCCTCTCCTCTCTGGTCCTCAGCTTTCCCCTCTGTGAAATGAATAAGTTGTACTAGCTCATCTCTAAAATAATCTTAATAATCTTTGCCAGCCCTATCATTCTAAGACTGCTCATTTAAAAGTCTGGCTAAAAAAATGTCAGTGAATAACATGTAGATCAGCATGGCCAGAGTGAATCACTTCCATTTCTCCCTCCCTGCCTGGCTCAAATCACAATGCACATATTAAACCCATTCTGAAAATAAGCGTGGGGGAGAGGTCTCCGGGAAGTAAGTAAACCTCTTCTGAGTAATCTCTCTCTGACCACTCTTTCCTACCGAGACAGAGATAAGCACACATTGTTTCAATCAGGCCCAAGTTCCATTTCTTTATCTTAAAACTATCTTCTGCCACATTATAAATAATCAGCTTACTGGTGAGCTAGGCCAGGCATGTGGGGTAGGGATGTGTGTGGGGGGATGTGTGTGTGTGTGTGCATGTGTGTGAGAGTGGAGGTTCTGGAGATAGTGGACAGGAGCCAGGAAGCAACCTTGATCCTTAAGCAGCCCAGAGAAATGAGATTACCCCTGGCCTATCAGACCAAGGAGCCAGCTGCTGGCAAGAGAACCTCAGGTTAGGGTAGCCAGATAATATGTTGTTCAAACCAGGACATGGCTCAGAATGAATGGGATCGCTGCTAATAATTACACTGGAAGAACAGGCACAAACCAGTATCATCCTGGGCCAACTGGAACATGTGGTCATCCCAGCCTCAGGGTTCCAGGGTAACAAACATCTAGGATTAAGAGGTCCTTGCATTCAGTTGGGCAACAAGATTTTATTTCAGATGGAGAAGTGGCTTCATCCCCCAGCCCTCATCCCCCAGCCCTCCTCCCCAGCTTGAGACTATCCCACAGCAGGCAGCCAAATGGTTTTCCAGCCCCAGCTTACATCCCCAAGTGGGAGGACCACCTTTCCTCTCCAGCAGGACCTGTTAACATCATTTGTGGAACCCAGTGTAAAATGAAAATGCAGGACTCCACATTCAAAGACTTAAGAATTTCAAGACAGTGACAGTAGAGCATTAGAATCAAGGATGAGGCCCTTCTGAGCCTGAGCCCTGTACACAGGGCCTGTGCCCATGAGGCTGGACCTGCTCCCTAAGCAGCCTGTGCCGCATTTCAAGAGCACAGACTCAGAATGTACTTTCCTTCCTGCCTGCCTTCTGCCTGCTTGCTTGCAGGTTTGCCTCAATTATATTTTTAATTTAATATCTTGAATGTGTAATATGCTCACTTGGCTTAAAAGTTAAACAACATAAAGTGCTATGTAGTTACAAAGTATTAGTTCCACTTCTCCCCCCACCATTCCCAACATCCCTTATCCCCTTCCCATAGATAACCACTTTTTGTTTTTTTGTGTATCCTCTCAGGGTTTCTTTCTGCAAATAGAAGTCTATATTTTTGCCTTTTTCCCTTTTTTAAAATTCAGAGGTTGCATACTAAACAGGTCTTCTGTGCCCTGCATCAGAACTTGCTTCCTGGTATCCAGGACAGTAGCCACCCACTCTTCTCACCACCTTTGGAACAAGGCCATTTCTTCCCTGGAAAAGCCCTGCAGAAATGTAAAAGCAGAGACTAAACTCCCACCTACCCCACTTCCTCCAGCCTCCGCCTCTTTTATCTAGACTATTCCTTCAGCCATTCCTCACAGAGTGTGATGTCTAAACTGATCCTGTTTGCAACTTTCTGAATGTGTGAGGCCCAGAGCTGGCCAATTGACCCACCAAAGGTGGGCTGCTCTGCTCACAGCAGAAAAAAATTGATCTCCTCCATCATTCTCGTCACCTGACCTCAATGCAGCCCACTTAATGATAATTATAGTTCCACTGGAAATTGACTCTGTGCCAGGAACCATGCTATGTATCTATAAACATCACATTGAGCCTCATGACAACTCTGGGAGATAGGTCTTATAGTCCCTCCTTTACAGATGAGGCATCTCAAGGTCAGAGAGGTAAAGTAACATACAAAAAGTCACCCAGCAAGTAAGTGTTGAAAGGATTCAAACCAAGGTTTGTCTAACTCCAAACCATGCTCTTAACAAGACCACAGTCTCACCTCCCCTCTCAATCTCTTTGGGGTCTTTTGATGAACCAAATAATGGGACTGAAAGCTGAATGCTTCCCCCAAAGACTTCCTCACACACATGCTATTAACTATGAACTTTCATTTGGGTAGTTTTTCTTGGGCATGATGAATGCTGTTTCTTTTATTACCTGTTATGTTATTTAAGAGTTTCCACCTTGACTTTCAAGATAATCTCGTTTCCATGCTTTAAATATCAACCGAATGTGTATCTTTAGCCTAGACTCCTCCTCCAAATTATAAACTTCTGTTTCCAACCATTTGTTGATATCTCTGCTTGAAAGTGTAGCCTCTCAAACGTAACATAACTAAAACAAAACTCATAATCATGACCCCAAATCCATTATCTTTCCAAAGTCTTCCCCATCTCAGTAAATGGAGTGATCTACCCACTCGCCCAAGTTAGAAACTAGTGTCATCTTTGATTCTCGCCTTTTCTTCATCTTCTGTGTCTAAATCACCAACAAGTCCTGTTGGTTCCACCTCCAAAAATGTCTCCCAGGTTCACTTTTCTCTCTACTCATAACCTTAAGTCAAGTCCCCAGCATCTCCCCTCTGAGCTGCTGGGATACCCAGTTTACATTTCTCCTTGTTGCCACTCTTGCCCCCTATACAATAGATCTTTGAGAGCATCATTGTGTTCCACTTAAAACCTTCTTTTTATTCCTAAAATAAAATCCAGAGCTTTGACCATGCCTACAATACTCCCTTGTCTGGGATCCACTCTAGCTCACTTCCTACCCTTCTACTCACCATGCCCCAGCCACACTCTCAGTACCTTGGTCTCATCAGGCTCGCCCTTGCCTTTGGCTTTTACACATATGCTCTTCCCCTTCCTGGAATGCTCTTCCACCCACTTTTGACATCTTTAGGTCCAATCTAACTCACTCTCCTGAGGGGCCTTTTCTGACCACCTTATCAGAATTCATGCCTTGGTATCCTCTCTCAAGGCGTCCTACTTATTTATACCTGACAGAGCACTTATGACCATTCCTTTTTGGTTGTTTTGTTTGTGTTTATTGTCTATCTCTTCACCAAACTAGAAGCTCCATCAGAGCAGAAACCATGTCTTTTTCATGCATTGTGGTACCTCCAGCAGTAAGCGTAGTGCCAGACACATAGTGCAGCAGACTCTCAAGTACTGTGGAATTAGTTTTTCGCCTTTCTCTGGTTCTTCCATGTAATAGGCTTTACTAGAAAGCTGCAATATAATTTTTATTACCTGTTGTTTTAATTGAATAGGTTTTGCACTGTGGGAGAGTTGAACAATAAAAATGTTTCTTAGAATACATACACACACACACACACACACACACACACACACTAAATGACTTTTTTTCTCATGAAATCAGCAGTGTAGTTTTTCTCTATAGGTTAGTGATCCACAGTATGAAATGGAAAGAGGTGGCCTCTAGCATTCCTCGTACCTAAGGAGGCAGTAGAGCATCATTGGAGAATAATTCCTGCGTCACTCAGTGCAGCAAAGGTGTTTGAGATTGCAGTGGCTTAGACCATGAACTTGGAGCCAGACTGCCTGGGTTCCAATCCCAGCTCTGATTCAATTCTTCATCCCTACAATGAGTTGATAAAAAGCAATGCCCACCTTCTATGGTTGTTGTGAGGATTCCATGTGTTAACACACAGGGCCTGGCAGGCAGTAAGTCCTTAGTGATCACTAGCATCATTACTGTGCTGCACTTCTTACAGAGACTTTTTTTCCCAATGGCCTAATGAGATATTTATGTTTCAGTTTAGTTCAACTAACACTTCCTGTGCCCCTCTGCCAGGGCCTGGAGATACAGGGATGAGTGGATCCTAAAGGGGCTCCCAAATTCTTAGGAACACTTTACAACTGTGTAGAGTGAAACAATGAAGTTAGTGCAGGGGCAGAGGCATGTCCAGGCAGGAGAGCATTAATCCCATGGAGACCTATCTGCAAATCCACTTCACTTAGCCTTCCTGGTTATAAAAGTCACCGCCCCTGGCCAAGGCTACAGGTGTGGTAGATTAAGGCACTCTTGCCCACTTTTGCCCATCTTCTTGTCTCCCAGAACCGGCTTTCTCTGTGGTTATAACTTGATTTGCAAACGGCAAGTGAAAGGCAGTTCTCCCTGAAAAGAATCCTGTTCATGCATCACCCAGGATCCTGGAACAGCTGCCTCCTCTCTAAGCAGAAGAGCCCTGGTGGCCTCTGTGCATGAAGACCATTTGGGGCCTAATGAAGTGCAAAGGTATTTTGTGCTCTGGACCCAGGAGTGCAACAGTTACTGGCTGCTGAAGGCAGACATTAAGGAGAACCATTTTAATTGATTAGAATGTGCATATGCTGTATTGGTTTCGTCTGAGGGCATTTTGGAACAAATAGCACTGTCATTGTGAGCCTTAATTAGATAATAAATTAATAGATAAATGGATTCCAAAGTTCCGGTGGCCTCTCCTACCCCTGTGCCAGCATTAGCATTAAGAAAGAGGCTTCCTCTCTATCACCAGGGAGGTGTGGGGAGGAAGAGGGAACTGGCTGTGCCTGGGCCATGGTTCCTAAGGTTCTCTTGGCTCAAGCATCATGATGACAACATCTAAGTTAGATGCTGAGGAAAAGGGCAGCTTTTTGTTATAGTCGAAATGGCACAGGACATGAGTCCCAGGCTCACTCACTTCTTTTGTTATCTATTCTTTTAATGAATATTTGTGGACTGCCTACTGTGTGCCACAGACTGTGCCGGGCTCTGAGGATACAGATAACAAGAGTTCCTGCCCAGAGAAAACAAATCAATAAGAATGTCATAGACTTTGTTAGGTAGTCAAAAAGTGACTATAGAGAAAAAATTAAGTAAGAAGAGGGGCAAATCGGGAATATAAGATGGGGAGTGAGCAGGGAGGGAGGGTGCAATTTTAAAGAGTGGTTAGAAAAGTGACTCAGCTGGATCTCTGAGGGCCTTGAGGGCCACTGCGGGGGCCTGGGCTCTGGCTGGGATGCAGTTGAAGAGCCTTTGGAGGGTGCCCAGCAGAGGAGTTGTTATACTTCCTCTAGGACTTCCTGGTCTGTAATTTTAGTATGTGTTGGATCTGGAATGGCTGACTCATGGCAGGCAAGGAGCTGCTGCTTTCTCCTGCACCCTTGGGTGATCATAACCATCTTTCCCATGAGCCTGATTTGGCCTTGGAATCTTGTTCATCCAGCCTTCCAGGAGCTCTACCAGTCCCTCCCTGTTGGCGCTCCAGAGGAAGTGTGAGATTCCAGTCACTTCCCCACCCCATGATTGGGCTGCTGGGCTGCGCCAGGCCTGCACCCATGAGGCAGATGGAAAGGCAGTGGGCCTGGTGCCTGCCCAGAGAACACAGTGAAGGGGGTTGGGGGAAGGAGCTTCAAAATATAACAACAGGACAAGTCTGATAAGCAGCATAGAAAGACTTAAGGGGATTAATTCTGCCTGGGAGAGGGGCACACAGAGCTTCCCAGAGGGGGCAAATTGGAGGGTATCTGGAAAGATAGGTAAGATATTAACAAGGAAGAGCCTGAGAAGACGTTGCAAGGAATGCGGGAGGTGGAAATGGGTGGAGGATAGTCTGGTGGCTGGTGTTGGTGAAGGATCTAAGTCAGGAAATACCAGGAAGCACTTAACCAGCTCTCGTGCCCCCTGAATGTTGCCATTTCCCGAATGTCTGAAAGAGGCACCATAATATCAGCCACATTGAGTATATTAGGATAATGCCAGTTATTAGTAGGAAAGCCATTTCCAAGGACTGCATAAATCTTGTTCGTGTATCAGTCTGGTGTAGTGTTCCTGATAGCAGACATTTCTTTATGTTGGGGATCACTGAAAAACCTGGACTCCTCTCTTTGGTCTTCCATCCCCTGGAGCCTCAGTGTCATCTGCAAAAGAGGGATCAAGGGTGAAGGCTACTTTTTAGCCATCTTGGATGAGAACAATCACACCTTCTGGTAGTTCTGTGAGATGGAGTGCACTGGTGCCATGGAGCTGCCAGGGGAGCTGGGAAAGGTCGTCCTCGCTGAGCAGCCACTTTCAGCCCCAGGTCAGTGTCTGGAGGGAAGAGCATACCTGTGGTGGCCAGTGAGCACCTACCCCTGGTGAATATGCTGTAAACTCAGTAAACATCATCCTGTACCTCCTCCTATATCTCGTTCAGCACAGCAAACTACCTTGATAATAAGAATTATAATCCTTCATGTTTTCAGAAAACTTTATCATTTCTCAAGAACTTGGAGATAAGTTCAGATTGAGCATTTATTAAGCACCCACTTTGTGTCAGACAGTGAGAAAACTGCCTCAATTTTCTCCTTTGGAAACAAGGGTACTCTCCTGGGCTCAGGGTTATTACAAAGATCAAATGAGGGAACTGCCTGGCACATGGTAGGTACTCAGTAAGCACCAACACCCATCTTCCCATCTTTCAAGCTTTTCCAGGCAAGATCCTAAGAGCAGATAGGATGGTCTGGCAACCTCCTGTTTTCTTCAGGACCTTGGCTTTGGAAAACCTTGCCCTACCACAAGGCGAAGAATCTAATTGCAGACATGAGGCCGTCGGGGAAAAGCCAAATACACACGGCTTAAAAATAGAGGCCACTCTCATGGTGACTTTTCTGAGTCTTTCTAACTCAAATATCTGGAAATTGTGCTGATCAAATTCAACTTTGCGTCCCCCAGGACAGAGGAGCCGGTCTCATTTTTCTGGAGACATGTGCTTTGGGCATTTGTTCCTCCTTGATCCTCCCAGGGCTGGCAACGTGGATTGCAGTTTGTCCCAAGGGTTCTAGCAGGCCACTTGGCTGCTGCCCACCAACTTTTACATAAAGATGCGTGGAGGTGGGAAATAGGCTGGGGGCTACATCCAGGGAAAAGGGGGTTTCATCTAAAGAAAGGAACTGAGAAGGAACTGTATCGGTATTTAGTCTGAATCAGAATGACAGAGTCATTGGATTTTTGAAAAGTAAGAAGAGATGGGCAGGCTCCCCTAATGAGGAAATTTCACACTCTTCTTTATGCTTGATGACTGTGCTAGTGATTCCAGTTGTAATATTCCTCTAAATTACATTATTTCAGGCCATAAGTTTCTCCCAGCAGGTGGGGCAGTGGGGAAAAGATGGCAGCAGGCATAAGCCAACTCCATGAAGCTGGATAGGGGCTGCCAAGCCAGCGGGGGTGCAGACCCCTGTTGGGGTTCCAACCAGCAGCCAGTTCCTGGAGAGGAGGAAGAGTGTAGGCAGAGGATCTGGCCCCACATCCCACACTCAGGAACCTGGGCATCTAAGCCAAGAACCTCAGGGAGGTCAGTCTTGGAAGAGGGTCTTACAGAAGCAAGGCAATACTCGCTTAGGAGAGTCTTGGGCAGGCAACTAGAAAACGCACCCAGAAACAGGACCAAGGCCAAGACAGGTCTGGGAACTGGGACTCCAAAATTCCCATGTAAGAGCCTTGGAAAAATGCAGATACCTGAAAGGACACAGTCCCTGCTGTGATTCTGACTCAGAGAATAACTCAGAGGCCCAGACATCAACTTAAAAGGGAGCTAGAATCAGAACAGTGCCCAGCCAATAAGGGAGCAAGCAGAAAGCTGAGCGAGCACCCTCTTGGGAGGGTGGGGCAGAGCCCATGCGTGGGCCCATCTGTTCTGGATTCACGGAAGGTTTTTTGTTTTTCCTTTTCTAAAGCATACATTCAGGGTAGGTTTCAAAAAGAAAATATTCTAACAGGGCTTAATAAGGATGACTAGAGAAGGGAACACACCTACTACACATCAAACATTCTACTATGTGTTTTGTTTATTTCTCACATATAACCCAGTGGCCCATTCTAAAGATCAGAAAACTAAGGCCCAGAGAATAAAGTAACTTGCTCCAGGACCCACAGCTAGTAAGGGGCAGAGTCTGACTCTAAAGCCTGTCTTCTTTCTCCTAAACATTGTGGACAGGTGCTAAAGAGGGGCTTTCTGCTGGGACCTTTGCTCTGGCCTTCCCTTGGTTTCCTGTCCCCTAGAACCCTGACATGGTTTGGCTGTGTCCCCACCCAAATCTCATCTTGAATTCCCACATGTTGTTGGAGGGACATGGTGGGAGGTAATTGAATCATGGGGGCAGGTCTTTCTCCTGCTGTTCCCGTGATAGTAAGTCTCACAAGATCTGAAGGTTTAATAAGGGGGAGTTTCCCTGCACAGCTCTTCTTTGCCTGCTACCATCCATGTAAGATGTGACTTGCTCCTCCTTGCTTTCCACCATAATTGTGAGGCCTCCCCAGCCATGTGGAACTGTGAGTCCATTAAACCTCTTTTTCTTTATAAGTTACCCAGTCTTGGGTGTGTCTTTATTAGCAGCATGATAACAGACTAATACCCTAAGGAAAACTCCCCCAGAGCAATGGAAGCCCAGTGAAGACTTCCGGCCTCCCTGGCCTCCCCAAGTCTCCTCTGAGCCCCAGTGGCCCAAAGTACTTACTCTGTATTCCTCAGAGTACTTACACTGCCCCCTTCACAGCCCTTCTCCCCGCAAACAGTGAGTTCCTTTGCAGCAGAAACCGTATTTTTAATTCCATGTCCTAGTGCTTGGCACATGAAAAGTATCATGTAAAGGTAGCCAGGTAGGTAAGGAGAAGGACAGGAAAGACTGGGTCTATTAGTCTGTTCTCACACCGCTAATAAAGACATACCCAAAACTGGGTAATTTATAAAGGAAAGAGGTTTAATTGACTCACAGTTCCATATGGCTGGGGAGTCCTCACAATCATGGAGGAAGGTGAATGAGGAAAAAGTCGGGTCTTACAGGGCAGCAGGCAAGAGGGCATGTGCAGGGGAACTCTCCTATATAAAACTGTCAGATCTCATGAGACTTATCACTATCACAAGAACAGCATGAGAAAAACCCACCCCCATGACTGAATTACCTCCCACAGGGTCCCTCCCATGACATGTGGGGATCATTACAATTCAAGGTGAGATTTGGGTGGGGACACAGAGCCAAACCATATCACTGGAATATAAAGAAATTGAAGTGTTCGGGGAAAGCTTACACTGGGAAGCAGGAGGCTTGGATGCCAGACTAGCCCTGCCACTAACTTTCCCCAAGACGTTGGTCAAGTCCCTGCCCTCTCTGAGCCTCAGTTTCCTCATCCGCAAAATGGAGATGTTCAGCAAATGATTGCTAGGATCCTCTCAACAACACTAAGTGATCCTATGGCCTAAAAATCAGGGTCCCAGGATCCAAAAACTGTCCATAATGCTCTGTAGAATTAAAGAACCTGAATCTCAGGTGTTGGGCCAAACCCCTCACAAATGGCATTTATTACCCCATTCCTTGGACTCTAGTCGCAGGTGTACTTGTTTTATTTCCAGGTAGGCTGCAAGCTCATAAAGGGTCTGTGCCTTTCTCATCTCCACATCCCCAGGTTCTGGGCACATGGGGTGAGGCTCATAAGAACAATAAAATACTTGCTTGAGTGTCTGAAGCTGAATTTGGGCCCAGTCTGTGTACCCCACATACCTAACCAAAGGTTAAACACCAAACCTCCAAAAGCTGGGACCTGAGATAACCTTGGGGTAAGCATTGTACAACTAAACATGAGTAACTAAAAACCCACGTGTGTCCAGCTTGGTTAGGGTAAGGGTTAGTGTTCGGGTTGGGCTTGAAAAGTTTTCCAGGAATAACAAATTGGTAAAAATATTTTTGTAACAAATATGGCAGACAGCCCTTTGTATAGTAAACAGGAAAGCACTAAGACTCCAATAGAACAGAAGAAATGCAGACAGATGATACACAAATGAGCAAAATGTTCACCTTTGCTATTAATCCAAAAATGCAAACTAAAACACTAAGAGATGGCATTTTTTACTTAGCAAATTACATAGAAGATATGTTTATATTAAAGATTTCAGTGTTGGCAAGGGCGTGGTGATATAGACACTCTCATGGAGGGTGGATGGAAATGTGAACTGATCACCTTTATGGAAAGCAACTTGGCAATATATAACAGGACACTTTAAAATATGTCCATCCCTTGGCCCCATTATTGTGTTTCTAGAAATCTATTCCAAGGATCTCATTCGAAATAGGACCAAAGCTTTATGTTACCAGATGTTCATGATGTCATTATTTATAATCACAAAAAAAAATCAGAAACCAGCTCCATATCCCACAGTATGGAAAATAGTACTACCACTTTATGGCATACCAAGCTAATGTAATATTATAAAGTTACTTAAAATGAGTCCTACAAAGAGGCTTTCATGGCTTCAAAGTGTTTATCATAAAATGTTAAGCAAAAGGTATAAAACTGTATCATAGCTATGTCAAAACTATGTCAAAAATATGTGTATATATAACAAAATGTTAATAGTGTTGTGTGAATGATGTCACTACAGTTCATTTTCCTTTTTTTCTAAATTTTTATTATTCTATGTTTAAAATACATGTTTCTAAAGAAGGGAAGTAAAAGTTTGCTGGCAGCCAGAACGAGTAGGACCCATTTGTCTTTGCAATCACCAGGGACCGCCTGCTAAGGAAGCCCGTTAAACCCGGGGTGGCAGAGCCCTTGTGCTGAAATCGCTCTGTCTCTGGAGCATATTTTTTCTTTGCTAAGGAAATTGCTTTCCATAAAACCAGCTCTCTGACACCTCTGAGTACCAGGGAACCATGCAAGCCCACTTTCCTGGGGACATTCTCTAATGGGTAACTCCATCACGTTCCAGCTTGGCGCTTCCAACGAATCCCAGCCAGCCATAAAAATTTTTAGCACCCTGCATGCAAGACTGATTCCAGCGGCCTCATAAAAATCCCATTCACTGACCAAGAGCTGCGGGTTTGAAACTCTCAAGTCCCCTGCTGTTTTAAACCCAGTGGCTTGGCGCATTGCTAAGTGATGCCTGGTAGAACTCCAGGCATCAAGTCAAGACAGGGATCCAGGGCAGAACTGGTGGGAAAAAAAGGAAGAAATGGGCCTGTGCCGAGTGTGCAGTGCATAGTCATGATAAAGAGCCAACTTCCCACTGTTCTTTCAGGAAGGTACACGGATTTGGCCAAGCAAGGGAGAGGATTTAGGAAAGATGGCTATCCTTCAAGAAGAAAAAGGGGTTGTGAAGGGTGTTGGAGGAGGAGCTACTTTGGCTGGAGTGCTCTTTTCCTGTCTGCCCCTAGACAGGTGGGGAGGAGGCCCCAGCTAGTGGACACCCACAGCCCTCTGGAAGGAGCCTGCCTTACTCCTTGTCTCAGGAAAGGGTCTCCGCAGCCTCTTAGCAACGACCAGACCTAAGGATGGGTCAGGAGTCCATTGCCTGCATACCGCTTGCAGTGCCCCAGTGGATGCCTGACACAGCCACTGCTTTCCACACTAAACGGGCTCCAAGAGGCCTGTGTTCTACACCCTGCTTAGCCCCCAGTCAGCTTTGTCACCCAAGGGAAATCACTCACATAGTCTCTCTCTCAGCTCTGGTTTTCTCATTCGGAGAGTGAGGATAATAAACTCCCATCTTCCCCTACTACTGCTCCCCGCTCCAGCCCCCACTCTTTCTACCCATTTTATTAAAATATTATCACAGAATATTTCCATACTCCAGTCAAGTAAAACCATTCAAATAGCATTTAGGCACAGTATTAGGGTTCTCCGGAGAAATACTACCAACAGGATGTCTGTATATATAGAAAGAGGCTTATTTTAAAGAATTGGCTCACATGATTATGAAAGCCCAAAATCTGCAGGGTAGGCTGGCAAGCTTGTGACCTGGGAAGAGCCAACGTTGCCGTCCAAGTCCAAAGGCCATCTGCTGCAGGGTTTCCTCTTCTTTGGGGGAGGTTCAGTCTTCTGTTTTATTCAGGCCTTCAACTGAGTGAATGAAGGCCACCTACATGAAGGAGGGCAATCTGCTGTGCTCGAAGTCCACCAATTTAAATGTTATTCTTGTTCAAAAACACCTTCACAGAAACATCCAGAATAATGTTTGACCAAATATCTGTGCTCTGTGGTCCAGCCAAGTTGACACATAAAAATTAACCATCACAAGAACTCATCTTTTAAGCTTCTAAGAAAATTCAATGTTCTATGTGCTTTTTCACATTCAGAGTTTTCTGCAACTCTATTCTTTGTAACAAAAGATAGCAAAGTTTCTAATGTAGGCCTTAAGGCCTGTGCCTGTATATCTAAATTTGGTGGATATATATCCCAGGCCTGATGCACCCTATGTGGCTTTGGGTGGTGATTGACTTAACCTATCTGAGCCTCAGTTATCTAGTGTGTTAAATAAGAGAATCACGTCTACACCTCATAGAGTTTTGGTGAAGATTCACAGGAATCAGATATTAAAATGCCTTGTGTGATACCTGACCAAGGTTCTGAACTCAGTAAATGAGCCTGCCCTGTACTTTCCTGCCTTCTTAGTATTGCTAGAGCATCACATTTAGATCTGCGTATATCATAGCTATCCTATTATGTGTTTGGGGTCATGAAAATGAATACTCCATCTTTATAGTTTCTGACACTGACCATCAACCAACTTGAAGGTATCCCAATAGGTAAGGTGCCACCCATTTTCTTGGGGTTGCAATTTCTAACTGAAGGTAGAAAGGGAGGTACTGAGTAGGGGGTAGAAAGGGAGGTACTGATTAGGGAGGGGAAAAGAGAAGTGGTGAGGAAAACATTATGACTGCCTCAAAAAGCAAGTATTCCCCTCCCAGGAGAGGGATAGCTTCCCATCACCTGGCTACTGTAGGCCATGTTTTGCTGAACCAGAAAGCAGGTAGAGTTCCTACATTTCTTTTTGTTGGTGATTTCTAATATAATTCTGTTGTGGTGAAAAAAATACTTTGTGTGATTTCAGACTTTTTCTTGACTTAGCTCTCAGCTTAGGCATTGTTAGTGTATAGAAATGCTACTGATTTTTGTACACTGATTTTGTATCCTGAAACTCGGCTGAAGTTATTTATCAGATCTAGGAGCTTTTGGGTAGAAACTGTGGAGTTTTCTAGGTATAGAATCATATTATCTGAAAACAAGGATAGTTTGACTTGCTGTCTTCCTCTTTGTATGCCTTTTATTTATTTCTTTTTCTTGATTGCTTTGGCTAGGACTTCAAGAACTGTGTTGGATAGGAGTGGTGAGAGTGGGCATCCTTTTCTTTTTCTTGCTCTCAGGGGAAATGCTTCAAGTTTTTGCCCATTCAGTGTAATGGGTTTGTCATAGATGGCTGTTATTATTTTGAGGTATATATTCCTTCAATGCCTAGTTTGTTGAGGGTTTTTAACATGAAGCAATGTTGAATTTTATTGAAAGCCTTTTCTGCCTCTTTGAGATGATCATGTGGTTTTTGTTTTGAGTTTTGTTTATGTGATGAATCACATTTATTGACTTGCGTATATTGAACAAACCTTGCATTCCAGGGATAAGCCTAATTGATCGTGGTGGATTACCTTTTTGATGTGCTCCTGGATTTGACTTGCTAATACGTTGTTGAGGATTTTTGCAACTATATTGATCAAGGATATTGCCTAAAGTTTTCTCTTTTTCTCTGCCAGGTTTTGGTATCAGGATAATGCTGGCCTCATAGAATGAGTTAGGGAGGAGTACCTCCTCCTAAATTTTTTGGAATAGTTTCAGTAGGAATGGATCAACTCTTCTTTATACATCTGGTAGAATTCAGCTGTGAATCCATCTGGTCCTGGTTTTTCTCTGGTGGGTAGGCTTTTCATTACTGATTCAATTTCAGGATTCATTATTGGTACGTTCAGGGATTCAATTTCTTCCTGGTTCAATCTGGGGACATTGTATGTTTTGAGGAATTTATCAATTCCTACTTAGTTTTCTAGTTTGTGTACATAGAGGTATTCATAGTAGTCAGAGTTGTTTTTTTTTTTTTTTTTTTTGGTATTTCTATGGGATCATTAATAATGTCACCTTTGTCATTTCTGATTGTGTTTATTTGTATCTTCTCTCTTTTTTTCTTTATTAGCCTAGCTAGCAGCTTGTCAGTCTTACTTGTATCAAAAAACCAACTCCTGGATTCATTGATCTTTCTTATGGTTTTTTGCATCTCAATTTCCTTCCATTCAGCTCTGATGTTGGTTATTTCTTGTCTTCTACTAGCTTTGGAGTTGGTTTGCTCTTGTTTCTCTAGTTAGTGTAGGTGTGATGTTCGGTTGTTAATTTGAGATCTTTCTAACTTTTTGATGTGACTGTTTAGCGCTATAGTCTTTCATCTTAACAATGCTTTAGAGATCCTGATATGTTGTATCTTTGTTCTCATTAATTTCAAAGAATTTCTTGATTTCTGCCTTAGTTTCATACTTTACACAAAAGGTTGTTTAATTTCCATTTAATTCCATGTAATTGTATGGTTTTGTGCAATTTTCTCAGTATTGATTTCTATTTTTATTGTGCTGTGGTCCAAGAGCGTGGTTGGTATCTCTTAATTTGCCGATGATTGTGTAGTCGATTTAAAGTGTGTGCCTTGTGCAGATGGTAAGAATTTATATTCTGTTGGTTTGGGGTGGAGAGTTCTGTAGATATCTGTTAGGTCCATTTGGTCAAGCATTGAATTCAGATCCTGAATCTCTTTGCTAGTTTTCTACCTTGGTGATCTATCTCCTACCGTCAGTGGGACATTGACAGCTCCCACTATTATTATCTGGTTACCCAACTCTCTTTCTAGATCTCTAAGAACTTGCTTTATGAATCTGAGTTCTCCGGTGTTGGATGAATACATATTTAGGATAGCTAGATCTTCTTGTTGGATTGAACCCTTTACCATTAAGTAATGCCCTTCTTTGTCTTTTTTGATCTTTGTTGGTTTAAAGTCTGTTTTTTTTTTTTTCTGAAATTAGAATAGCAACCCCTGTGTTTTTCTGTTTGCTTTCTGCTTGCTAGATTTTTCTCCATTCCTTTATTTTAAGCCTGTGGGTGCCATAGCATGTGAGATGGTCTCTTGAAGACAACATACAGTTGGGTCTTGCTTCTTTATCCGAGTTGATATGTGCAGATTTGATCCTGTCATTATGTTGTTAGCTGGTTATTATGCAGACTTTATTGTGTTGTCACTTTATAGTGTCAATGGTCTATATACTTATGTGTGTACATAGACCTTTGGGGATGGTCATCTTGTACAATATCTAGCAGTTACTGAAGACCAGTAACCATCTTGTCTTTCCATATTTAGCACTCCCTTGCAGACCTTTTGTAAGGCAGGTCTCATGGTAGCAAATTCCCTTACCATTTGCTTATCTGAAAAGTATTTTATTTCTTCTTTGCTTATGAAGCTTAGTTTGGCTGGATATGAAATTCTTGGTTGAAATTTGTTTTCTTAAAGAATGCTGAATATAGGCCCCCAATTTCAGGCTTGTGGGATTTCTGCTGAAAGTTCTGCTGTTAGCCTGATGGAGTTATTTTTGTAGGAGACCTTCCCCTTCCCTTTAGCTGCCATTAACTTTTTTTTTTTTCATTTTGACCTTGGAGAATATGAAGACTGTGTGTCTTGGGGATGGCCATCTTGTACAGTATCTCACAAGGGTTGTCTACATTTTCTGAGTTTAAATGTTGGCCTCTCTAGCAAGGTTGGGGAAATTTTCCTGGGTGATATCCTCAAATATGAAGTTGCTTGCTTTCTCTTCCTCTCTTTGAGGGATGCCAGTGACTTACAGATTTGGCCTCTTTACACAATTCCATATTTCTTAAAGGCTTTGTTCATTCTTCTTTCTTCTTTTTTCTTTATTTTTGTCTGACTGAGTTATTTTGGGGAACTGGTCTTCAAGCTCTGTTTTCTCAGCTTGGTTAATTCTACTGTTAATACTTACAATTGTATTATGAAATTCTTAAAGTGAATTTATCAGCTGTATCAGATCAGCTCTATCAGATCAGTTTGGTTCTTTCTTAAAATGGCCATTTTATCTTTCATCTCCTGTATTGTTCTGTTGTATTCCTTAGAATCCTTGGATTAGGTTTCTTCTGAATCCTGATGATCTTTGCTCCTATGCATATTGTGAATTCTGTTTCTTTAGTTTTGGACATTTCAGCCTGGTTAAGAATCATTGCTGGGGAACTAGTGCAGTCAATTGGAGATGAGAAGACCCCTTGGCTTTTTGAAATCTCAAAGTTATTGCACTAGTTCTTTCTCATCTGTGTGGGCTGATGTTCCTTCAGTCTTTCAAGTTGCTATCCTTCCAATGGGTTTTTTTGATTTTATCTTGTTTGATGCGCTTGGGGGTTTGATTTTGGTATAAGGTGGATTCACTCAACTAGCCTTGTTTCTTGAAGATTTTAGAGGGCCAAGACTCAGCTTGGCACTTTTGGGCTGTGTGCTGTAACTCTTGGAAACTAGTACTGGGCCCCTGCCTTTGTTCTAGAGGTTAGGAACCTGCTGCATTGGAGGGGCTGAGGTGTTCCCAGTTCACTGGCCACAACACTCCAATGGGTGGTGCCAGCCAGAGCACCTCATCAGGGAAGGGGCAGCAGGATCCATTTCACTTGCACATGTCAGTAGCTGTAGCAGCATGGCAGGGTACCCATGTGTTGGCTGGGGCAGAGTACTCACAGGAGTGAACCCCAACATTCCTGTGTGCATTTGCACTGGCAGGAGTGAGGTGCTGGCAGGCACAAAGCTGCTGGCTTCTGTGCACACGTTTACAGAAGGGGAGGTGCAGGGCCACTAGTGTTTGTATGTGCTTTCATGCCAGCAAGGGCAGCACAACCAGGTACCCATGTATCAGTGGGGGGGTGGGGATGGCAGGGTGTGCTCATGCCAGCTAGTGCAGTGGGGTATGCTTGCACACATGTGCTGGTGGGGGTGGGGAAGCCAGGTGCACCCTGGATGCACCAGAAAAGCAGGGGAGATGGGGAGCTATGGGCAAATGCATGACAGCAAAACAGTGGAGGGAGGCTGCAGGCATTGGGGGAAGAATACAGGTGAGTTGGTGCACATTGGCAGGGGATGTTCTGCTGGAGCTCTCCAATGGTCAGGCATGGTTTGCTGACAAAGGAGCTATGGTGAGAGCCCCCAGGATGCACCCTGGTTGGGCATCCAAGGCTGCATTGCAAGTAGGCATGGCCAAACTCGGGTCCCAGGAGAGGCCAACATACAGGGGGGCAATTAGTTCAGACTGGCTGTATCTCACAAGTAAGACCACCCTGCTCTGTCCAGCTTCAGTAGTCCCCCTCAAGGCTAAAATCTCCTAAAGGAGAATAGTAAGCCATGGAGAATGGCCATCCCTGGCCGTGCTCTACTGCAGATGTTCCTGCACCAAACCCTTTGGGCTCTGCGCAGGCTGGAGCCCTGCTCCTACAACCTCTATAAGCATCTCTCCTTGACAGCTCAAGTGTTCATGGGATTTGGGGGGGGTCTCCTGCTGCCAGGATTCTGGAAGTTCATGGCAAGAGCATGCCATTCCTTGCCTGTTCAACCCAACCCTTCCCCAGGAGTTGCTGAGGGCCAGGCTGGTGCTCAGTAGCCCCATGCAGGGTTCCCAGCTTCCCCCCGCCTTCAGCCCAGCATCTGCATCCTCCCTTCATCCACTATCAATGTCTTCCCTCTGAAGATCCACTTAGAATGTATCAGTCTTCCTGATGTCCCAGCCTCTCAGTGGCAGACATTTCTCCTGGCTCCATTCTTTTACTTTGAAGCTGTTTGTGTCTTACAATCTAAAGTATGTTTCCTATAGACAATATATCATTGGATCTTGCTTTTTTATCTGCTGTCACAATATCAGCCTTTTGATTGGGTCATTTAGGCCATATTTACTGTCATTATTTATATGATTGGATTTACATTTGCTACTTTCCTTTTTTTGAGATGGAGTCTCAATTTGTCACCCAGGCTGAAGTGCAGTGGTGCAATCTCAGCTCACTGCAACCTCCACCTCCTGGGTTCAAGTGATTCTCCTGCCTCAGCCTCCCAAGTAGCTGGGACTACAGGCATATGCCACCAGGCCTGGCTAATTATTGTATTTTTAGTAGAGACAAGGTTTTACCATGTTGGCCAGGCTGGTCTAGAACTCCTGACCTCAGGTGATCCACCTGCCTCAGCCTCCCAAAGTGCTGGGATTACAGGCATGAGCCGCTGCACCCGGCCCTTCCTATTTGCTTTTGATAACTTCCCTGTCTTTTTTATTTCTCTGTTTCTATTTTACTACCTTTTGTATGTTAAATAAAGTTTTTATGTAGCATTGTAATACCTTTGTTGATTTTTTTAACTATATCTTGAGGATTTTTTTTAGTGGTTGCTCTAGGGAATACAAAATGCATTTTAATTTGTCACAATCTATTTTGTCACTACCAATTTCACTAAAACCTGAAAACTATGCTCCAAGATGACTGTATTCCTTTCTTCTTTCTTTTGCTATTTTTTGTCACACATATATATATATACATATTATAAACCTAACTATACAGTGTTATAATTATTGTTTCACTCAATCTTATATTTTTTAAAGATATTAAGAGAAGAAATGAGAAAATTTATATTGATAGGTTTATTTTTATTAATGTGTGTATTTTCCATTTCTGATGCTTTTCACTTCTTTCTGTGGATTTGAGTATATCTCAATATTATTCCCTTTCAGCTTAAAAGACTTGATTTAGACATGTGAGGCAGGTCTCCTAGCAGTAAATTCTCTCAGTCTTTGTTTATCTGAGAATGTCTTTGTTTTACCTTCACTTTTTAAGGATAGTTTTGCTGGATATAAAATTGTTCATTGACAGTTATTTCTCTAACAGCTCTGATATGCCCTCCATTGTTTAAGATGAGGAGTCAGCCATTAATTGTATTGATGCTTTCCTGTAAACAATCAGTCATTTTTCTCTTACCAATTTTCAAAATTTTCTCTGTGTCTTTGGCTTTCAACAGTTTATGATGTGTCTCTGTATGGATCTCTTCTCATTTATCTTGCTAGGGGTTCATTTTGCTTCTTGGATATATAGATTAATGTTTTTCATCAAATAAGGGGAAGTTTAATAATTATTTCTTCAAATAATTTCCTCTGCACCTCTCTCTTCTCTTTCTCTGGTTTCTCTCTTTCTCCTCTCCTGGAGCCTTTATTATATGTTTGTTGTTGGGCTTAATGTTGTCCCACTCTCAGTCAGTTTCTATTGACTGCTTTCCTTCCTAAGTATGGGTCACACTTTCCTGTTTCTTTGTATGCATGTCTTGTAATTTTGATTTTGTTGTTGAAAACTGGACACTTCAGTTACTATATTGTAACAACTCTGGATTCTAATTTTCACTTATGAAGATTGTTGTTACTGTTCTCTTTTTATTTATTGTTTATCTTTGGTGGTTTTTTTGTTTTGTTTTGTTTTGTTTTTTGAGATGGAGTCCCGCTCTGTCTCCCAGGCTGAAGTGCGGTGGTGTGATCTCGGCTCACTACAAGCTCCGTCTCCCGGGTTCATGCCATTCTCCTGCCTCAGCCTCCCGAGTAGCTGGGACTACAGGCGCACACCACCACGCCTGGCTAATTTCTATTGTATTTTTTAGTAGAGACAGGGTTTCACCATGTTAGCCAGGATGGTCTCAATCTCCTGACCTCGTGATCCACCCACCTCAGCCTCCCAAAGTGCTAGGATTACGGGCGTGAGCCACCCCGCCCAGCCCATTGTTTATCTTTGTTTAGAACATGTCTGGGCTAAATCTGTGAAATGTTTCTCTCCCGCGGTGTGACCACTGGTGTCCCTAATCACTTGATTTTTTTCTTGTCACTTTTCAGCTTCTGACTACATAGCTTAGTGATCAACCAATGGACAGATGGACAGAGACTGTGCTCAAAACACTTCCATGTGTTTGAGCCAGATGTTCTGCCAATGGAGATGTGAGATGAAGGGAAATACATTCAAAGCTTAGGTCTTTTTAAAACCTGTCTGGCTTTTGATTTCCACTGGGTCCTTTTACATCTCCTGTATGTATGCATGCCTTCATTTATGCATCCTCAGGGTTGGCCAGAAGTATGAGAATGGTCTGGAACCTCTCTGGACTCCACTATTCATTCACATCTCAGCCAAGAATATGCTTGCCCCACTATGACCTCATGCTACCAGAACCATTGGCCCTCCCCACTTACCTGCTGCCAAGAGTCACTACTTTTACGACAATGCCACCAGCCATGGGCATCAGCTGCTGCTCCCACTGACCTTGTAAGCCAAGTTGCCAATCCTCATAGCAACTTCACCCTGGCAGAACTGTGCTGGCCAAGGCGTGGTGGACAGAACAAGCCCAGGATGATAACACCACTGAGTCCCACTGTTCTTACCTAAAATATAGCAGTTTTTCAAGCATAATCACTTCGGAGATCATTATATGCCTTTTGTCAATTTCCAGAAAATTAAAATAGTTATTTTTGTCAATTTTGTCAAACTTTACATTTCCTTTTGAGAAGAGATGATTTGTCAACCTCCTCATTTGGCCATAGGCCAAAATCCCCCCTATAATTTCTAAAGTCCTCTTAAATCTCTTTTGATTCTAACAACGTCTAGGTGAGACTGACAGAGCAATGTTGTTAGTGCCATTTCAAAGATAAAGAAAGTGAAGCTCAGAGAGGCTAAGTGACTTGCCCAGTGTCCTCCAGCTTGAAACTGACTGAGCCAGGTTTTCAGCCTGGATTTCTGTCTTTCAGTGCTTTTCTACTGTACCATGAAGCCTGGGTGTGGTTCCATTGACCACTGAGCAAATAAGCTACCTTAGTCAGCTTGGGGTGCTATAACAAAATACCATAGACTAGTGGCTTGAACAACAGACAGTTATGTCTCACATTTCTTGAAGCTGGGAAGTCCAAGATCAAGGTGCCAGCAGATTTGGTTTTTGGTGAGGGCATACGTTCTGGCTAATAGACAGCAGCCTTTTCACTGTGTGTTCACATGGCCTTTCCTCGGTGTATATACACCAAGGAAAGAGAGAAGAGAGAGAGAAGACTTCTCTTTTCCTCCTCTTATAAGGGCACTGATCCTGTCATCACGGTCCCACCTTCATTACTTCATCTAAACCTAATTACCTCCTAAAAAGGCTCTACCTTCCAATGCCATCACATCATGGGTAGGGCTTCAACATGTAAATTCTAAAGGGACACATACATTCAACCCATAATAGACGCCAGTCCAGAACTTAGCTTTCTCTTGCTGACTTGAGGCCTGTAGAGTTTCACTGGGTCTTCATATTCATCAAAGCCAAACTTCAGGGGGAAAGAAACAATGGATAAATTCCAGCTGTGGATGCTGAAGCTCAGGGCCTTTCTTCTTTTCCCCATTAAGCTAAGAGGTGATGGTGGGACGTCCTTTCTCCTGCAGCCATCCTACTGAGAGGCACTGTGCTTTGCATGTGGGTAGCTCCTGAATTATAACTATGGCACGTATTTTAACCAGTCTTAAAGTTGTAACAGTCATTTTATTTTTTCCAACTTTCTTTGTTGAATGGTTTAGCAAAGAAAGGTAACATTTGCTTTAAGATTCAGAGTCATAAACCCTCAAATCAGAGTATTATCTTCTGTGCCAAAACAAGGACATATGTAAACTTTGGAGACTGATGGGATTTGCCTGAGTCTCCAGAGAATAGTGTGAGCTCTTTGCAGAGGTCACAGTCTCATGGAGAGAACACGCTGGACTGCTCTGAATTTTAGGGCCACTTTCCTAATGATGAAGTCTGTCACTTATTGAGCATTTACCATGTACCAAACACTATCTTAGGAGCTTTATACACAAAACATGAATGTTCCTGGGCCTCAGCAGCCTGTGGTCACTTTGATGGAAATAATCCAAATTTCCTGTATTCCTACACCCACCCTACCCCCGCCCCAACAACTTGCACAGGACCTACAGCTTACTTGAAGGTCCCCCCTTGGGGCTTTCTGGAAGCCTCCAGAGGCCTCCCATGTGTTTGAGAAGAACTCTTCTTTGGCACCTTCACATCGCACCCCTTGTTAATATTCTCTCTGACTACAAGCCACTGGGAAGGTGGAACCATGCCCCGGCCCTTACAGCTGGAGCCCTCCACAAGACCACCATTCTTCTGCCCCAGGGTCATCCCAAAGCTGCAAACCCTTAATCACTGCACTGTCTACAGTGTACCATAAACATGCTGTTTCCTAGAGAAGGGAAGAGAAGGAGCCTCACCTTGACTCCATGCTAACCTTGATTCCTAGGCCCCAAAGCAGCACTGCTTGGGTCCACTATTTAATAGCTTCTTCAGCTTCCCAATAAGGCTCAGAGCTGACCCTGGGCCCAGGCAGGAGAGCAAACCTTCCTATCCCTTCTGGGTATCCTTTGCTGTGTAACAAACTATCCTAAAACTTAAAGGCTTAAAATAACAACCATGTGTTATTTTTCATAATTCTGTGGGTTGACTGGGCAGCTCTGTAAGTTCTGCTCAGGGTCTCTTATGAGGCTTTAGTCGCATGGTGGCTGGAGCTCTTGGCTGGGGCTAAAACATCGAAGATGGCTTTACTCATGTGTTCTGTGCCTTCACAGGGTCAGTTGGAAGGCTGGCACCGCTGTCTCTCCATGTGGTTTTTCCACTTAACTAGCTTAGACTTCTTTTCATGATAGTTGGATCTCAAGAGTGTTCCAATAGGGAGGAAGCATAGGTTACTAGTTCTCTTAGGGTGTGGGCCCAGAGCTAGCATCTGCTGCATTCAATTAGTTAAAGTAGTCACAGGGCCAGCCAGGATTCAAGGGGAAAGAAAATAAGCCCTAGCTCATGATGAGGTTAGTGACAAAGAATTTGCAGCCATCTTTAAAATCCACTGCCATTCCCCCTAGTTTTTGAGGCTGTTCCTAAGGAAACAGTCCTCCTTGCGGCTTTCTTCTCTCCACGTAAATCAGCTGAGCAAAGGAGCAGCTAAGGAGCTGATGACCTTACATAAGCGATCTCAGTTTAGGCTCAATGGGAACCACTCCACTGATCTCTTATGAGTCTTACTGCAATTCAGCCAGGTAGGTTTTCTTATCCCCCATTGTGCAGGTGAAGAACCTAAAATTCAGAGAGCTTAAGTGATCGATGCAAGGTTTCAGCTAGTAAAATGGTCAATCCAGGATTCAAACTCAGGTCAGCCTAACTCCAAAGCCTTTCTTGCCACCCTCACTCTGCATCTCATCTCTCTGAATCTTAGTTGCCTCCAATGTCATATATTAAGAAAAAAAAAAAAAAGCAGTGATGTTCAAGGCCCATTCTAACTTTAAAATTTTATAATTCTTTTCCACCCACCACTTACCTGAAGAAGCACATCTCCTCCTGCTGCATTTGCTACTTTTCTGTATCTCTGTTGACAAGATTTTGACCCATAGCATTTGTTTGTAAGTGTCTTATACTATTTTTTTAGAAATCCAAATGGCTCTTATGAAAGGGTCCTTCAAATTCCTGGTAGAAGGTAATTGACTTCTAAGCCCTCTCCAGTCCCATAAATCCCCTTTTGAGTACTCAGTACTTTCCCTGCCAGCTGGGAGATGTCAAGGACAGGAGTTTTCAGGACGTCACTCCTCTGCTTCAAAGCTTTCCATGGCTCCCCCATTGCCCTCAGGACAAAATCTAAACTCTTGACATGGCATGCAAACCCCTTTAAGAGCTGATCTGCCTCTCCAGTCTTATCTCATCCTATCACACTGAGATGCTTACAGTTTTCAGCCGGTACGGTGTGTCTCTGTGCTTTTGATTATCTTGTTGCTATTTTCTAGAGGGCCTCACTCTATTCCTTCCACTCCTGGTTAACTCTTACTCATTCTAGGAAATATAGTGCATATATCATAGAGGAGGCTAGACTTCCAAGTCCATCTCCCTTACCCGATAGCACTCTTGGCATAACTTTGTCACCTCACTCACTACTTTATGTTGAAACTCTTTATTTATCTCTTAGTTCATATCTCCCAAAAGACATGAAATCCCTGAAGACCAGAATTGCGTTTTATTCTTCTTTGTAATACCAACTTCTTGCACACCCCAGTGTTTTGCACAGAATAGGCATCCGGGGAATGGTGGAAATGAACACAGATCAGAACAAGCTATAAACTCCATTAGGACAAGTCTCTGTTTGTCTTATTCACCACAAAATCCCCTGTGCCTAACACAAAACAGAGATTGATACTCTTTCTGAGAGGTGTCTCTTCATTTATTGCCTTATGTCTGTATCTTCCCTAGTCTTCAAACAACTCTTCCGATTCTCCATTTCCCACCCTTCCACTCTGGCCATAATAGAATAACTGGAATTGGACTAGCCATCCTACCGTAAGCGATTGTAAAAATGAACACAGTGTATGAAATTACTATTTTCTGATTTTAGATAAAAGGCAGCACAAAGCTATGGCTTCCAAGAGGTAGAAAACTACACAAGTTACATGGTCGTTCCAGCTTTCAGCTTAGAGGAACTTTATAAAACTCCCAAGTAGTAGAGTTCAGATAGAACACAACCATCCTACTAGTTTAGGGCCATTGACAAATCTGGAATTTGTAGGATAGGGTACTAGAGAGAAAAGGCTACAGAAATCTGCATTGAGGTCCTCATGAGCCTTTGATTAAATGCCAAGCTTCACATATGCAAGGAAAAACTTCATGTGGCTGGTCAAAGAACATCTACTGGGGAAAAAACAACTGCCAGGAAATAAAACAACTACCAAGCAGCTGCATGCTGACATTCACACCAGGCTGAGAGATGTTTCCGTTCCAACTACCCAGAAGGGAAGGACCTTGTTGAACTTCCTAGGCTTCCACTACACACTGG
Organism: Homo sapiens; assembly: GCF_000001405.40. Classification (NCBI taxonomy): domain Eukaryota; kingdom Metazoa; phylum Chordata; class Mammalia; order Primates; family Hominidae; genus Homo; species Homo sapiens. Next base: position 78,994,129 of record NC_000011.10, on the reverse strand, counting down.
AGAAAGGCCATGCTTTAGGAATAGGGTTAATCTAGTTATAGAGTCAAGGCTACTTTAGGCCTAATCTAATGGTGATTAAAATAAGCCTTGAAATGATCATACTAATCTGCAAGTAAATTAACTGCCTACCTAAGCAAAAACTCAACATTTTTTTAGGGAAGACAACAAAATCCAGACCCCAAACATCTTAATATCCATAATGTGCAGTATACAATAAAAAATTATGTGTGCATAGAAGAAGGATAGGGAACTCATAACCAAGAGAAAGATTACTCAGTAGAAACATAGATTACAGGAATTATGGAATTAGCAAATAAGGACTTTGAAAATAGATACTATAAATCTGTTCAAGGAATTAGAGAAAAATATGAATATAATGAGTGAGCAAACAGAACATCTTCATAGAGAAATGGAACCAAATTGAAATTCTTGAATTGAAAAATGTAGTATCTGAAATAAAAAGTTCACTGTTGGGTTTAACAGCAGATTGTACACTGTGGAATAAAAAGTTTCATGAATTTGAATACAGGGCAATAAAAACTATCCAAACTGAAGCAGAAAGAGAGAAGAATAAAGGCTGAAAAAAATGAACAGAACTTCAGTGACCTGAGGGACAATGTCAAGTGGTCTAACATGTAATTAGAGTCCCACAAGGAGAAGAGAGAGATGAAAACAGTAAAAATAATAGCTGAGATTTTTTCAAATTTGATGTAAATTAAGCCCACAAATCCAGGAAACTCAACAAGTCACAGGAATAAACACAAAACCGTAATAAAATTGCTGAAAATCAATTATAAAGAGAAAATCTTAAAAAGCAACCAGAAAAAGACATAAATTCCCCTTTTTCATAAATGAATTTCTCCTTCTAGTAATGCCCCCTCTTCCTCCAGGCTCCCTTAGCACCTTTTCCTCAACTCCCCTTTGACTCTGTCTTGATCATAGCTTTGGGTCTATGCTTCATGCCCCTTGAAAGATTTTGAGCTTTTTAATGGCTGGGAATTCATCTTGCATTGAGGCTATCACGGCATATCACAACATGTTGCCAATAGTAGCTGTTCAACAATCAATTAAATGGGTGAATTAAGTACCTGAATGAATAAAGGTAATAGCACAGGTTGGTTATTAAATCCTGGACTTCTAAGCAAACAACACCAAGAAGCAGTGGAACCCAGGTCATCCCACAAGAGAATTATGCCTCCCCTTTCAGAATAATAATATTTAAAACCACAATTTATTGAGTGCCCACTGAATGCCTGGTGCTGTGGTAAGCCATTTATATACACCTAATTAAAGTCTTATAATGAGAAAAGCAAAGGGCAAAGAGCTAAGTAAATTGCCTCCGGTCACGCAGATAGTAAGTGAGATTGTAGGTTATCCCCACAAGATTGATTTCAAAAGCTGGACAAAACACCTTCTCTACTTCCTACTCACAACCTATTTCTTAATCATATATTCCCATGGCTCTACGCTTTCTTTTGTCCATGCTATTTCTTCTGCCTTTCTCTCACCCACCTGGTGAAGTCCCGTTCTTTCTCAAGATCCACATCAAAACTATCTTCGGCAGGAAAAATGAGTTCACATACCACCACAAATCCAGAAGGCAAGTCTGAGTGCCCGTGCTCTTTTAAGCCATGGAATCCTGAGATGAATGAGCTATGTCTTCTAACCTAAAGCAATGCACAGTGTAATCAGAGAAAGAGTCCTTGGTCAAATGAGATCAGTACAAGAGAGAAGGCAATACTAGGGGTTTGGGAGTCCCTGAGCCAACTAGACTACTCAGTGAGGACTTCCCGGAAGAGGTCATGCCTGACATGAGTCTTAAGGATATGAGAACTGGACAAAGTATAAAATACAAATGCAACAAAAAGTCCATGTGCCTGCATTAGAGGACACAGTGAGAGAAGCCAAGGTCAGTGGGATGGCAGGAAGTCCTCTTAGAAGCTGCTCGTTCTCCTTTGCTGTGCACCAGCAGGTGCTCTCAGGTCTGAACTCCTTTTCCTAACAGAAGTCTGCCTCTGCAGTAACTCTGACTCCTCCTTAGTGCTTGTTACAGGGAATTAAATTTCTTTTGAATAGATCTACCTTCAGAGTGGGAAGTTAATGAGTCACTATTTTTCAAATTTAGGGAAAATCCATAGTTGTCCCAGCCTTATAGCTTGGTATTATTGGATAATCAAACACAACTATTTTCTCAAAATAGAATGGGGTTTCCTGCCACCCCTCCTGTTCCCATCCCAGCCACCTCCACCAGCAGCAGCACAGGGTGAGGAAGCCAGTGTTTTGCCTGGGTCTGGGCCCACATTTCTTTTTTAATCCTAGACTGTATAATTGGCCCTTGCAGACAGAGGTTAATTTCCTACTGTGAATTCCCTACCAAAGTAGCATGGGTCCATGGGGAAAACCAAGGGAGAAATTGCTTCCAGGTGCCACCTGGTCTCCCTGCATGGCTGTGAGAGAGGCCACATGGGGAAATGTGACGAGCAAGGGCTTTAGAAACCTCCTACAGACCCAGGTTTGAGCTGAGCCACTTACTAGCCAAGTGCCCTAGGGCTGGTGGTCTAATACAAGGCTTCAGTTTACTCACCTGTAAAATAGGGAGAATACCACCCTATTAACTGTGGTAAGGGATGTCACAGTTGTGGTACAGTATTTATATGCACAAGCATTCAACAAGTGCTCTTGCCTCTTGGTTGCTCGGTACAATCTTGCTACCATCCTGCCTTTCTTTCTCAGAGAAAGCTCCCTTTCTGAGACCTTCGAGTAACCTACCTCTCAGATGTTTCCTTCCTATCAACAAGAGGCAATAATGAATCCTTTTTTTTTAACCTCAAAAGGGATGTGAAGTTCAAATAAGGGACTAGATAGAGACATTGTAAAACTTTTATTTTAAATATTCTACCAGTGTTTCTCAGGAGGGCTACCCTGGGATTTTGGGCAGGACAGTCTTAGCATTCTCAGCTTCAGTGTATTCAGTGCCGGTAGCAGCCATCTTAGTCATTGTGACTACCAAAAACAAGCTGCACACAGCTCCACATACACAGGCACACACGCAGACACCCCATGCGCCATCTGAGAAATCACTGCCAGGTTACAGTCTGATCTCACCTATGCAGCATTTATCATCTCTCTGGGCCCTGTGTCCTAACAGCACTGCTATAAAACAAGTATTCAGATGCAGAACATTATTGCTCATGTGTATTTCTTTTTAATATCCTTTTTCTAATTATGCAAGTTAACACATGGTAGTTGAAAAAGTCAAAGAACAGAGAAGCATGACAAGTAAAACAAACTGAAAATCCCCGGCATGAACATTTTAAATATTTATATGATTTTTATTATAAAAGTAATAAAATCACATGGTTAAAAATTCAAGCGCTGCTAAAGGGTGTAAAATGAAAAGTAAAGGTCTTTAGCATCAACACCCATCCTGTCGTTCACAGTTTTATATGTATCTTTCTAGGAATTTCTATACAGACTCCTATCTGTGTGTTTGTGTACTCCTTTCAAACACACATGGAATCGTATACTTTATTTGCTGCTCTGCAAGTTGTTTTTTTCCACTGAACAGTATATCTCGTGGATTACTCCCTCGCAGTATATTTAGATCATCCTCATTCTTTTTAACAGCTTCAGAATAGTCCATGGCATAGGGTGCCCCGGGGTTTTCTGTCTTCCCTGTTTCAAACAGCGCTGCCATGGAGATTGTCCTCTGTGCCAGCGGCAGGGTGCTCCGGTCCTATTGTTCTCAGTGGGAATTTGAGGACAGACATTCAGAGCAGGTGGGAGGCCACAGCCAGGCGACCCCAAGCTGAGCAGAAGAGACTGGAGACTCATGATGCGAAGTCAGAACACCTGGGTTCCAAATACAGCTCAGCCACTCTGTCTGAGTAACCTTGAGCTGTCTTCTTTGACCCATGCTTCTTCAGCTATAAAATTATGGGTTAGAACAAAGTGACTCCTGTACCTCTAACATATCTGTGAGTCTAAAACTTAAAATAAGTTCTAAAGTGACCCTGGGACCCAATAAAGGAGGCCAAAATGCCAAATCATCTTTTTTTTTTTTTTTAAACAAAGCCTCACTCCTGTCACCCAGGCTGGAGTATGGTGGTGCAATCATGCTCACAGCAGCCTCGACTTCCCCGGGCTCAGGTGACTCTCCCACCTTAGCCTCCTGAGTAACTGGGACTACAATTATATGCCACCACACTCGGCTAATTTTTTGTATTTTTTTTTCTTTTAGTAGAGATGGGGTTTCGTTATGTTGTCCAGGCTGGTCTCAAACTCCTGGGCTCAAGTGATCTGCCTGCCTCAGCCTCCCAAAGTGCTAGGATTACAGGCGTGAGCCATGGTGCCCAGCCTAAACCATCATTTTTATACTCCACGCTAGGCCATTGCTGCATTCATTAAGCACTGCTGCTCCGAAGAGAGGGAGCATCCAGGGACGGCTCTACCTGGGACGAAAGGAATGGAAAAACCCCCATGAGTTAGCGCAGAGGAACTAGAGCTGTTTAACTTGAAGATGAGATGGCTGAACTGTGATTTAATTAATCTCTGTGAATCTATGAAGGATTTCTCTAAAGAGAGTTCTTAACACTTGTTCTTCATGTTCTCAGAAGATGAAGCAGAAGAAAAGGAACTGAAATGAAAGCAGTAGAAATTTGTGTGAAATGGAGAAGACATTTATTTGATTACTGGGATTAAACAAAAAGTAAACAGCAGAAGTTGCCACCAAAAAATATTATGTGGCTCTCTAACTCTGGATTGTATTTGAACATAGTTAAAACATCTGCCTCAGACAGAAGGACTGGACCAAAAATATTTCTAGATGCTTTCCCACATCCTGTGACTCTTTCAGTCTTTAATTTCTAAGTTCTGACCAAAACGTAACCTCTGGTTAATGTTAATAGAACATAATAATAATAACGTGTAAGGAGGAGAGTTGATAACAAACACAGCTGAACTGTTTTTGGCCTTCAATAGGACTAACTTATTAATAAACAAGTTGCAAATTTTTATTTCTTCTCTGTAAGATTTGACATTATTCAGGCCTATAGGATTAGAGTTGTGAGGACCCAGCTAAAGTGTGCAGTGGCTGAGGTCTGGACCTTAGCTGTGTGGACAGAGCACAAAAATAAAAATATAAAGGGAATCGTGGCCTCATGCAGTGGCTCAAGCCAGCAATCCTAGCACTTTGGAAAGCCAAGGCAGGAGGATCACTTGAGCTCAGGAGTGTGAGACCAGCCTAGGCAACATAGTGGGACCCTGTCTCCACAAAAAAGTAAAACAAATTAGCCGGGTATGGTGGCACATGCCTGTAGTCCCAGCTACTCAGGGGGCTGAGGTGAGAGGATTGCTTGAGCCTGGAAGGTGGAGGCTGTAGTGAGCTGTGATTATGCCACTGCAGTCTAGCCTAGGTGACAGGACAGAATAAGATCCTGTCTTTACAAAAAGGGAGTGGGGGGATTGTGAAAACCAAGGAACAATTTAAAACCCAGGCTACACATTGAGAAACAGCTACCTGCATCTGAGCTCTGAGGTGGGGCACAGATTATTGGTCTTGTGATTTCTTTTTGTGTGTATGTGTGACTTCTTTAAGATATAAGCTCATCAGTGAGAGCTGCTTACCATTGAATTCAAATAGGCCTTATGCATTAGTTTTCAATTGCTACATAACAAATTGCCCCAAAATGTAGCTGCTTAGCACAACAACATTTATTATTTTACACAGTTTCTGAGAGTCAGGAATCCACAGGCAGCCACAGGCAGTGATCTGACTTTTTGTGTCAGCCAGGGTTACAGCCATCTGAAGACCTGACCAGGGCTGGACCATTGGTCACTAAGGTAGCTCACTCACACAGTTGACAAACTGATACTGGCTGTTGGCAGGAGGCCTCAGTTTCTTACACATGGACCCCTCCATAGCTACTTGAGTATCCTCACAACATGGCAGCTGGTTTCTTCCAGAGCAAGTTATCTGAGCAAACCTAGGGAGTAAACCACAATATCTTCTATGTGCTAGCCTTGGAAGTCAAACTCTCTATTTCCACAATATCCTATTGGTATCACAGGTCCGCTCTACTGAGCTGAATTATACAAGGGCGTGAATATCAGAAAGTGAAGCTCAGCAGCATCCATCTTCAACCTGGCTACACCTTACATGAGAGTCCCTTGTGTTGTCAAGAGGTAATAGCACCAGCCTAGACAGAGCCAGCCCTGAGTCCTGGCCCTGTGTGGGTGAATGGCCTGGGGGAAAAAACGTAACCTGCCTTACCGTCAGTTTCTTCATCTATCAAATAGAAATAAGAGTAGTACCTACTTCTCTGAGTTGTAATGAAGATTAGATGAGATAGAATAAATAAGGTCCTCCACAGTGCCTACAAGATAGAAAGTGGCTATAATGGTAACTACTATTTTTATTATTTGAATGTAGCACCTTCACATTTATCATTTTTTAGATTTACATTTTATTTGCCCTCCCTTAAGAATTTCAAGGAATAACATGCATGCATTACAGTGTGTAAAGTACACTTACATGTACAATGATATTTTGCAATGTATCCTTCCCTGCAGCCATAGCCCAAATCAAGATATAAAACATTTTTAGCAAACGTATAAGATTCCTTCATGCACTCACCTACCCTGAGACAACTACTATTCTCACTTCTGTAAGTATTGCTTAGTTTTCAAATTAAGTTGTATAGAAACAGAATCATGTGGTGTGGACTCTTGCATCTGGCTTCTTTCACTCAACATGAATGAATCTGTGAAAAAGAATCTGTGAGATGCATCCATGCTGTTGCATTTATCAATAGTTTTTTTTTAATTGCTGTGAAGCTTCTCATTGTATGAATATACTACAATTTATGTATCAGTTCACCTGTTGATAGACATTTGGAAAGTTTCCAGACTATTATGAATAAAGCTGCTATGAACATCACTGTTATTATATCATCAGCACCACCAAGTAGACTGAGAATACGAAAGTACCCAGCTGGAAAACTATGATTGATAGAGAAATAATATGATGGGGAGGAAGCAATAAAATAGTTGTTGCTGCTGCTGTTCTTATTATTATACCTAAAATGTATTAAGCCTTTCCTGTGGGCCAGACATTAGACTATGTGTTTATATATTCCTTTTCCTATTTAACCCTCATGGAATCTGTATAAGGGAATATAATTATCTTCATTTGACAGTTGAGGGAACTGGACTCACAGAGGTTAAGTGATTTGCTTACGATGAAAATGACAATGACCAGCCGAGTGGGGTCACTCACGCCTGCAATCCCAGCACTTTGGGAGGCCAAGGTGGATGGATCACCTGAGGTCAGGAGTTCAAGACCAGCCTGGCCAATATGGCAAAACCCCATCTCTACTAAAAATACAAAAATTAGTCAGGCATCATGGCAGATGCCTGTATTCCCAGCTACTCAGGAGGCTGAGGCAGGAGAATAGCTTGAACTCGGGAGGTGGAGGGAGGCGGAGGTTGCAGTGAGCCGAGATCACACCACTGCGCTCTAGGCGGACGACAGAGCGAGACTCTGTCTCAAAAAACAAACAACAACAAAAACCAAACTGGCAGTCACCCAAAGAACCAAGATAAAATTTGCCCATTTGGCTCCTACAGCCTTTAACTACTATGCCAGGGGTCAGAGAACCTGGGCAAAAGCCACCTCATCCACTTACAATATGACAGGTTCCCATGTAATCTCCCCAAGCTACAGTTCCCTCATCTGAAAGCGGGGAGGATTGTACTGAAAACCACAGAAGGGGAAAAGATTTTATGAAAATAAGATATAAAATCACTTAGCTCAGTGTCTGGAATACAGTATGTGTTTGATTAATATCCATTTTCTTCCTTCTGCCAAATTAAAAATTCTTAATTTCAGAGATGTTTCTTTGAGTTATAGAACTTTCAGAAATCTCACTTCACTCCTTCAGCCAACACCCAAGTTAGAATTTCCTTGGAAACTGCAAATTTGTATCACATTTTATCTACCCCAGCATCCCTGCTTCTCCATTCTAGGAGTAAGAGGAGCCCAGTAGAAAAAAAGGGAATTGCTCCTAGTATATTCTAAATGAAAATCAATGTTCTAAAGACATTGTGCTTCATCTCTTGATACACCTTGGAGGGACACCAGGGATTTGAAAGGAAGAAAAGGCTCCATTAGATGCATAGGGCCTCCTGAATGCACACGGGAGGGCATGGAGTGGCACCTCTATTCTGTCTCTGAGCTTCTGTGCTGCCTGTAGACCCAGAGGGGGAGCCTGGGCAAAGCTGATGGCAGGAAGTAGCTCGGTAACTTGGCTGACCTTCATTGAACCCAGCAGCCGTAAAGAAAATGACTGAGACAGACAGGTTAAGCATTTCTGCATGGCAATAAAAAAAAAATTTAAAAAGAACAAAAAACAAAGCTATGTCAAAGGAAACAAGGAAAATATTTGCATTTTATAAGATAGGTTAACTTCTTTAACGTACAGAAAGCCCTACCAATCAATAAATAGATAAAATAAACAACACAAAAAATGTACAAAGATAAGTATGGCAATTCTTGAATGAGTAAATATTATAATATCTGGTAAACATAGAAAAATGCTCAAACTCAGTAATAGTTAAAGTAATGAATATCAAAATGGCTTTAAACTATTTTACGCCTATCAGGTCAGTAAGGATTTAAAAAGTTAAGACTACCCAGGGTTGCTTAGGTTGTGGAGAAGCACACATTATTAGTAAGAGTATAAAATCTATACATTCTCTTTTGGAAAGTAATTTGGCATTATCTTTTAAATTTTTTAAATATTAATTTTTTTGGCCCAGCAATTTGTCTTTTAGCTTGCAAAGATACTCATTCCAGTATGATCAAAAAAAAAAATCTGTATGGCATGTGTACATCAAATAATACATAGGACATGGCACGGAGTAGGTACCAAACTGGTGGTGGTTTTTATGAATAAGTGAGCATTGTAAAGCCACCACAGTCTTAAGCACTTGGCATGTATTAACTCATTTAATTCTCACAAACAGCCTTGTGAGGCAGATACCATTTTTATCCCCATTTTACAGATGAGGAAACTGAAGTACAGAGAAGTTAAGTGACTTGAATAAGATCACACCTTAAGTGGTAGGGCCAGGATTCCGCCCTTGACATGCTAGCACTACAGCAGCACTCTCCAGTAGAACTCACTGCTGTAACAGAAATGGTCTAGAACTTGTACTGTCCAATACGGTAGCCACTAGCTGCGTGGAACCACTGATCGCTTGAAATGTTGCTGTTATGCCTGAGGAGCTGAGACTTGTTCTTATAATATTAAATATTTAAATAAATAATATTAAATATTAAAATTTATAGTTAAAATCGCTACCATATTGGACAGCACAGCTCTAGAATCCGTGCTTAATCACTATGCCATATTGGCTGTGGTTACCGGTAGTAGAGGTAGCGTAGCAGCAGCAGCAGTAATGACAGTATTTTGGTGCATTAGAAGGAAGAACATTATGGCAATCAGAGCTCAATGCAACTGAAATAGATTGCCTCTGGAGTGAGTAGTGAGTCCCTTGTCATGTCAGCAGCAACCACATTGTAGATGGGATTCAGGCACTGGATTTGGGCAGAGTAACAGGGCGGATAACAGTAAGAGGTTGGAGAGTTACCGATTTTCAAAGTTTAGTTCACCAGTGGGACTCTGATCCCAAATGGCGAATGCAATCCACACTCATCTCACTGACACCTCGGAGGGGAAACTATGTCACCAAAACTTTTCCTTTCAAGAACTCTCGAGGGTATCTAGCCCTTCAGAGAAGGGGGAATTAACATTTACTGGATATTTGCTCTGTGCCAAATACTTTACTAGGCTTCATTTAGGATACTCTAAGCCTTACATGAGTGTAACAAGGCAGAGGTTGTAAATCCCCATTTTGCTTTTGGAGGAATCTAAGGCTCAGAGAGATTAAGTCACCTATTACAGATTACAAAGTAAGACGCAGAGATGGGGTTTGAACTTAAACCTTCCTGAGTCTCTAGCCTGCTTCCCTCATTTTTCAGAGAAGAAACTGGTGGCCCAGAGAAAGCCAGAGTCCGAAGAGCCCAGGGCTTTTTCCTGCCTGCCTCCCACTCCTCCTCACTCCTGGAATCCTCTCCACATGACCCTTGACAGACAGATGACCATCCATTTTCTCTAGAACATTCCCTGAGTCCTCCATTTTATAGCTGAGAAAATGAAGTCCTGTTTGGGTTAGTGATTTGCTCAAGGTCACAAAGAAAGTGAGACCCAGAGGCCAAAAGCCAGGGCTCCTGCCTCCCTCTCATGAGCTGCCACCCCACTGAGCCCACCCAGCCCCACCCCCACAGGATAGGACAGCACTCAGGAGAGAGGCTTGGCCTCAAAGGCCTCTAGAGGAGGGTGACAGGCCCTGCCGTGTCTTCTGATTCCTCTCCACAGTTGGTAGGCATGCCCTGGGGGCAGCGTGTCCCCACTGCCAGGCTTGGCACATGCCAGGCAAGGCCTCTCCCTGCCTTCAGGAAGCCGCTAGTCTCCAGTATGTACCACACTGTGCAAAAGCCAGTCGGTTTTTCATCAGAACCCCCATAGAGCCATGACCCATGCATCTGTGTCCCTAGAGCCCAAGGCAGGACACCATGAGCATCAGGAATGTGTCGTCGAATGGATGACAAACAAAAGCACAGACTAGGGCACAGTTTAGCTGACTTGTGACAATAGCAGTAGTTTTCATCATCTGCAAACAGATATTAAAATATCTAACAGGTTTGTTTTAAAATAAGGCACTAAGAGTGTTTGACATAGAGTGGGCAACCCACTCTTTGGTAAGTTTCCTGAGGGCAGCATCACTGGTCTATCACCAGTTCCTGACCCAAGGCCTGACACAAGCATGGCTTTCTATAAATACTTGTTGAATGAGTGAGTGAATGCATGAATGACTAACAAATGTGAATAGACTGTGAGATTTTGAGAACATTTTATACACTAGGTGCTCAAAAAGTGTGAATTATTTTTCCTCCTCCTATGAATGTGGCATTTGAACTGAGCCTTCAAGAAAAGATACCGGCAAGGGTATTGAAGGTCAAAGAAATAGTCAAGCAAAGGCCAGAGGCCAGGAAAGTGCCAAGTGCCTCGGGAAAGGTCACAGGGAGCTAACTCCTCAGACCCAGGCCACTGTGTGGTCAGTAACTGCGAGAGCTGCCCTGGAGACCCTTGCAGGGGACCAGCAAGGACAATGCTCAGGGCTGCTTTAAAAAGGCTGAGCTCAGAGACTTTGCCAGAGCATCTCAGAGAATAACAAGTTTCCAAAGGGCAGGAGAAACAGGGATTTAGCACTAATGGGCACTGCAGGGTCTGGGACATCTCAGCTGGGCATCAGGAAATAATTTTTGACGTGGAGAGCCATCTGTTGCGCTTTGTATAAGCCCTTCTGAGGGATGTGCATAAGTACAGGCCTGGCTGGATTGTTGGATGTTGCAGCTGGGTGGAAAATTGGCAGCAAGAAGAGGAACAACTTTCCAGTGAGTGTGAATGCATCCCTGGGCCACAGGGCCTATTGGGGGTGTGAGGAGAGCCAGAGGGGCAGGGCCCAGCATGACCACTTGAGATGCTGTGATTCCCGGACTCACTGCAGGGGACCCTCTGAGACTTGCGCCCAGGGTGTCAGCCAGTTGTCAATCACTTAAGCAGACAGGAAACAGGAGCCCAGGGTGAGTCCATGGACTCTGGCCTCATCCCTGAGGAAGAGGACAACTCCTGATTACTGGTTTTCAGAGGAGGCCACAGCCGCGAGTGGACCTGGAGCTAATGTGGGACAAGGCCTCCAAGCATGTATTGTATCTGCCTTGTTAGACAAGGAGTGTCACAAGAACAGGGGTGGCTCTGCTCACTCACCACTGGGTCCCAGTGCCTGGCACATGGTACTTGCCAACCAGAAGATGCAAGGATTATTACTGATTAAGGCAAGTGGCATTTCCTTGGAGGGAGACTGAGGATGCCACCCTCTCCCTGCCCCACAAGCAGTCTGCAAAGCGGATATTATTATCCTACTTATCGGTTGAAGAAGCAAAAGCCTCAGAATCATTATGCAACCAAACTGATCAGGCTTCTTGCAGGTGTGATTCCTTTATGGCTACCCTGTGGCAAGTCCTGACCTGGGGACAGACACGGGGCATGCAGGAGATGTGCATGGTGGTGGAGAGGGAACCAAAAAACTGAGCTGGGTGTTGCTGGCAACTCCATGAGAGCAGCACAGTCTTACTTAGCAAAGGACATGGCTCAACAATAAGGGTGGAAACGAAAGCAGTGGGAGTGGGTTTTTATGAAGACTCTGTCTACAGTGAGGTAGGAGATCTTAAGATGCCTTATGCAAAACCGCAACTCAAACCGGCTTCAATGATTATCGTTAGCTTCAACATTTATTATCTCATTTAGCAAGAAGTCCAGAGATAGGGCAATTCCAGGCATGTTCATCAAGGCTCAGATTCAGCTTCTTGGCTTCCACTGCTACAGTCCCAGGCATTGTGTCCGGATGATTCCCCGTCCAGGGAACCCCCAGACCTCTCCTCATATCAGATTGGCCGGTGGTCCAGATTCCCTCATGAGGAAGGGGACTTTTGTAACTTGCCAGTCAGGATCTTCCAACTGAGACACATAACCACAGTGTGGCTAGCTGAGCAAAGTCAGGATTCTGTTAGGAGGGCAGTAGGTATTGCTATGCAACCAAGAGTGGCTGCTACAAATGGAAGATAATATAATTAGCTCTACTTCCCCCACCACAGGACTGTCGTGGGGATGCAATGAGATAATGGGTGTAAAAGGATTTTCTGAATCATAGAGTGTTCTGCACATGGGATGGGTTGTTACTATCCTTATAGAATAATTATATTTCTGTTATAGAATAATAGATGACACTTGAATGCAGTCATCCATCCTGCTTGTGGTGTGCTTTCTTGTTCATCATCCCCTCCTCGCATACACACACCTGTCATAGAGATATAAAAATCATCAGCATTTAAAAATAGGCCAGATACTTCATAGTAATGAGGTTATGGATGTCAGTGCTCTCTGCAAAGCCGTATACATGGGGGAGAGATTATTGTGGGATATAACATAGATTTGGAAATCAGTCACAGGTTCCAATCCAGCTTCTACACCTTTCATGCCATGTAACTTTAGATACATTATTTAATTTCTCTAAGCTTATTTCTCCATCTAGAAAACAGGAATAATAATCTCTTTCCAAAGGTTTCTGTGGGAATTAAAGATAAAGTATATCAACACCATACCTGGCACAGAGCAGGTAGCAAATCAATGACAGCAAACACTTCAGTAGAGCTCTCATAGAACTCTTTAAGCCCCTGTACAACCCTGTGAGGTAGGTACTATTATCCCTTTTCTATAAGTAAAGTAACTGAGGCTCAGAAAACTAAAACTTTGCCCACGGTTGTACAGCTACTAAGTGGTGGAGCGAGGATTCAGACTCAGACATGAGTTCATGTTCTGACCACCCTGCTAAGCCAGACTTCGCTACTGTTACTATTGTTGATATTAATGGCACAAAACCATTTCCACTGCTGCCTTCCTATAGGACCTTGGGCTCATTCTGTCACCTTCCAGGCCTCAACTTCCTCATGTGCAGTTCCACAGCTTGAGCTTATAGAGCTTTGCTCCTTTTAAGCCTCACAGAGAAGTCATTAGGAGTTCAGAGTGGAATCATCCACCTGGGGCCACCTCCTGGCTCTCGCCTTACCAGTGGCTATGTGACATTGGCCATGTTGATTGACCACTGTTTTCCTTATCTCTGAAACGGGGATAATGAAAGTCCCTACCTCTTAAGATTGCTGTGACAATTAAAAATGGATGCATGTCTATACACAGCATGAATGCAATGTCTGGCAAAGAGAAAGTGCTCGATCAATAGTAACAACAATTATTATCATTGTTGTTATTAGCAAGTCATCTTCCTCTTCTGTGAATAAAGTTCTTCTGACAGCAAAGGACTCAGTTATTCAGCCAGAAAGCTTGAGGGCAGTTTCTTTCAGAAAATCATAGACTTACAGAATATAATCACTTAACCTTCTTTAAATTTATCTTCTCTCATCTACTAAATGGGGGTGATGGTAACTCAGAGAGTTTAATATGAGGATTAAGTGGAATAGCACAAATCAGTCTTGCTAGTTTTATTATTGGAACTCTAAGGGAGCTTAGAAGGGAACTCATGTAACCATGCTAATTTTCAGCTAAATTTCAGACCCAGAGAAGTTTGGTGACTCAATTCAGGTGGTACAGACAAGTTGATAACTGATGATGGATCTAGAGCCCAGGGAGTCGGGACAGACCCTGGATTCTACCAGAAGCCTTTATAGGATGTGAACATGGCCTGTCTCCTCAGTCATTTGTTTACCACCATCCCTATCTCTGCTCCCAACTTACTCAACTCTTAGTACTTGGAGTTCCCTAGCTGTATCGTGCTCTTCTCTCCCTGTGAGCCTTGGCATAAGCTGTTCTCTCTGCCTGGGACACTCTAACCAGCCCACTGCTGTAGACACACATGCATGTACAACACATATGTGCATGTACAACACATATGTGCATGCACAGCACACATGCATGCCCACAATGCTTTCTTAACCTGGCCAACTCCTGGTTCACCTTTAGGCTTCTGTTTAAATTTCCCTTTCTCTAGCAAGGGGCCACTGAGCCCCAAGGCTCCATCAATTAAGGCCTTGATCTTTGTGTTTGCCTCTCACAGCATTGTAGGGGAATTGCATATTCCGGGTTTGCTCAGCCACTAAACTGGGAACTTCCCAAAGGCAGGTGAGGGACCTAATCGACTTCCCCTCTATGACTAAATTGGGGTGCTGGTTGGAGTCCCTCCCTTGGGAGGGCTGAGAACTAAGCAGGCAGGATTTCAGTGGCAGGACACCCCAGAGGGATGCTTGGCCTTCTTCCTCAAGTGGCTGGCACTGCCCTCCTCCAACTAGCTCAGGGACCTGTGACAAATCACACAGAACCAGCCACCCCTCCCAGCCTCACAGACCACTGGACACTGAGAATTTGGCTTGCAGAAACATTCTGAATGCATTTCTTACCCTACAGGCACCTTTCTCTTCTGTCATTTCCCCAATCCCATGAAATCCAAGGCACATGCAGCCCATGTGCACCAGCACTAAAGTCACAGGAATGCTGCTTCTCACGATGTGCCCAAGAAACACCGAGAAGCTTTGTACACAAACTTCACTCAGTGCCCTCCACTCCAGAAAGCAAGAAACCCTGTTTTGTTAGCAGCAGTCAGACTCTGCTCTCCAGAGTAGGGCAAGATCTGAACTTCTGAGCTTTGAATGGTGAATACCCTTAACCTCCAAAGTATGAACTCTTTTCTCTCCAGATAAGCTTTTTTGGTTACAAGAAACAAAAACATTCAAACCTCTAATTTTTTTTCCCAATCTAGTGCCCTTGGTCAGAGTGACCAGCCTTCTTATTAGTTGATTTCTCGTTCCGTCCTGGTGTCCACTTCCCCTTTGACAATGCCATTAGTCCGTTTGGTGTGGTTGCAGGAAAAAAAAGGATGGGTAGAGAGCCTGCCCACTTTGGTTCATTCCTGCTTCTCCTCTTATGAACCAACTAACTTTAGTCTGTCTGGAGCTCATTTCATCAGTAAAATGGAAACAATAATACCTACCTTGTAAAAGTGTTGCAAGGACTAAATGGATCATTTATGCTAAGGCTCCTTTTCTTTTCTTTTCTTTTCTTTTCTTTTCTTTTCTTTTCTTTTCTTTTCTTACTTTAAGTTCTGGGGTACATGTGTAGAACGTGCAGGTTTGTTACATAGGTATGCATGTGCCATGGTGGTTTACTGCACTTATCAACATGTCATCTACATTAGGTATTTCTCCTAATGCTATCCCTCCCCTAGCCCCCCATCCGCCAACAGGCTGCAGTGTATGTTTTTCCCCTCCCTGTGTCCATGTGTTCTCATTGTTCAACCCCCACTTATGAGTGAGAATATG
This sequence comes from Homo sapiens, assembly GCF_000001405.40. NCBI lineage: Eukaryota > Metazoa > Chordata > Mammalia > Primates > Hominidae > Homo > Homo sapiens. The sequence goes on along the minus strand of NC_000011.10, from coordinate 78,978,120 downwards.
GGTGTTTGGTTTTCTGTTCCTGTGTTAGTTTGCTGAGAAAGACGATTTCCAGCTTCATCCATGTCCCTGAGAAGGACATGAACTCATCCTTTTTCATGGCTGCATAGTATTCCATGGTGTATATGTGCCACATTATCTTTATCCAGTCTATCATTGATGAGCATTTGGGTTGGCTCCAAGTCTTTGCTATTGTGAACCGTGCTGCAATAAACATATGTATGCATGTGTCTTTATAGTAGAATGATTTATAATCCTTTGGGTATATATCCAGTAATGGAATTGTTGGGTCAAATGGTATTTCTGGTTCTAGATCCTTGAGGAATCACCATTCTGTCTTCCACAATCGTTGAACTAATTTACGCTTCCACCAACAGTGTAAAAGCCTTCCTCTTTCTCCACATCCTCTCCAGCATCTGTTGTTTCCTGACTTTTTAATGATCGCCATTCTAACTGGCGTGAGATGGTATTTCATTGTGGTTTTGATTTGCATTTCTCTAATGACCAGTAATGATGAGTAAAGCTCCTTTTCTACAAATGACCACCTGCTGAGGAGAACCTGTGTAGGCTAGACAAGGTAGTCTAGTAGACAGAAAATGGGCTCTGGAGTCAGACCTGGATTTGCAGTTTACTGCCAGTAGATCCTGAGCAAATCACTTGGGCTCTCTGTGCCTCAATGTATTCATCTGTAAAAGGGGACTTTTATAGTGTAAGTTCCACAAGGACAGTGTTATGTGTTGAGCACTATTGACCCACCACCCAGCCCTGCAGAAAGGTATATTGAAGTCCTAATCTCCAGTACCTCAGACAGTGACCATATGTGAAAACAGTGTTGTTGCAGATGTAATTAATTGAGATGAGGTCATAGTAGAGGAGGGTGGGAACCTACTCCACTATGACTGGTGTTCTCAGAAGAAGGCAGCGCCACGCAGGGAGCACACATGTGATGATAAAGGCAGAAACTGGAGTGATGCAGCTGCAAGCCAGGGAATGCCAGAGATGACAGCAACCCACTAGCGCTAGGAAGAGGCAAAGAAGCATCCCCCTACAGGGTTCAGAGAGAGCATGGCCCTTGTCCATATCATTATTTCAGACTTCTGCCCTCCAGAACCATGAGACAATGAATTTCTGTTGCATATTAAATGTCAAGTAATATTGCTGAGTGCGAGAGTGATTCCTGTTACGGAGCTATGTTGGAAAGCACGTGGCAAGTGCTTAGTGCGGTGCCAGACACAAAAGGTATTTGGCAAATGCTTATTCCTTTCTCTTCACTTATCTCAAAGGTTCCTTTCTGTACAGAGTGCAATTTAGGATCAAAAAAAAAGTTTGTTTTTCTTCCAATTTGGACCTAAAGCTGCCTGAAGGGTTCCTGCTTTAAGAACCAGACCTGGTCACTCAGGAGCAAGGTTGGAAAGCCATTTCTCTACATGTCCACTCTCCCCCAGCTGCCTTCCTCGATTTTCAAGATTTCTTGGAGTGACAGTAGAGGAATTTCTAGAACTCTTGGTCCTCATTATGTTTGTGCTTTCCCCAAAAAAGTTTCACAAATCTTTATAGAAATCTAATGCAAGCAAGAGGCCTTGGCGCAGTGATCAAGTTCATGGAAAGCTGTTTCGAATCAGGGCATTTACTGGGGAAAAGCTGTTTTAGAAAAATATCTCTTAGTATATGCTTATATCCACACCACATGGCTTTCTGGTTTTTTTTTTAAACTTTTTATTGAAATATAACAGATATTCAGAAACTCCACAGATGATAAATACACAGCTCTGGTTTTATTTTATATGCTTTGGGTTTTCTTCCCCACTGGTTGGTTTTTTGCCTGGTTCATTGGTTACACGAATCCCTGACTGTCACTCTAAGATGCTATGGAAGGAGCTTTAGCTGTAGGCTCAGGAGGCCTAGGCTGGAAGCCCAGATCCACACCTCACTAGGTCTGTAGCTTTGAGCAAATGGCTTCACTTTGAACATTATTGTCCTCTTCCCAGGGCTGATGAAAGATCAAGGAAGTAAACTCATAAATTTACAAATGTACATTATTATGTTTATTACTATTATTTATTAAGGTTATTTTAGTCGGAAGCATGTGGGCATAGGGTTCAGCAGACCAAGATTCAGCACCCAGACTGGTACCCACCGGCTGGGTGACCTTAAGCCGCCTCTGTTTGAGCCTCCAAGTCTGTATCTGTCAGCTGGAGAAGTCTTCACACTTTCAAGGGGCATGAGGGTTGATTAAGATAATTTACATCAAGGGCCTTCCACAGTGCTGGACACATAGTAGGTACCCAATTAATATCCCTGCCCTCCCACCCTCCCACAGTTGCTGGTTTCCCTCAGAATCTTCCTATCTCTTGCCCCTTTCCTTTGTACCTAATACCCCCATCATTCCTCCAGTATCTGAGTAGGAGGCTGGACTATTAGATTCTGGTCTTACTCCATCTTGAGGCCTGGAATTTTGCCACTGTATAAATTGAATGGAGGGAGGAAAACATATATATATATATATGTGTGTGTGTGTGTGTGTGGGTGTGTGTATCCCAAGGAAGTAATAAATGACTTGAAAACAGCTATTTGGAAGGACTTTCTTAGTCAAATCTCAGTACCAAAGTGCAGAGCCCAAGCCTCCCTGTTGAAGAGAGCACTCTGTGACCACAGATTATTCAAGGTCTGCCATAAATTTCAGTGACTCCTTGGTCACGTTGGCCAGCAGATTTTGACAGTCAGAGATAATCCAGCTTGCTTTGTGCGTTTCCTCTCTCCCACATCCCATGGAAACTGGCCTTTCCATCAGCCCAATTTCAGCCTCCAGAGGTGTGAATGAACCATCTCACACCCCTCTGGAGGCAGCGCGTGGGCAAGGTTAGAACAATCTGTGAGACACCAGGAGCTGCAGCTGACACATGGAGCTCAGTGAGTCTTCCAGTTGTCGCCCCACCCACCCTACCCCCATACCCCAATACCTCCCTCACAGCTTTTCTCCCTCTTGAGCCATTCCTGCTTGTCTCCTTCACCCATGAGGCTGCATGCCTCTCCAGGGCAAGGAGTAGACTTAGTTCTATGTCTCTAGTGCCCACTTAGGGCTTCACACAGAGAGGTTGCCTGGATGTGTAGCTGGGGCTGGTGATGAAAGGGAGGTGCAGGCCAGGCGTGGTTGCTCACCACTGTAATCCCAGCACTTTGGGAAGCCAAGGTGGGCAGATTATATAAGGTCAGGAGTTCGAGACTAGCCTGGCCAAAATGGCAAAACCCAGTCTCTACTAAAAATATAAAAATTAGCCAGGCATGGTGGCATGCCTATAATCCCAGCTACTTGGGTGGCTGAGGCACAGGAATCACTTGAGCCCAGGCGCTCACGTCACTGCCCTCCAGTCTGGGACTCTGTCTCAAAAAAAAAAAAAAAGAAAAGAAAAGAAAAACAGAAAGAAAAGAAAAAGAAAGAAAGGGAGGTGTGGGAGAGCTACCACTTCCACTTTTTGAGTACCTGCTCTATGTCAGGCCCATGGTAGGCCCCAGACATGCATGCTTTTATGCATTTACTCTGCACAGGACTCCTGTAAGGTAGGACCACATCCTGAGGCTCCCCAGCTCTAAAAGATCAAACAATTTGCCTAAAATCAAAATAATCAGTTTTAAATCCAGATCTTACTTGCTGCCTGTCTCCTGGGTTGGAGCCCCACTTGGCCCCTTAAAAGTTGTGTGTCCCTGCACAAGTCATATCACCTCTCCTAGCCTCAGTTTCTTTATCTATAAAATGAGGGTGATGGCTATTACCCTCCTGGATGTGGTAAGGATCACATGAGATCATGGCTGTGAAAATCCTGTGTAAAATGTAGAATAAATACTACTCACATGTAAATGTTGTTTTTATTAGGAGGTCATTAGGTCAAAATCGGTTGTAATATGTAGTGAGTACCCACTATATGTGGAATTACCATGTGGCCTGTGGCCATATGAATAAACCAGTCCCCACCCTCAGGGAACTTGCCAACAAGAACACCCAGGCATCCTGACCTTTAGTTTGCAGTATTTGCACATCTTTAACCTGGCCCCTGACAATGTCTCAAGGCTGATTTCCTAGCATTTACCTCATTGTTATGCTTCTCTAGTCCTGTTAGCTTCCTTGCTGTCCCTTAGATGAACTTGGTCCTGCTGCAGGGACTTTGCAGTTGTGGGGCCCTCTGCCTAAAAGCTCTTCCCCTGGGTGTCTGCTTGGCTCACTCCCTCACTTACTTCAAATCTCTGCTTAAATGTCACCTCCTCAGGGAGGGCTTCCCTGACCATGCTATTTAAAATAACACGCCCATGCCATCAACTTTGTATTAAGTTGGTGCAAAAGTAATTATGGTTTTTGCCATTATATTTAATGGCAAAAACCACAATTACTTTTGCACCAGCCTAATATTTATCATACTTGATCTTGTTCTATATAGTTATTTGCTTACTTGTTCATTGATGTTTTCTTTCACTAGAATGTAAGCTTCTGAGAGCAAGGGCTTTGTCTTCTTTGTCAGTGATGCCTAGAACACTGCCTGACAGAGTAAGCACAAAACAAATTCTTGGGGAAAAAAAGCAGTACTTACACTTTAGTAATAAAAAGATAAATCAAGTTAAAAATTGGGCAATGGATCTGAATAGACATTTCTCCAAAGAAGATGTACAAATGGCAAATAAGGACATGAAAATATGCCAAGCATCATTTGCCATTAGGGGAAATGCAGATCAAACCACAGTGAGATACTGCTTCATACCCACTATAGTGGCTGGAATAAAAAAGTCAGATAATAACAAGTGTTGACAAGGATGTGGAGAAATTGGCACCCTCATACACTGCCAGTGGGCATTTAAAATGACATAGCCACTTTGGAAGACAATCTGGCAGTTCCTTAAAAGGTTAAGCATACAATTCAGCAATTCCACTCCTAGGTGTATACCCAAAAGAGGTAAAAACATACTCTCACACAGAAATGTATACACAAAGGTTTGCAGCAGCATTATGGATAATAGCCAAAAAGTGAAAACAACCAAAGTTTGAATCAACCCAAGTTTCATAATGGATAACAAAATGTGGCATATCCATACAATGCAATGTTATTTGTCAGTGAAATGAAATGAAATCCTAATCGTTGCTTCAATTTGGATGAACCCTTGAGAAAATATTTTGCTAAGTGCAAGAAGTCACAAAAGAGCACATATTATATGATCCCATTTTTATGAAATGCTCAGAATAGGCAAATCCATAGAGACAGAAAGTAGATGAGTGATTGCCTAGGCTGCAGGGAATTGGAGGACAATAGGGAGTGACTGCTAATGAGTGTGGAGTTTCTCTTTAGGGTGATGAAATGTTCTAAAATGGATTGTGGTGATGGTTGCAATACTCTGTGAATATACTAAAACCCATTGGATTGAACACTTTAGTTGAGTGGCCTGTATGGTGTGTGAATTATGCATCAATAAAGCTGATATTTTTAAAAACTCAGTGAAAGTCCTCATCAAATATACCTGTGTCAAACAAGCAGACTAGCTGGCAGGCCATCCCTGTGTGAAAACCAGAGGAACCTAAAGGGCTCTCTTCTTGATATTCAGGAGACCAGCTTCCCAGGCAGGCGGGTGAAACAGAGGTCTGTTCCTGACAAACACTTTTTAAAAAAATTTTTTTAAAGTCCCCGAGAAACCTGTGAGGAGGAAAGCTAGAGATCAAATGACGAGCCTGAGAAATTTACTGCGTCCTGTTTTTTAAAGACCATTTTTCCAACATAACTCACAGAGACAAATGGCCTGGGACCCGCTCCTGAAAATAACCATTGTCGAGGAGAGTTGACTTAGTGGGAGCTGCCGGACCAGGGGAGTAAGACCCACAAGATTTAATAGGCTGGAAAAGACCTGGGAGGCTGTGGGTCTGCTGAGCTCCTCCCATTAGGGACCCAAGGAAGAAACTGTCATCATGGCTGACTTTTCTGTATGTGTGTCTAATTCTGTTAAAAATAACATTTATTGTTTTTTTAAAAAATCTCATATTCACAATGTGTTACTTGAAAAAATTAGAATATATTTTAAAAAATCAGGAAAACAATTATTTCTAATTTACTGCCCTAAGATTACTGGTCTTAACATTTTTATACAGATTGCACCCATACGTAATTCAACAAAAGTCAGAATTACTTTTTACGCAGTTTTGCATCATGCTCTTTTTATATCCTATTTCCCACGTCACTTAATATTCTTTATAAACTTATCTTACAATATCTGTGTGATATCAGCATTATCCCTTCATTACACAAGGAAGCATTTAATTTTTAACATTTAGGATGTTTTTCCTTTTTAACATTTTTTTTAATGTTTTACTTTTTACTATTACAAATGATGTTGTGATAAATATCCTTAGTGTAAATCTTCTGAGACATCATACTTTTAGGGATAAATTCCTAAAAGTGGAATTGCTCAATTGAAAAGCTTTCACATTTTAAAAATCAGTTTATACTAAATTATACTACTAATATTAATGTATAAAAAATCTTATTTAAGGGGCCAGGTGCAGTGGCTCATGCCTGTAATCCCAGCACTTTGGGAGGCCGAGGTGGGTGGATCATAAGGTCAAGAGATTGAGACTATCCTGGCCAACATGGTGAAACCCCATCTCTACTAAAAATACAAAAATTAGCTAGGCATGGTGGCGCGTGCCTATAGTCCCAGCTACTTGGGAGACTGAGGCAGGAGAAACACTTGAACCTGGGAGGCAGAGGTTGCAGTGAGCCGAGATTGCGCCACTGCACTCCAGCCTGGGTGACAGAGCAAGACTCCGTCTGTAAAAACAAAACAAACAAACAAACAAAAATCTTATTTAAAAATCAACATCTATGAATACCTACTAGATGCCAGATATTTTCACATTTATTATTTCATTTTCTCATGAGGTTTTTAAAAAAATCTTTAAAAGTGTAAAAAGAACTTGGCTCACACCTATGATCCCGACTACTCGGGAGGCTGAGTCGGGAGGATCACCTCAACCCGGGAGTTCAAGGCCACAGTACCCTGTGATTGTGCCTGTGAATAGCCACTACATTCTAGCCTGGGCAACACAGAGAGATCTCAGCTCTAAAATAAATTTTTTAAATAAATAAATAAAATAAAAAGAACTATATATGCTAATTATAGAAAATTTTGAAGATATAAAAGCATATTAAAAATTTTCTATTGCCCATAACAGTGATAACCGTTGTTAATGTGGTTTTTGTTTATTTTTAACCAATCTTTTTTCCTGTACATTTATACAAATTTATTTGTTCCATAACTATTTTTAAGTATCTGCTATGTTGGAGGAATCTGACTCTCCATTGTAAATTAAGTCATTTATATCCTACATTTTTTCCATAGTCTCCTTTAACCCTCAGAGCAACCTCTTGAGGTGTAGACTACAGCTACTGCTGTCTTTTGTTGGACCATAAAGGAACCTTAGAGAATATCCATCCAACAGAGAGGAAAGGATCTTGGACTGCTTTGCCCACGATCTTGGACTGCTTTGTTGACCTGCACCCAGCTATCTGGACCACTATTCCATTGCTACAGACTGCATCCTCTGATGTGGAACTGAATATGTACTTTACTGCCCTAAAAGAGGGTGGCCATGTAATTAATTGACCAAATCAATACATTTTTACAGTAAGGGGAAACTATTATTAATCCATGCAGGATAACAGATGTAAATCGGGGCTGTCACTGACAAACCCGAACGAATAGTCACTCTAGATTTTCAGATTTCCAGCTCTTTGAAATGCTTTCAAAAGTGGATTCCAATCCATTTCAAATAACTAGGGAAACCAGCTCTGCCTCTCTTTGCTGAGCTGAGACTCTGAGTAAGACCAGAACACATAGGTGAGCAATACGTGGTCCCTCTTTGGCAGGATAGTCTATTCAAGCAGTAGACAAGAACATAACTCACTGGAATAAAAAGCAGGGCATGATACCACTGCATTAGAATTCCTGACCCTCCACGAGCCGCAGACCTTTCTATCAGAAGGAAACTTCAGTTTTCTTCAGTGCCCCATCCTCTGCTCAGAACTGAGTATAATTTCACTTATTCAGTGAAGCAACTGAATGCCCTATGGCTAGCACATGAGAAGAAAAAGAATGCATTTGGTTTTAAGTGAAGAAACTAAAATGTTTCTGGAAAGGTTGAATCCATCAGGGCAGTGTGCCACTGAGATGAGGTACCTGCTTAGGTCTAAGGATTTTGTTTTATTTTCTTTCTAGGTGTCATTTATTGAGTAATGGCTGTGTGTTGGGCTAAGTGTTTTACATACAAGCCTCTAAATTACAGGGCTGCCAGTTAAAAGGTTATTAGGAAGCTCTTCCGATAATCCAGGGAATTACCAGGGAAAAAAGTGCCTTCCCTGCAGCCCACAGCTAGTGCTCATGTTACTGTTGAGGACTCACACTTTTCCATTGTGTAAGCTCACATGAATTTTCCTACCATAGACTAGATGGGGTTTTATCATAGACCAATAAGATTCCATTTGGGCATTTAGATGGATTTCTCAGGACTGCTGAGCAAAGTGTTAAAAAGTATATTTTGTTAATGGTCTTTCTTTTTGACAGAGTAATAAACTTGTTCATCAGCTAGCCCTCATAATTTTAGTCTCGTGGTATATTCCAAAGATACACTAAGAATCCAGAATGGTTGAATGTTCTTCTTGGACAACTAGCTTGCTCTATTTATAGGTTAGATTTCAAATGCAAGAGAAAGTTACCATCACCGATTCACACAAGGATGTGAGTAACAGAAATTGTTTCTGCAGATCTTAGGATTCCCTTGTCCTATGTTCTCTTTATGTATTAGGACAGTTTCCCTAACACATTGCCCCTTTTTTTGATATCACCAAATAACACATTGATAAAAGTGTAATTGGCAGGCTTGCAAATCTGTCATTGCTTCTTTCCCAAAACCACCATGTTCTCTCTATGACAGACCTACAGCTGGAGAGATGGCAGACGAAATCAATATTGGCTGAGCCTTTACAGTGAGCAAGCAGACTGCTGGGCTTGTGGTGAGCATAAGATCACCAGTCCTTCAGCAACTGTTTTCAGTGGGTATCATTACTCCTTTTTTTCTAAGGAGAAAATTAACACTAAGAGAAGTAAAGTGACTTATCAAAGGTCACACAGCCAGCAGCGACATTGGGCTTTGATCCTTGGTTTGCCCAATAGGAAGTTCATGGTCTTTCTGCTTTAGCTGTGTTTCCCTGATAGACAGGCCTCTCCCTTTCCCTATGCCTGGTGGAAAATCCAAACCAGAGCTGATGAATTTCACTCTCACCACCACTTGGAAACAGCATTGAAGTTATGGGTTGTCATCTGGGCCTTACGACCATAGACAATTTACTTCACTTCTCTAAGCCTCTGTTTCTTCACCTGAAAAATGGAGATGAATTTTCCTAGTGAGAATGTTTTAAGGAAAAAATCTTGTGAAGAATCTGGGCCCGTTCCTGGCCTCCAGGAGAGGCTCTGTAAATGCCCCACCCCTCTGCCAATCTCCACCATACAGGTGTCTGCACTCCCTAACTGTGTTAGCCCATTTTGCATTGCTATAAAAGAACTCCTGAGGCTGAGTTTCTTTATAAAGAAAATAGCAGTCTGGGCAACCTGGCGAAACCTCGTCTGTCCCCAAAATACAAAAAATTAGCTAGGCATGGTGGCACACACCTGTGCTCCCAGCTACTCAGGTGGCCAAGGTGGGAGGATCGCTTGAGCCTAGGAGATGGAAGTTGCAGTGAGCCAAGATTGTTCCATGACACTCCAGCCTGGGTGACAGAGTAAGACCCCATCTCAAACAAAAGAAAATAGGTTTATTTGGCTCATGGTGCTACAGGCTATACAAGCACAGCACCAGCAACTGCTCTGCTTCTGGTGAGGCCCCAGGAAGCTTTTACTTATCGCAGAAGGCAAAGGGAGAGCATGTGTGTCACCTGGCAAGACAGAGAGCATGAGTATAGAGAGCCAGAGAGAGGAGAGAGGTCCCAGACTCTTTAACAACCAGATCTCAAGTGAACTAACAGAGCAAGAACTGATTCATTTCCAGGGGGAGGGCACCACGTCATTCATAAAGATCCACCCATGTGATCCAACACTTCCCACCAGGTGCCACCTCCAACACTGCGGATCACATTCCAACATGAGATTTGGAGGGGACAGGTATCCAAACTGTATCACTCACTTTGTTTCCTTCTTTCTCCATCTTCATCTCCTATAAGCCAGAGCTGGGCTCATTGAGACTGCCTCTCTAGAAACCTGGATGGTTCCCCTCCACCTTCACTGGTCCTCTTGGTTGTTGGAGTCGGGTGTGAGGAGTTTCATTTCAGTCATCCCACTCTTTTTTACTACAAACACAGTAGAAGCATCTGCAATGCCAGGTTCCCTTCAGCTGATAACCAGGACATGTGGGAAGGCACACCTACACCCCAGTCCCATGGAATCAGGCATCCTTATTTGCCCACGTGAACATACATCTGAGCCCCACCCAAAAAGCAGGCTCAGATCATCTGGATTTTCACCATCCTGCCCGAGCTGAGCCAATTAGAAAGGAGATCTAGGTGACTGAGCAGGAGCCTTATGTTTAAAGAGCAGATCCTTCTACAGTACAGCCCCGGTCTTGTCACTTTCCTGCTTTAAAAATTTCCATGACTCCCCAATTAAGGTCTGATTTCCTTTTTCTAGTGTTCTCATTCCTGTCTTATTTCTCACTGCTCTCTTGAGATAGACTTTTGTGCCATAATCAAGGTACTCTCCTTCCTTCCTACCTTCCTTCTATCCTTTATTCACCTAACAAATATTTACTACTGCGTTCTATGTGCAAGACACTGCACTAGGCACATATGGTAATGGCAAGGCAAGCTAGTGGGTGGACACAGACAAGTAAATACTGCAGGGAGAGAAATGTTGCAAGAGGGAGAGTCCAGGGAGTTGTGGGAGCACCTAGAGGGGGTGCCAAATGCAGGCTTGAAGCATCAGGAAAGCTTCTTGAGGGAGGAGGTCATGAAATTAAACCCTAAGGATGAGTGGAAGCTAAGAGACATATAGGGTGGTAGTTGTGAGGAGGAAGGAAGAGGAAAGGAAGTGCCCCAGGGAGGAGGAACAAGCTTGTGCAAAAGCTCAGAGGCAAAACTTTTGTGGTTGTGCTCCATGGGTTGCCGTTCAGATAGATTTAATGCAAAAAGTGCCCTAGAGCTCTGCAAACTTGGCAAAAGAGAGAGCACTGAGTCCATGGAAATGAGAGCAGGCCAGCGTGTCTCAGCAAGTCTCAGTGGACTTGGTAAGGAGAAGCTAATGGTAACAATGAGACTTGGGAGGTAAGGGGACAGGTGGGGAGACAGATTGCTGAAGACCAGGTGAAGGATGAAGGCTTTAGGCCAGAGTATCCTCCCTCTGCCGCAGATACTAATGCTCCTATCTTTTCTCATTGAAATCCTCCAAGGCTCAGTGAAGCGTTTCTCAGTTCCTCCAGTTGAAATGAGCCCCCCAGCTCCTTGCACTGGGCTGTGGTTCTGTTCTGACAGGTCCTACCTCTGCCCTGCTGAGACCTCCTTGTGCACTCTCCCTCCCCTCCTTCCAGCTCCCTTGCAGCTGTGCTTCCTAATTGTATCTCCCTCACCTTCTAGCCCAATCACTGAGTGTTTAGGAAATGTTTGTGGAATGAAACAGGATTTGCCATACTTTCGTGATCATACACTGTTTTATAAAAAAGAAAACATGAAGACAGCTAGTCCTCACTTTACATGTACATATTTATGCATAGCAACATCTAACATTTATTATAGGTATTTACTGGCTGCCACACACAGTTCTCAACATGTTACTTATTTTAATTTTAATTTCTTTCATCCTCAGAGCAACCCAGAAATTAGTAGGCACTCTTTTCTTTCTTTTTTTTTTTTTTTTTTAATTTTCCTTTATAAAGGTGTAGAAACGGAGGTGCAAAGGGCAAAGTAATTTACCCAAAGTCACTGAGCTGGCAAGTAATGGAACCGGATTTCAAATGTAGGCAATCTGGCTCCAGAGCCATACTCTCAATGTGACCCTACCCTGCTCCGGTACATGCTGGATTGGTACAGCAGTGCATTTTCATACACATATTCCAAGCACTCGTGTATTACATATGTTAAAAAACATACTAAACAGAAATTTGAAATAGATGAGTTAAAATGTTTTCTTACATCTTAGGAAATAGTTCTGTGTACCCTACCTTGGAAACCACTTAAATTCAAAGTTGCCAATGACTAAGAGGAAGGAAATTAACTTGTTTCCAATAATAACTGTACTTCACAGAAACTCTGCACACCTACTAAGGGCCTGGCAACTTGTTACGGGCTCCTGTATGTTAGCTATGAATATTCAGAGCAACCCAGAGGCCAGAGGAGAGACCAGGGAATGCGTAGGAGAAAGAAGAGACAGGGACGAGGCCTGGGAGGGCTCAGTGCCGTTCTGCCGTTCTCACCCCAGGGCTTCTGAAGTTTATGACGGAACAATTTACTTAGTTCTGGAACTATTTATTTCGTAAAGCTTGACAGATTTACTCAGGAAGAGGCTGTAACAAACACCCTGAAACAACATATCATGTTTCTTAATTTTTGTCTGAAATTCTAACAACTCAGCATGGACTGGTTATCTCAAGCTCATTAGAAGCTCCGATTGAAGATTATATTGTGTCTTTGGTTAATAAAAGATGAGGAAATCAACGTATATTGGCTTAATACATGTGGCCTGGTAGACAGAACTTTTCCAAAACTGGAACCGTAGGGGGAGTCATGAATGTGGTTCTTGGTGGGGCGGTTTTGTTACCTTTAATAGATATTTGGTGAACACTAACCACCTGCTCATGCATATTGTGTACTCACATACATTATCTTTAGTCCTCACAGCAGCTATATAAAAGGTAGGGGTGGTGGGTGGACAAATTACAAATGAGGGGCCGGGCGTGGTGGCTCACCCCTGTAATCCCTGCACTTTGGGAGGCCTAAGCGAGCAGATCTTTTGAGGTCAGGAGTTCGAGACCAGCCTGGCCAAAATGGTGAAACCCCGTCTCTACTAAAAATACAAAAATTAGCCAGGCATGGTAGTGCACACCTGAAATCCCAGCTACTGGGGAGGCTGAGGCAGGAGAATCTCTTGAACCCGGGAGATGGAGGTTGCAGTGAGCCAAGATCACACTACTGCACTCCAGACTGGGTGACAGAGACCCTGTCAAAAAAAAATTAAAAATTACAAATGAGGAGCTGGAAGTATTTTTCCTAATATCATAAAACTAATAGGAGGTAAGTCTGTGATACAAACCCCAATTCTGTTGAACTCCAAAGCTCATTCCACAAGTGCACTGTACCCCAAGAATATACTATATACTTTCATGTAGGAGACAGATACAGATAAATAGAAATATAGCAGAGCAGATATATCAGAACTGAAGACAAGGTTAATTCAGAGAAAGGAATGCAGAATGTTCAGCCCTCTAGTACTGGGTGGTCAGTGGTGTCAGGGAAGGCAGGCTCTCAAGGTGAATCGGGAATGCTGGCTTAAAAGATTGTACGGTGAATCATAGCCTGAATTTTTAGGTAAAGAAACCAAAACACAGAGGAAGAAGCCACCCAGAGGTTGTACCTTGGTCATTTATTTCTGCTGCTTCAATTCTTCTTGCTGAATTTCTAATATCAACCAGCCAAGTGGCACACACATCAACTCTGTAAAATGTTGTCACATAAAGTTAAGCTCAGGGGTTAACCTTAAGAGTCATGGAACCTGGGGCCAGGCACGGTGGCTCACACCTGTAATCCCAGCACTTTGGGAGGTCGAGGCAGGCAGATCACGAGGTCAAGAGATTGAGACCATCCTGGCCAACATGGTGAAACCCTGTCTCTACTAAAAATACAAAAATTAGCTGGGTGTGGTAGTGCACACCTATAGTCCCAGCTACTCAGGAGGCTGAGGCAGGAGAATTGCTTGAACCTGGAAGGCAGACGACGCAGTGAGCCAAGATCACACCACTGCACTCCAGCCTGGCGACAGAGCAAGACTCCATCTAGGGGAAAAAAAAAAAAAAAAAAAAAGTCTGGGTGTGGTGGCTCACACCTGTAATCCTAGCACTTTGGGAGGCTGAGGTGGGTGGATCACAAGGTCAGGAGTTCGAGACCAGCCTGGCCAACATAGTGAAACCCCATCTCAACTAAAAATACAAAAAAAGAAAAAAAAAATAGGCAGGTGGCAGGCACCTGTAATCCCAGCTACTTGTGAGGCTGAGGCAGGAGAATCACTTGGACCTGGGAGGCAGAGGTTGCAGTGAGCCAAGATTGTGCCACTGCACTCCAGCCTGGGTGACAGAGTGAGACTCTGTCTCAAAAAAAAAAAAAAAAAAGTCATGGAACCTGCCAAATCCTATAGGAATTGGTGACTGTGAACCAAGTGGGCTGCTCTTGTGTGGACAGACCACAAAAAGCTTCCCACCCTACCCTGCAAATAATCAGCCGCTCTCTGTGCCACCTCCCCCTTAGAGCCCCGCTGAACCTTAAGATGGCCCACTGGGTCTGCATTATTTTTCCTAAGGTTCAGTCTGTTTGAAAAGCTGGATGGATATGACTATGTTATAAACCTTCTGTCACTCAAGGTGGGAGAAAATGAGCAGCCCTTGCTGTAAGTGGTTGCATTGTCTTGTACTGTATACTTTTATATGTCTGTGCTTATGTTAGCTCTCTTATAGACGATGTACTGCACATGTTGAAAGGTCAGCCACAGATAAGACTGCAAATTGTCTGAGCTCAAAGTTCTTGTCCCAAGCCATCGCCTCCTCCTTCTGAAGAGTTGGGAGTTTGCTCATAGAACTATAGAAAGCTGGGGTTTTAGAACCGTGGCATGATAGAAACTTGGGGTCAGACTGACTGATTTACAACATCTTGGAACTCACAGAATGTGAGTGTCCTAAAATTATAGCATGTTCTAATCTTTGAACATCAGAACTTAAGAATCCTAGTATGTGAGACCCCCTAGAATTAAGCTAGTCAACAAATACTTCTACAATGCCTACTATGTGCCAGGCATTATGTTAGATTCTGAATATAAAGACATGAACAAAATTTCCTAAGGGTCTTGCTTTTAGGCAGGTTCCAGAGAATGTCAGAATTTAAGAATCATAAAATGTGAGATTCTTAGAAAAATGAAACATTGCTGTGTTGAAATCCTAGACTGCCAAAGGTGAAGCCTTGAATCATTCTCTCCAGCTCTCTCTACCTTTTTACGAGGCCTAGGGCCTGTTCCAGGCAGGTCGGAATAAAATCTCAGTAATAGGAACATCATATCAGTTCGGTGACATCACAGAATGGCCAGCTTATAGGGGCTCAGGGATCACCCAGTCCCCACTGCTGCTTTTATCAGCGAGGCCACTGAGGCCAGAGAGGGGCAGCTGTTTGATAGATCACCTAGCCCCGTCAGGACTAGACCCCGGGTTTTCAGGTATGTCTTAAAGAACAGGCAGAACAGAAAAGGCTTTCCGTGTGCTTCCGAGATTCCCTCTTTGCCAGCCTGCACTGAGGCCCCAGCTCTTCAGAAGGAGTTTGCAGCAACTTTCTCTGTGGAGGCATCAGCCCCGCCCCCGGCCCACGTGTGCAGTAGATCGCCCCGTGTTGGGAGCCCCCCCTTCCCGTTGATGAGTGTTTTATTTTGCTCCCTCCCCCTCCCCGTGTGCCTCAAAATCAATTTTCATTATTTTTTCTGTCTGTGTTTGTCTTTGTGGTTCGCAGGTGCTCCCTTGCATTGTTCATCCTGCTTCATCAACCCCTATTGAGCAGTCCCCCTCCCCGCCCCCCTCCCCTCCGGCCAATGAGAGCCAGAGGCGGTTGCTAGGCAACGGTGTGGCCCAGCCAACCCCGGACTCAGACTCTGAGGAAGAGTTTGTCCCTAATTCATTCTTAGTTAAAAGTGGCTCCGCCAGCCTGGGGGTCGCGGCGAACGGTAAGTCCCTCTCTCTTCCTACTTTTGAGGGTTTGTTTTTAAAATTGTCCTTCCGTTGCGGATGCCTGCTTGGGCCACTTGCCGGGCGGAGGGGCCTGGTGCGTGGTGGGATCCGGGGGAGCTGGGGGCCTGACGTGGCTCCGCGGGCTCAGGCAGCCCCGCTCTTGCCCCGCGGCGCCGCTGGAGTGTGCAAGAGTTGGAGGGCTGCTTCTGTCCCCAACCCCCATGAGAGACATCGGACAGGCAGATGTACCGACAAAGATGCACAGACAGACATCACGAGAAGGAAACATCAGGTGAAGGCCCAGACAGGTAAAGGTAGAGACAAAGATTGACACAGACAGAAAAAAAAAAAAAAGGTTAAGACATAGGCAACACCAACCAACTACCTACTCTGTGCCAGGGACTGTGCCAGGCACTGTCACAACCATGCCCAGAGACTCAGTATTTTAGTGTCCCCATTTTCACTGGAAAAACTGAGAAGGATTACCCCATTACCCATAAAACAGCGCTGGCTTTAAAAGTTCTCCAGTTTCACAGAGCCTGGAGACAGGCGGCCCTGAAGCCCCAGCCAGCTGCAGGGCTAAATGCCGGCTGCAGAGAGAGCCACTGGGTTTAAGCATGGATCTGCAAGCTCTCTTATTCTGAGCTCTGTCCTGGTGTTCTTAAGGTGGGAGGTGGGGTATGGCAGAAGAGCTCCAGGGTGACCAGCTTGTATCCCCTGATCAGGTGCTGTTAGACTTGAGCCAAGGTGCTTGCCCTCTCTGTCCAGCAGAGGCCAGTCAGCTTCTTTGCAAGGAAACCCAGGAAGGAATTCAAACCTCTAAGAGGTGGGGCAGGATGTACATGAGGTAACCTAGGATCACCTTAATAGCCCCAGGATTTCCTGATGTTTGGAGAAGAGAGGAAATGAAACTGTTTCCCCACAAATAACACTGTAGGTTTTGTGTTGATTTGGCAAACATTTATTTATAAGTGCTTGTGTGGTACTAAATTCCAGGCCAGATTCTGAAAAAGGAGGCAGAGGTTCAAAGAGGGATAAGACAGTCTATGGGCTCTGGAACCAAACAGCTTTGAATTACATACAAGCTTTATTGCTGTGGGACATTAGATAAGTCACATTGCCTCTCCAGGCTTATTTCTTCAAGGGTCAAGTGGCCATTGTAGTGCCCACCTCATGATGAGCACCCATCACAGTGCCTGGAACACAGAAGGAGTGTGGTAACTGTTAGTCATTGCCTGGTCCCCTCCACCTGCCTCTAGGGGATTTACAGACAGCCTGTCTGTGAAAGCTCCCAGCACACTGCTTGGCACTTGGGGATGCTCCAAGAAATGTCAGATGCCATCTTTTCTCTTGGGAGTACATCATTATAGCCGAAGGTGGCAAAGGCGGTAGGAACCTAGTATGTTCTGTGACTGAGGAAGAAGCCTCTACTCTGCCTAAGAGAATTAGGAAATGCCTCCTAAAGGAGGCACTTACAGGACTTGAAGAAATTAGTGAGGTGTGCCAGACAGAGATTACCAAGGGTGTTCTGGGCAGAGGGAACACATGGACAAAGAACTTGAGGTGGGGACAAGGGAAGCCTGCCCCAGCTCTTTTAAACCTGAGAGCCTGGGCTGTAAATAGGTGTGAACCTTGGAAGGGTATGGAAGGCCATGTGGTGAAAGTCACCTGAGCTCTTCTGAGAACTGGCTTGAGTTCCCCCACCAAATGACAATGAAGGGCGGTCATTACCTACCCTCCTTTTCTAGCTAGGACCTCCCCGCTTCCACTGTCTTTGGAAATCAGAGAGATCTTTGTCCTTGATGATTCTCTTCTGACAGGATTTTACACCCTGCATTCTCCATGACCAAGACCCAAACCTCCTCCTTTTTTCTCAGTGCTCCCTGGGGTGGGCTTGTTTTCTTGGTGGTTCAATGTCCCTACTCCTCTATGCCTTTTAGCTGCCTGTGTTTCAAATGATGCACAGAAACACAGGAACCCTGGGCTGGGAGCAAGGAGACCTGGTTCCAGACCCAGCTTTGTGGCTCACTGGCTATTTATCCTTGGCAAATCACTGTCTTTCTAAGCCTCAGTTTCCCCATTTTGCCAGTGATGGAGCAATTTCTAAGGTACCCTGATTTTAGGAGTGTCACAAGTTATTCCTGCCAGTAGCCTTCTTAAGCTTATGGGGTAGGGGGGAAATATATATATATGTGTGTGTGTGTATATGTGTAATGATGTTCTTTGTTCATTTCTGAGTAAGCCTTACACGTAGAAGAGAAGGCAAGAGATTAAAGTCCTTAATCTCTTCCTTTGCAAATTAGTGAACAAGAGCAATCACTTTGTTGCGAGTTCTAAGGCAAATTGATGACATTATTGCATTATTGATGTGCAGGGAAGGAGATGGGGGACTTTAGCCTGCAGCTGTCTGCTCATTGCTGCTCCTCCATGCTCCTGCACCCCAGGGGACCTTGTCACTTTGGATCCCTTCCCCAGGCCCTTGCTCTGAATGTCACTCTAAAAGTTGGTAATAAGCATGTCTCATGCCTGAAGGAAGAGTCTGGGTCCTTACTGGTCTGTTCCTCTGGGGTTGGGATCATGAGAGAGCTCAATGAGTCTCTGCCATCTGGACCCTGCCTACTGCCTTCCTCTCTCCTGAAACCCAAAACCAGGGATCTTCTATGAGCCAAAGGACATGCTGGTACTGGTGTGGACTCAGCACTAGTGAGTGAAGATTAGAGGGCCCTGGTACGTAGATGTAGCAGGCCTAATAAATGCTTTTATGGTTTTTAATTTGATTTTTTTCATGGAAAAAATGTGAAATTATTTTAATGGAATTATCTTTATTGTTTCTGCCAATTATAAAAGTAGCAATGCTTGTTAACATTCAAATAATATGGAAAGGTAAAATGTTAAGTTCTCTTATAATCCTTCCTCCGAGATATAACTACGTTTAACAGTTTGGTGCATGGTTTTTCAGAGACTTTTAATTTAGTGCTCATTGAATGAGTGAGTGAATGAACCAATGAGCAAGCAATGCTTAAGGACCACAGTGTAGCAGAGAGCTATAGCCATTGCTCTAGAGACAAGCCTGAAATTGGATCCCAGATGTGCAACTCTAGGCAATGTTTCCAACCTCTGAAAGCATTGGTTGCTCCATCTGTGAAATGGGAGAAAACCTTCCAAGGTTGTTGTGGTATTTAAAAAAGTTGAAGCTGATAAAACTTTTCTATCTCTCTTCCCTATCTCCACACCCCCATCTCCTTCCACCAATTTGAGACCTTGGAGACCACCCTCAACAGAGCAGTTGCTTTAGGGCCAGCTGGGACTGCATTCAGATTATATTTTAAATTACAAAGAATGCCTCTTTGGCTCCTAAAGGGTGAAAATGAGACAGTTTCCTATGGTGGGAGCTGAGGCTGTTGGAGCCAGCCTTCCCGGGAGCTTGCGCTGGACTCTCCAGCATCACCCCAGAGGCCCTCTGCCCACAGCTGTGTCAACTCCAGCCTGAGCTGCCATCCCAGATCTGGTAGGCCTCAGAGCTGCCCTGCTAAAATCCCCATGTAAAGTGCAAAGAGGACCGTGGGGTATCACAGAACAGCTCATTGTCCCTGTGGAGAAGAAAACAGGGGAAGTAGCTTTTTCTCTTATCAAAATCCTAATCCTTCCCCAAGGGTAATCATCCAGAAATCACTGATATATATAAAGAAAGATTTCACTAAAATATCAACTAGTCACAGTTGAAAAAGCAAAGGAAGTGGTTAGGATTAAGTAGGTATTCGTCCCTACCCCATAGAAACTTTTCAGAATAAATATTAAATGTTTCGTGAATTGTTCTCATCTAAATTCTAAAGCAAAGGGGCTTTAAAAACTTGGTGGTTAATATTTAAGAGGGTCGGGGAATAAATAGCTCTGAGAGATGTGTCAGTTTCTCAAAGCCTAGGTAAGGTAGTGGGTGGGTGGGAGAATTGACATTTAATAAGGACTTTCTATGTGCTCGAAGTCTTTCTATAAAACATGCATTATCGTATTTGTGTCTCAATTTATGTCCCTTTCACTGTTTAGGAAACTGAAGCTCAATAAGGGGCAGTGACTTGCCCATTAGTCATTGGTCATAAGGGCATGGAAAAGATTCAGGCCCAAGCCTGTTTGACTCTAGAGCCCCATTTTTTTTTCCTTCTGTTGTTTTTTTTGTTTTGTTTCAAATATCAGATCCTGTTACTTTTGTCTTCTCCTTAGTAGGAGTTTGAAGAAGATAAGAGGAATTCCACCAAAGAAAAGCTGGTTTTAAGAGAATTCCAAGTTGTTGGATTCCTTTTACCTCACAAACCTTTACGAAGCCCCTGTTATATGAGATGAATCAGACCAGATGACCGGGCACTAAACTTTGGTGCAGCTTCCTCAGAGCCAAACTTTGGATGCTGGGCCGTCCATGGGTCTTTTCTTTTTTCAGCACTGGGTCCTTACTGCCTTGCCTTACAAATTTCTCACTGGTCAGCATCACTGTTGTTTGGCAGTTTCATTGACTTTCTCAGGTCTTAAGCAGCTGGGATTATTTTGTTTTGACTACCAATCCAGTGGAGGAGTGTTTATTTTTCTTTCTAAATGGGAAACACTGCCATGTTTGTAAGCTCCTTCTAAAAGTGTTTTCTTAAAACAAAAAATTCAACTTAATTGAGAACCTATTCAGAGTCCCTGGGGGTGTCAACCAAGGTCCTTTTAAGTCAGTTTATGAAATCAGAAAGCAAAATTGTGCCTGTTTCTAACAGTTGAAAGGAAGGTCCAGTGAGATTTTTGTCTTCTTTCACTATGAATTTCGTGGAGCCTGGGATTTTGTTGTTGTTGTTGTTGTTGTTTCATGCCAACTGCAGTTACTTGGATGTGCTTCTTTACCTAGTTCTGAGGGTGTAGAACACTGGGGTAGGTAAAGTTTTCAGCAATGTTGTTCACCACTTCTCTCAACTCTCTTGCAGCAAAAGACCCTCGTTGGTAAATAAATTCTTACTACACCAGCTATGTAGCAAAGTTAAGTACCTAACTCCTGTTGGCAAGACAAATTGATTTCTTCCTTTATTCATTCATTCATGATGACATTTTAAATGTTTGTGGATGTTTTCCAGAGAGATGAGGGATGAAGGGTATTCTAAACAGAGAGACCCTTTAAAATTGGTATTTAATTTATTGGGTTAAAATTCCTTAAATGAAACCCTTGGAATCAGAAGCACTTTAGAATTTGGAAATGTTCAGATTTAAAAAAGAAAATGGAGTGCATATTTTGTATTTCTCCTAACACTCCTGCAGTAATCAAACACATCACTATTTCTGCCGTGAAACATGAATACTTATACTCATGGGATTTTAAAATGACTCCAAGCCTCATGTCAGTTCAGGTCAGGTTTTGCCTCTAAATGAGTTTTGGTTAAACATTTAGTCTCAGAGTTTTGGGGTTTCAGAATGATGGCTAATAGATGGTGATCCTGAATTGTGTCTTCTTAAAAATGAGGGAAGCGGAGCTCAGAAAGACTTAGCAACTTACTCATGGTTGTAGAGATAACTAGATAACTTGAAAACTAGACAGCATGATACAGGTACAAGTTGCTGACCAGGAAGCTCCATAGATGTGCTTATTGTTTATCCATAATCACTGCTTAGAAAGGCCTAGCCGCTCTGCTATAGAAATGAGAGTTCAGGAGGCCAACACCAGCAGGCTGGGTGGCTGTCAGGCCTGGAAATTCAGCAGGAAAGAAGCCAAGTGGTCAGAAGCCTAGAACTTGGCAACTCTGAGTTGATAAGGAGCATTTCCTGATAGACTGTCTGCTGTCGGGCCCCCTTTCTTTGATGCCCCACTGTCTTCTGTACTCACTCCTCCCTAACAGTCTGGGACCTAGTTATTCACATTTCTGGTTCCCTCGTGCAACTCCCAGTTCCTAGAGGTAGGCCTTGTGTACACTATCTCCAGGGCTGAGCACAGTGCCCTGTGTATGTGTATGTGCTAAAATCAAAATTGAAAAAAAAAGTGCTGATTTCCTTTCTTCCTTCTTTCCACCAGCACCCCGTCCACACACATGCACAGCAATAACCCTAGGAACGGGGCACTGAGGCACATACATGATACAGCTGTGGAGAGTCACAGAGATGAAGCGATTTGTCTAGGTACAGAGTCAAGATGCAAAGCATGGCCCCAGACTCCAGTGTTCTTTCCACTCTACCAGGTGCCTCCCTTAATTAGACAAGCTCTCACCTATGGCCTTCCACCTGGGGCAGACCATTATGGCCCCGCATTGAGGGCAGTGGTGACAACCTCACAGGGGTCACTTCTGTTTTTATACTGTTGACAAAGCCCTTTTTCATACATTACCTCTGGGAAACTCTGGTGACTCTAATTTAATTGCCACATTGGCTTTCTAGGAGGTAAGGCTTCTTCCTGACCTTGCAAAATAAACAGGTCACGTTTTGAATTAATGTAACTGAACATCCTGGGAGAACCAGGGCCCTCTAATTAGTCACTCATTGTAGACTCTTTGCAGTTCCTTTTCCACTAATTTCCCCAAATACCACTGCATTAAAAGGTACAAAAATAACACTTTTCCATGTATGGCTTGATTGGACCTAGGAATTCCTACACCACTCCCCGAGGAAGGCACATTAGCTATGTGTCCAGGCTTTCTCCATCTGGAAACTAAGCCTAGTTTGTGACCCTGTTGAAATGGTCATGGTCTGCTCCATGGATCCCTTGTGGACACCAGACCACATTTTAAACCATCTCCTGACACTTTAGGGCCCAGACCGTTGAAGAGGCACCTGGAAGGAGGCCAAGGAGAGTGTGGGAGATTAGTAGAACTAACATTTGTGTACCCTCTCATTCCCGAAGCTCGTTCTCCTCTGTCATCTCACTGGATCCACAGAAAAGTCCTGTGAGATTGGAGAAATGTGAAGGAGGGTGAACACTGTGTCCATGTGAGAAACAGGCTCAGGGAGATGCAGCTTAGCACAGAGCTGCCCCTTGGCCACAAGGCTTGGAACTAGTTTGGGCTTTGTTCATGGATGGTCAGTCCAACATGTGAGGCTCACTGCCATCATGTGAGGCCCGCTGCTATCATGTGAGCTCAGTTTCCCAGTTACAAACTTCATCTGGAGAAGCCTCATCATGAAAACCTGCTTACAGAGAGGCACAGGCCTGGAAGCAGGAGATCTGCTTTGATCCCAGTTCTGCCTCTAGCCTGCTGTGTCACCTTGCAAAAGGCTCATCTGTTGGTTCTTCGGCTTTCTAGTCTGAGCAGTGAGAGAACTGGATGAAACCAGCATTTCCCAAACCATATTCATTTCTGTGTCACTGTCTTAGTCTGTGCCACAGCGGTGTGCCCACCTAAATGGTTATTTATGTTCCTTTAAACTGCTGCCTTTTCCAAACTTTTTCTCCTTTAGTGAATTTTTTTATTTCAAAAGGAAATTGTATATTACTGCTGCATTCCACTTGCCATATGGCAAGTGTATGACTTGCCATAAATAGAAGGTAACTGTAAAAATAAATACTATGAAAGCAGGTTATCCCATTCTGGTGACAGAATGTCTGCTCAAGGACAGTGAGGAGAGATTTGCCTCTCTGCATTAAACAAGGACATTGGCAACTGATAGGTGGTGAAAACACACTAGTTCCCAACTTAGACTTCCTCTTTGACATCATCCAAAGGGTTGAAAGAAAATAGAAGCTATTCTGCATGTGACTCGGTGTTATTTAATGTTTGTTCTCACTGTAATCACCTGAAATCACATCCCTTGGGTACACAGCTCTGTGGCTTTTTCCAGTACTCTGTAGGATTTTAATGCTGCCCCCACACAGCCTGCTCACCTTGAGAATAAACATCTCTCGCTGCTCTCAGGCCCATCCTTCTTCCATTTCCTAAACGTGGTCTTTGGGAGCCATCTGTTCCCACCCTTCCCCAGGCAGCCCCCTGCCCTCTGCCCCTGTCATCATGTCTGAGCTGGGTGCTTTGAGCTCAGCTGGATCCCCCATTACTGGTTAATGGCTCCCAGTTTAAACCAGGAAACTTTGTGGCTTCCTTTTCTCCCTTCCCTTCCTCTCCTTCTGAACTGCCATTATTTATATAGGTGTTTGAGATTAAACAACTAAAAAAAATTCCCTCTGCTTTATAAGGCCTAAAAGGACTGAAGCCAGAAGAAAAACAGAAATGGCACAATGTGGAGCAATGGCAGGGAAAAATAGGTTGTGGAGGTTTACAGGTCTGTGCTGTGTAGTCTTGGGCAATTTGCTTCACCTCTCTGGGCCTCAGTCTCGTCTGTAAAATGGAGAATAGTACAGTCTTCTCTCTTGATCCACAGGGGATTGGTTCCAGGACCCTCCCCGCAACAGCAACCTCCAGGGATACTAAAATCTAGATGCTCAAGCCCTGATATAAAATGGCATAGTATTTGCATATAACTTACAGACATCCTCTTGTATAATTTAATCATCTCTATATTACTTATAATACTTAACAATGTGAATGCTATGTAAATAGTTGTTATATTGTATTTTTAAATTTTATACTTTTTTTTCTGACTATTTTTGATATTCAGTCAACCATTGGTTGAGTCCATGGATTTGGAGGGGCAGTTGTACTTCACAAAATTGTGGTATAAATGAGAAAATATGGATAAGGCTTCTCTCACAGTGATTGCTATATAATAGATGCCCAGTGAATGTCAGTTTCCTTATTCCCTTTCTGGACCCCAAAAGTTTTTGGCCAGATACTCCTGGGAGGCAAGCAGATTCCTACACTCTTACCCCTCCTGGCTTGGAAGAGCCCCAGCAATTAACAGCTCAGCCTGGGAGTCATGATCTTTAATCCCCCTCCCCCTCCTGGGTGATTTCCAGAGATTTCGGGTGGGACAGTAAGCCCAAGGCACCAGCTAAACAAACATAGCATGTAGTCTCAGAGACAAAGCTTCAGATGCTCTTGCTGGAGCCCGTATGCTGTTTCCAGTCCCCATAGTTCCAGCGATGGAGTGCTGATGTTTGGTACCAGATGAAACGCTGTGATGCTTTTTCCTTCTGGTCAGCTGGCCTTCCCCCAGAGTTGAAAGGAAAGGAAAATGACTGGTAATTCATTTATGCTCCACTCCCTCTTTCCTGGTGGATCCTATTTCTATAAATAACTCTGGGAAGCTGCTAACCAGCTAACAACAACAGTACCTATATTTGCACTTCCAGAAACCCTTCTTCAGATGCCCCAGTGGAACCTTGGGGGAATGCATACCTGATGTGAACCAAGCTCCTTTCCCCACTATCTCAGTGACCTCACCAAGCTTACCTCTCTTACCCAGTTGCCCATCTATAAAATGGGAATAAGAATAGCAACCTGGGGAGTTTGCTAGGATAAAGGAGAAACAGGAAAACATCTAAGACACTGAGATCAAGGCAGGTGTTTAGTGTTTACTGGTCTTCTCTTGGAAAATAATAGAGACCATTTTTAGGAGATAAGGAGGTTATCTCATCAAAACTAAAGTTGTGATCACCGGTCTGCTATTATCCTGAGAAGGAGCAAAAATGGAAGTGGAGATGATCCCTGTCTATTTGCTAGTTTTACAAAATGCTGCTCCTCTTAGCCAAAACATTCCTACTATGTCTCCTTTCTCCTGGACCGCTTCAGTAGCATCCTTCTGGCCTCCCTGCCCCTGTCTCTCCCTTTAATCCATCCCTCACGTTGTTCCAGCTGTTACCTCTCAAAGAGCCCCTGCTAGTGCCCTCCCTGGGTTTCCCGCTGCTGGCAGCTCGGGTCCTGATCCTTAGCAGGGCAGCCCCAGCCCTTCTTCCCAGAGCCCTATCCTTCCTCGAGTTTATTACTTTCATGCAGATTCAACACAGCCTCTGGTCAGTGTCTGGTGATGTCGGCAGAAAAGACCAAAGCCTCACTAATCAGAGTGAAAATAGGGAAGGTCTTTCTGATTTCGAGTGATATGGAGGAAAAATGAGGCTTGTTGACCCTCAGAACCAATTCAACTCAGCAAATTTTTTGTTAAGGACCTACTGTGTGCCAGGGTCCATGGAGGATAGAAAGCAGTCAGCTCACCCCTGTTGGGGAGACAGAAACACACTAAACAGTTTGCCCTGAAGCAGCCACTAGTAAGGGGAACTGGTGACGGAGTGTGCCAGGGTGTGTGGGGCTACAGAGGTGTAATGCAAACTGGGAGGTTGGGGGAACTTCCTAGAGAAAGGTGCTAACTACTGAGGAACACAGGCAAGTTTGCACATTCAGGCTTATCTGGAAGTGAACTTTACTTTTATGTATCTATAGGGCTCCTATGGACTGAATTGTGTTCACCATCAACATTCACCACCCTCAAATTCATGTGTTGAAGCTCTAACTCTCTATGTGATGGCATCAGAGATAAGGCCTTTAAGGAGGTGATTAAGATTAAATAAGGTCATAAGGGTAGAGCCCTGATCAGATAGAACCAGTGTCCTTATAAAAGAGGAAGAGACCCCAAAGAGCTCTCTCTCCTCCATGTGAGACACAGCAAGAAAGTGACCATCTACAAGCCACGAAGAGAGCCCTCACCAGAAACCGAATCCCATCAGAACCTTGATCTTGGACTTCCCAGCCTTCAGAACTATGGGAAAATAAATTTCTATTATTTAAGCAACCTAGTCTATGGAATTTTGGTACAGCAGCCTAAGCCGACTAAGACCAGAGCTCTGGTATAAGGATGAGCCTAGACATACAGACTTTGCATGTCTGTTATTTGTGTGTAACCAAATGCTCCCAACCTAATTGTGGGGTCTGGAAGTGTTTATTTCCTCCATTCATTCATTCATCTGTCCATTCATTTAGCAGACTCTTCCTGGTGTGTGCTCTGTGTGGGGTCCTGTGCTGGAGAGTGAACTCTGGTCAGACCTCATCTGTGCCCACCATGGGCAGCCATGTGCATTGGGCACACATGAAGGAAGCACTGCAGTCCTCTGCGCAGACAGGGGGACAAGGCAAGGCTCTCTTCCTTTCTAGGAAGGAAGGGCTGCCATGGCAAAGGCCAGCTTTACAGCCCACTCTCCATCCATCCCCTTCCAGCTCTCAGGGAGCAGCCCTTGAGCACGCTGCATTTTCCCGGGGTTTGATGTGGGAGGAGACAAGCAACATAACCTGCAGGCAGGTGTGCTGGAATCAAAGAGGGCCTGATCACACCTTTGGACAGCAGAACAGATGAGCAAATCCCATTCCTGAGCACCTACAGTGTGCCAGGGGCTTCGCCTTTCTCATTCCATTGAGTCTGCTCAGCTGGGAGGCTCTAGAGCAGAAGAGCTAAGAGTGTGGGTTTGAATGTTGGCTCTGTCATTATTAGCTGTGATCTTTAGCAAATGCTTTTAACCTCGGAGTTTTCATTTTTCCCTTATGTGTAAAACAGGGATAATATTAATAATACCTACATCATTGGTGGTATTAGAATTCAATGTGAAATAATATATGTGAAGTACTTAGCAAAGTGCCCAGTTATCGTACAGTCTTAATAAATGGAAATTTCTATCATTGTTGTCATTTTTCTGGTTAGTGTTTTACTCAACAGAGCCTAAGAAAGATACAATAACTTGCCCAAGGTCACAGAGATAGTAAGTGGCATTTTTGCATCCCAGGTGTGCCTGGCTCTTCACAATCTTTTCTCACTCCCACCAGACTGCCTCCCTTATCTAACAGCCATCTCTCCCTTTCTTGACAACCCTCAGGCAGCCATAGGGTCTAAGGGAACCTCTAAAGCAGATCAGGGATTTATTCTCCCCCCGCCCTGCACTATACCCTACCCTGCTGCACAGAGGATCAAGCTGCATGCACATTTTGGGAGCAGTTTATGACCCCTGGCCAGAGGCCCCTGAATGGAAACCGCTGAGTTGCACTCCGGCTCTCTGCTCTGTTCAGATGCCTCTATTGGGCCCTGTGTGGATGACAAGATGATGCATGAGGTCTGGCTAAGCAGCTTATTTGTCTGAGCTGGTGATGGCCTTTGTCCTGAGGTGGGTTAATGGTAAGGGGCAGTGGCCCTTTAAGGCCTGGACAATGGGCAGGCTTCTCAGGTCATCAAATCACTCAGTGGAATGGCCCTGAGTCCCTTAGAGCCCCCTCAGAACACAGGAGGCCTCTGCTGACCCTGCTCATCATCCATTGATGCACCCCCCGCCCCGCCAACCAAAGGGGAACACTGGAATAATGGAGAGAGAGAATCAAAGAGCATTCAAATGACAAAGGACTTCAGAGGAGGAAACCGAGACAGAGAGAGGACAGTGATCATTCCTGACTTCCCACCTCCCCCTGCACCCAGTTCTGTACTGTGCTTTCCTAGCTTGGCTTGTTTCTTTCTCCAAATGCAGCAGGCCCACAACTAACCAGACCAGGCTGTTTTTCCCAGCTGTTCCTTTCATTGCTGAAACCTAATGCTGCAGATTTCAGTTCCAACTTCACCTGGCAGCCATGGCCTACCAGAATTCACCCTTTCCCTACTTCTTGAGCCCCTCTGATCCTTCCCCAAGCCCCTAGTCTTGTGAGCAACACCATTTAGCCTCTGCTGCCTGCTTCAACAAAAGCAGCTTGCTCCCTTTGATCAGTTTCCTACATTTGCTTCTGAATAAAGATCCTATTTAAAGATAACTTCTAATATTAGGATTTTTTCCAAGTTTGAAACCCACTGATTTAGATCAACCCTTTTATTTTATGGAAAGTTGCAGAGCTGGGATTCAAATCCACGCCTTCTGATTCCCAATCTTGACTTCCTCTCAATGTATGTATTCATTTATTCATTACACAAAGATTTCTAGCACACCTACTGTGTGTCAAATACTGAGCTGGTCCCTAGAGTACTGACATATATAAGACAGTGCTCCTGCCCTCAAGGAAGGGCCTGAGCATTAACATCCAGTCCTGCTGAGGGTTCAAAACGCAAATATGAAAATGCCTATTGAGTTTGGCATCCATGTGACCACTGGCGACTTTGGTAAGGGCATTTTCAGAATGTGGAGGCTAAAACCAGAGGAGGATAGATGGGAGGGGAGCTGGCAGAGGCAGTTTAAGTAAATGATCTAAAGAGACTGGGCTTTGTGTCACAAATTACTTACTAATTACAAAGGGAAAAGAGTTACTTTATAGTGGGGAGATTAGGAATCACCACCTTAACCAAGTGACCAAACTTAGCACTCCATTAGTGAGCCATCCTAATATGACGCAGTAAGATGTACGTCTCATCACACATGAGGTACACTTGCCAAAAACATGTAACCTGAATCCAATTATGAGAAAACAATCAGACACATCCAGAATGCAGGACATTTTACAGAATAACTGGCCTGGACTTTCAAAAAGGCTAATACCATGAACAAAAGGACTGATGAGTATTTGGGTGGGTAGGAGGCTCTGGTAGATTAAAAGAGACTAAAGAAATCAGCCAAAAACTTGACTCTTACAAGTGATTGAATCCTGTTTTTCTAAATGCTATAAAAAAGACAGTTGGGGGCCGGGCGCAGTGGCTCACGCCTGTAATCCCAGCACTTTGGGAGGCCAAGGCAGGCAGATCACGAGGTCAGGAGATCGAGACCATCCTGGCTAACACTGTGAGACCCCATCTCTACTAAAAATACAAAAATTAGCCAGGCGCGGTGGCGGGTGCCTGTAGTCCAGCTACTGGGAGGCTAAGGCAGGAGACTGGCATGAACCCGGGAGACGGAGCTTGCAGTGAGCCGAGATCACTGCCACTGCATTCCAGCCTGGGCAACAGAGCAAGACTCCGTCTCAAAAAAAAAAAAAAAAAGACAGTTGGGAAGAATTGGAGAAATTTTAAACTATAGTATGTATGTTAGGTGATATGGAATAATTATTCATTAATAGTCATATTGTGGTTAGATGATAGAATGCTCTTATTCTTAGGAGATGTGTGCTGATATAAAGTGTACTGAAGTCTACAACTTTCAGATGATTCAGAAAAACTTTTTATGCATCGAGATGAAGTAATGTGGCAATATATTAACTGACAGATTTAGATGAAGAGTATATGGGCTTTTCTGCACTATTCTTTCAACTTTTCCTTAGGGTTGAGATTTTTCAAAATAGAAAATGGGAGTGCCTGTACTTAGATTGGCTAGAGACTGGACAATAGCAATTGGGTTTTGGAAAGATTTCTTGGGACGGGTGAGATTGGGTGCTTTTTTTCATGAGAGCCCACCCTCACAACCAAGCAATGCTTTACACCAAGCATTGACTTCGCCTCTTGGAATACAGAACCCCTCCAAACCTTTACAGAGAACCGATGGTTTGGCAGTTGTGATAAAACAGGCCCTTCCTGGGCATGGAGGGAACTTCAGCAAGGCACCGGATCCAGTAATGGGAACCACATTGGCAGAAGTGTAGGGAGCTCCACCCCAGAAATAGCCCTTCTGTGCCGAGGCAGGACAACTGGAATGAATTATGCACATTCATACTTGTTAAACTGCCTTGGCACCAGAAGTGATCCTCGTAACCTGAGCTTTACAGCAGCACAGCCATACTTAAAGTTGGGTCAGCCTTGCCCCCGCACTCTCTCTGTCGGAGGTTTATAGCTAAGGCATAAAACAATTCAGCATGAGCTGAAACATGAAAACCTCCTCCAGATTGCAAAGGTAAACTTCTCTTTTTAAAGTTTTCTGAGGAGGCAGTGTTTGGGAATAAAGTCTTGTCTGTCTCCTTCTGCTTTTCCAGGTCCCCACACACCCTGTCCCCACCTCACTCCCTACCTCAAGCCTAGACCACAATCCAGTCACACACAGAAGCTGCTGCATCCTGTAGTTGGAGGGTTCTGTTGTGACCAGGGAGTCTTGGTTTCTGAAACTGAGCCTTGAAGCTGTCTGGCCTTGGGCAAGTTGAGTCCCCTCTCTAAGCTTCAGCCTCTTGGTTATTTATAGACAATATTTATTACAGGGTTATCCAGACCATACAGGTGTGTGGTCACTGTGTACGTGAGACCAGTGCACACGGTGGGTACTCTGTAAACAATGAAGTTTGCCTCATGTATCGATTCTTCCTTTCCTGAAAGATTTCTCTGTACAATGGAATGTTGTTTGACAGCATTTTACCCACAGTAGAATTTCTTTCAAAACTGGAGTCGGTCCTCTCAAACCCTGCTTCTGCCTTATCAACTATGTTGATATGATATTCTAAATTCTTTGCAGTCATTTCAACAATGTTCACAGCATCTTCATCAAGAGTAGTTTCCATCACAAGAAACCACTCTCTTTGCTCATCCATAAGAAGCAACTCCTCATCCATAAAAGTTTTATCATGAGATGGCAGCAATTCAGTTACATCTTGAGGCTCCACTTCTATTTTTCTTGCTACTACCAACACACCTGCAGTTACTTCCTCCACTGAAGTCCTGAATTTCTCAAAGTCACCCGTGAGAGCTGGAATCAGTTTCTTCCAAACTCTTGTTAATATTTCACCCCTCTCCTATGAATCTTGAGCATTCTTAATGGTATTTAGATTGGTAAATCCTTTCCAGAAAGTTTTCAATTTGCTTTGCCCAGATCCATCAGAGGAATCACTATCTATGGCAGCTATAGTCTTATAAAATGTGTTTCTTAAACAATACGATTTGAAAGTCAAAATTACTTTTTGATCCACGAGCTGAAGAATGGGTGTTACATGAGCAGGCATGAAAACAACATTCATCTCCTTAGTTATCTCCATCAGAGCTCTTGGGTGACCAGGTACATTGTCAGTAAGTGGTAATATTTTAAAAGAAGTCTTTTCTTCTGAGCAGTAGCTCTCAACAATGGGCTTAAAACATTCAGTAAACCATGCTGTAAACAGATGTGCCATCATCCAGTCTTTGTCATTACATTTAAAGAGCACAGGCAGAGTAGATTTAGCATCATTCTTAAGGGCACTGGGATTTTGGGAATGATAAATGAGCACTGCCTTCAACTTCAACTCACCAGCTGCATTAGCCCCTGACAAGAGAGTCAGCCTATCCTTTGAAGCTTCAAGCCAAGCATTGACTTTTCCTCTCTAACTATGAAAGTCCTAGATGACATCTTCTTCCAATAGAAGGCTGTTTTGTCTATGTTGAAAAACTGCTGTTTAGTGTAGCCACCTTCATCAACAATCTTAGCTAGATTTTCTGGATAACTTGCTGCAGTTTCTCCCATCAGCACGTGCTGCTTCACCTTGCACTTTTATGTTATGGAGGCTGCTTCTTTCCTTAAACCTCATGAACCAACCTCTGCTTGCTTGAAACTTTTCTTAGACAGCTTCCTTGTCTCTCTCAGACTTCACAGAATTGAAAAGAGTTAGGGCCTTTGCTCTGGATTAGGCTTTGGTTTAAGGGAGTGTTGTGGCTGGTTTGGTCTTTTATCCAGACCACTAAAACTTTCTCCATAAAACATAAAACAGCAAAAAGGCTGTTTTGCCTTCTTATCATTTGTGTGTTCAATGGAGTCGCAATTTTCATTTCCTTCAAGAACTTTTCCTTTGCATTCACAATGTGGCTAACTCTTTGGCTCAAGAGACCTAGCCTTCAGCCTGTCTCAGCTTCTGACATGACTTCCTCACTGAATTTAATTATTTCTAGCTTTAGATTTAAAGTGAGAGGCACACAACTCTTTCTTTCACTTGGCCATTGTAGGGTTATTAATTGGCCTAATTTCAATATCATTATGTCTCAGGGAATAGAAAGGCCGGAGGAGAGGAAGAAAGACAGGGAATGGCCAGTCAGTGGAGCAGTCAGAACACAAACCTTTATCACTAGGTTTGCCATCTTACACCAGACACAGTTTGTGGCATCTCAGAACAATTACAATAGTAACACCAAAGATCACTGATCACAGATCACCATAACAGAGATAGTAATAGTTTAAACATTTGAAATGTTACAACAATTACCAAAATGAGAAACAGAAACATGAGGTGGGCATGTGCTGTTGGAAAAATGGCACCAATGGGCTTGCTTGACTCAGGATTGCCACAAACCTTCAATTTGTAAAAATATGGTATCTGCAAAATGCGCTACAGCAAAGTGAAATAAAACAAGGAATGCCCTTACGTAGATCTCTATAGAGAATCGTTGTTTTGATTATGAACAGAAGTTTTTCCAAAATTACTCTTGCTTTCATCTAAAAGATAGCCAAAGTACAGTCCTTAATAGAAGAGAAATAATGTGGAAAATCACAGGAAAATAATTTGATTTTATCCTTTTATTAAGAGTTTTTAGTAGAAGGGCGGGAGAAGCTTTGAAGTCAGACAGACCTCAATTCAAATCCCAGCCATGCCACTTACTGGCAGAGTGACCCAGACAGATTAGTAATCCATTCTGAGCCTCAGTGGTTTCATCTGTAAAATAAGGCATAATAATACTGACCCAGCAAAGGGAAGTGAAGATACAGTGTGCTTTGTGAAAAGCTCTTAGCCCAGTACCTAGCAAATAGAAAGCATTTAATGAACAGAGCTACAATTAGTACCGAATCTGAGAAGAGCAGGAACGCTCCTGATATCCAGACCTGTCTCTCAAGTATTGTTCTTGGGCACCAGGAATGACAGACCAAGGGAAGCCAGCTGACATCAAAAGCCTTGCCCTGCAGATCTTCAAATAGATGATAAAAATGCACTGTGATTTCTGCCCTTTTGAAGCTGTCTCTTAGCCTAGCCCTTCAAGCTACTAGGGATTTGATGGGCTGGGAGGACACTGAGGATGAGAAGAAACTTCAATTTGTTGTTTCAAAGTAAGGCAGCTCCTTCAGATAAGGCAACCTGGTTTTTTCAGAGCCTAGGTTCCCAGACATGTGGTCAGGTAGGGAAAATGATCTTCATCATTGCCTTTTTCTTTTGGCAAACGTACTAGGGATGGGTAGGAAAGTGTGGACCAGAATCAGGTTCTTTGTTTTTTTTTTCTGCCTGAGTCAGGACTACGAACCCCAAACTGCTTCTGCAGAGGTTGAGCATTTTCACTGGAGTCACCACATGTCAGCTAGTTCATCCCAGGCAGATTTCTGCTTCCAGTCCCAGTTCTGCCTCTCACTAGTGATGACACTGGAGAGTCACTCTGCCTTCTTGGCCCTCACTTTGCTTATCTCTAAGGAAAGAAGAAAACCAGCTGCTCTGGTGGCCTCTTTAGCCTGTCATATGGCCTCTGTGAGATAAGGCATGTGAAAGTATGAGTGCTCCCAAGGTGGGGAACAGAAACGCAGTCCTCACCACGCACTCTGCAGTGAGGCAGGCACGTTATACACACACCTTTGTGCAACAGGCGTTTTCCCAAAAGGCTATACCCAAACAGAATTTGTTGTTACTAAAATACATGGTAAATAGAATCTTTAATAAATAGAAGCATTTTAAGTACAGAATAGGAGATGGAGAAAACTAACATTTATTTACCACATACTACTTTTAATTTATTCTGATTTTGTCATCAAGATTCTTGACGGTGTATTTTTGCACATTAAAGTAGCACACCTGGATTATAAAGATTTTCAAACAGGTTGTCTACAGTATCACTAAAGATCTAGGTACATTTCCCTACTAGAAAAAAAAATGGTTTTTAAATATGCCTTGAAAATTTCTATCCCTCTGGACAGATGAGAATTTATGACAGGCAATTAAATGATGTATGTGTATTTGTTGAATGTGAATTTCTCCTGGTGAAGCAGAGAAAGTAATATATAAAGAGGGGCAGAGGGTAGGAAGGGACCAGACTTGTTTCCTGCTCATTTGCACAATGGGTCAGACATTTCCACTCTCCACATTCCTCAGGATAAGAGTCTGCTGCTCACACTGACGCCCACCCCTTGCCCCCACACCAAGGCGTCCTTTTTTTCTTCTGTCTCACTTCTTCCAAGAGTCAAGATCCTTCTTGGAACATAACTCAAGCTTCAGAACATACTTCCTTTAGGACTGGAAAATTTCCTAGAAGTTGGGGTGTGAAATCTCCCCCTTCCTCCAGGGCCTCCTGCCCTAGCTTGGGGGTTGCCACCTACAGACTGCGTTTGCTGTCTGAGCAAACTCAGCACGTCTTGTCTCAAAGGTGCACATTCATTAAGGATATCGAGTTGAAGTCCTCTTCTCTGGAGCTAATAGCAGATGCACATTTCTGGGCTAGGGAGAAAGAGTCTGTCCTAAAGACCCTCGCAGGACCATGCACCGACTCTTGAGGGAGAGTTTCATTGGATTTGAAAATCTGAGCACTTCCGGCCTGACAGGGCTTCTCTTGGAAAGACACAGTACCGTGGAAGGGCACAGGCTTTGGAGTCAGCCAGAACTGGCTTCAGATCACCATTTCTCCAATTTGTGACCGCAGAGCATTTGGGCAATTTACCTCCCTCACTGAGCCTTTTTTTTTTTTTTTTTGTCTGTCATGAAATAAGGATAATAAATTTTACGTAGGAGGGGGAGAGGGAGGCAAATGAGGTAGTATTTGTGAAAAGTTAAGCAGGAAGCCTGGCACATACAAGGCACAAGAACAAGACCATCCTTTTGCCCACTGGCTCCTCTGGGATAGATTCTGTCTCGTGTTGCCCACAGAGCTTGCACTTAGGAATGACTACGGGCTCAGAGGAGTGGGAGGTCGGTCAGCCTTTGCCCTAGAGCAAACTTGTCCAACCCTTGGCCCACAGGCCGCCTGCAGCCCCGGACGGCTTTTGAATGTGGCCCAACACAAAT
The DNA here is from genome assembly GCF_000001405.40 of Homo sapiens. NCBI lineage: Eukaryota > Metazoa > Chordata > Mammalia > Primates > Hominidae > Homo > Homo sapiens. The sequence goes on along the minus strand of NC_000011.10, from coordinate 78,942,501 downwards.
TAGTCAACTTTCTTAAAAAATTATGAGACCTTATTTGCAATTTTTTTTTTTTTTTTTGAGACAGGGTCTTGTGCTATCACCCAGGCTGGAGTGCAGTGGCATGATCTCAGCTCACTGCAGCCTTGACCTCCCAGGCTCAGGTGATCCTCCCACTCAGCCATCCAATTATTAGAACTACAGGCGCATGCCACCATGCCCAGCTTTTTTTTTTTTTTTTTTTTTTTTTTTTTTTTTTTTTTTTTGGTGTATTTTGTAGAGATGGGTTTCACCATGTTGCACCAGGCTGGTCTCAAACTCCTGAGCTCAGGCCATCTACCCAACTTGGCCTCCCAAAGTGCTGGGATTACAGGCATGAGCCACCACACCCAGAAGTGATTTTTTTTTTTTTTTTTTAGCTCATCAGCTATCATTAGTGTTAATGTATTTTATGTGTGGCCCAAGACAATTTTTCTTCCAGTATGGCCCAGGGAAAGCCAAAAGATTGGACACCCCTGCCCCAGAGGAAAGCCAGCAGTGAGCCCTGGTCCACCACAGCACTACATGCTGTCCTCAGTGTGTCTAGCCCCATAGTTCCCCAGGACTGTCATGGGAGCCAAAGAGAGCCTGTGTACAAAAGTGCCTGGCACACAGTAGGTGCTCAGAAAATGTTGAATCTTACAAAAGAGAAATCTGATTACAGACAGGCCAAGAATGCAGCCTGTGTTGTGTCAGAGTCAGCTCTCTGCCCATTTCAGGGACAGCTTTGTGAGGTGAGAGTGAGTCCAGGCAGCCTCGGGCTGCAGGGAGAGTCTGCTCTGGATTCTACAACACGCTGGGGTGGGCGCTGAGAGCCAAGGGGTTCCTGTTCCCACATCTGCCCTGCCCCAGCACCTGCTGCTTGTGGGACACCCCCCCAACCCCACCCCGCCCCGGCGCCGTGCCAGGGCTTGCCTTCCTGCCTCCGAGCCTAGAGGTCAGGCTGCTTCCAAGTCACATCTGAATGGGTGTTGCTGAGGCCTGAACAGAACAGCCTTTCCCTACTTGGGCACCCCTTCCCCCACCCTCCCTCGGCAGCTTGGCCAAATGCTTTAGGCAAGTCCCTAGGCCTTCACCTATAGGCCCACCCACCAGCCCCATGTGCCACTTTCTGTTTCTCAAACACACCTGGTGCCTTCACAGCTCTGCAGTTTTCCACAGGAACACCTTTGCTAAGCACGTAAGGTGCTAAGTGCTTTTATGTCTCTGGTCTCATTTCATCTTCACAGCAGTTCTAAGACACCAGCATTGTCCTCTTTTCACAAGTGAGGCAACCGAGGCTCAGAGAGATCATGCAATTTGCCAAAGGTCAGGCAGCTAGCAAGTGTCAAGCCCACGGGGATCCGGTGCTAGAGCTGACAGTCTTTGCACCCGCCAGGCTGTGAGCTCCCTGGAAGAGCTTTAAGGCTCCATTGGCTTGCGGGGGACATGCCTGCCTGGGCATTCAAAATGCAGGATGTTTGTTCACTCTTTCACTTGACAAAGTGAGGCAATTTGTCAGGTTCTTTTGGTAACTTTTCAGGCAAAAAGGCTCAGGTGAAGACAGCTCTTGGCTTTAACAGAGAATGGCTTGAGGGTGCTATTTCTGGTAGGCCTAGGACCAGGGAGAGAAGAGAAAGCAGCTGTAGAGATTGGGATAAGTGCTTGGCTTGTCAGAAAGATAATCTCCCCACACCTGTGCCCTGGAAACACAATCCAGGCCCTGAGATGCACTTTCATCTGTCACCATGGCATCCCCAGGGTGACCTGCCCAAGCATATCCAAGCCAGTGGGGCTCAGGTTACAGGGCCCATTCTCAGGGTCCTTGAGTCCCAACAATGCCTGTTTGTCCTTTGGTACTGCCATCTCCCAGGAGGAATGTTAATGGGATGGAGAATGGAGGGGGGCTGGGAGGAAGAAGAGACTGACTTCAGTCTGAGCCTGCTGCCCTGTCAGCCTCTTGAGTGAGCTCATCCGTGAATGTCTGCTAGTCCTTCCAAGAGACACTTAAACCATCCCCAGGAAAGAGGAATTCGTCCTCTGCTCTTCTAGACCAGACCATCATCACTCCTAAGTGGGGATGGGGGTCCTCTGTTTAATGTGGGACTTAGCCTACCCCTTGGCAGAACTTATGATTCAAGTCAAGAAATATTTCCAAAAACAGAAAAACTGAAAATGACTTAGATGTCTAATAGTAGGAGGTTGGTAAAATAACATCTTCTGTCCATTTGATGAAATTTTAGGTAGTCATTAAAATCATGTTTTCAAATAATATTTGAAAGATAAAATTCTCATAGTATAATGTTAAGTGGAGATTGGATATAAACTGTATATACAGTATGAACCTAATTTGATAAACATATGCTTAAATATGTAAAAGAAAAGACTAGGAGGAAATGTATATATACCAGGGAGCATTAACAGCAGTTATTACTGTTGTAGCTGTGACTGGGTTTTGTTTTTTTTCCTTTGTACTTTTTTCTTTTATACATTTTTTTCCTTTGTACTTTTTTCTTCTATATATTTTCTAGGGAAAACATGTTACTTTAGAGTCTAGAGGAAATTAATTTCTTACAAATTAATTTATTTCACTCCTACTATATAGCTAGCATTGTGCTAGGTGCTGGGGATAAGAGATTTATCTGAAGAACCTAGTCTCTGTCCTTCATGAGCTCATAGCCTAACTTGTTTAAAAATATACAAGCAGATAACAAAAATACGTTGTTTTTAACAACAATAACAGTGATTATACCTACACATTTGTTAAGTGCTATGGATTGTTCTAAGGGCTTTATGTGTACTTGCACTTAAACATTGCAGTTCCATGAAGTAGGTGGCTTTTAACCCATTTTACTAATAGTTTGTACAGGCTGCTATGGGAACATAGAGAATGGAGAGATTAATTCTCTATGTGGGGGTCAAGAAGGCTGCAGCGAAGAATTGGTACATCTGCTAATTCTTTCAGGATAAATGTGAGTTCTCCAAGTGGACAGAGCAAGAAAGAGTTTTTTGGGTACAGGCAATACCATGCACAAAGATATCAAGGAATGAAAGAACAAGACATTGTTGTGAAATTGCTAATACCATGTTCCTTCCTCCCCAGTGAGAAGCTAGAAGGGCCTTCGGGGCCAGTTTATGAAGGGCATAGAAGATCACGCTGTAAAGTTTGAGCGTGATTATATTAGGCAGCAGTGAGCCATCAAGGAGCTCTGACATGGTCAGCTCTGCCTTGGAGAAAGATCATTCTGGGCTTCTGAAACACTGTGAAAAGCTCAGCCGTATGTGGAGAGAGAAGTGTTCCTCGGGAGACTGAGTGTTGCAGGAAAATTCATCTCCGTTCCAGCTGAAGTAGCAGAGAAGGAGAAAGGAAACAACGGGAGGCCACAGAAATGTGTGATTTCCATTACCCTTATCTGCTTGTAGAAAGTCACTGCAGCCGTGTGGAATCAAGCCCCCAGATGGGAGCTGTATGTGCACAGAAATGTGTTTACTACCCAGACCAAGAAAAGGTGTTACCACCAGAAGAGAGATTTGGGAATTCCAAATGGACTTTTGGTCTTGCATGCAATTTCTGGGCTTCGTTAGTCCAAATCTCTTCTGTTTTTGCTGTAAGAACAAAGGAAAGTCTTGTGTGACCATGCTATAAGTGCTTATACTCCAAGCTTGTTTGGAGTTGCATTTAGTATACAAGTCCCCAAACCCCTCACCATAAATCTGACAAAGTGCTAGAAAGCCAATGTAACCCTCCTTGGTTTGTTTGCCAAGCTTTTGGCCTACCAGATGATGGTCTGCTCTGCTTGGCCACAAGGGTTCTGCTTGCAACAAATGAGACGAGCAGAATAATGTAGGCACTTGTTCATCAGGATTGTTTCTTACTCTAACATTGCCCTTCCTATTAAAATATTATTTTTTCAATGAAGTAATGATAAGTAGAGGGCATATTTTTCTTTTGTTATTTTTGTTCTCAACTTAAAAAAAAATTGACTATGAAATGCAAATCTGGGCACCACGGAGCCTATACTTTGTTGATCTGTACTTAGTGCCAGGTGCTAGGAGGAATGCAGAGAAGAATCAAACATGGACGTGTTCCTTAAGATAGATGCTCTGAGTGGTAAATGATGATTATCATTTGGAAAAGGCTGGATGTTATCACTGAGAGATGCTGGGTGAAAAGTGCATAGGAACTCTTTGTACTATTTTTGCAAGTTTTAGGTGAATCTAAAATTATTTCAAAATAAAAAAGGCCAGCACCTAGGGTGAATGGCAGGGTGCCAGCAGGCAGAATATAGAAAGGAGTAGCATGGGGTTGTCATTTAAAGCTGCAGCAGGAAGAATCTTGAATATCAGGCTAAAGAGTTCACACTTTATTCTGTAGATAGTGTGAAGCCATGGAAAGTTTTTGATTAAGACCCAAACATAGTCAGATTTCCTACTAGAACAATCACTCAATTATCAGGGTGAAGGATGATTATAGAGAAGTGAGCCTGGGGGTTGTTAAAATAACCTCGGTGGGAAAGGATGATCTTTAAAAGTATCCCTATGTCAAAAGATGAAATTACAACAAATTTAGATCTTAATTGGCTTTTTTTGGGATTCTAGAATTGGGCAATACTCATTTTCCAATAAGCTGAGCAGAGGAGGTTAGCTTTGTAGACAGAAAAGGAAAACAGAAACAGAGACCAAAAAGTGCATTCGTTGTTTAAATTACAGCAGAGGGGGCTTCCTTATCATGCTGGCTAAAACTGGCCTGTTTGGGAATATGACTATCATCTCTCTCTCCTGATTTCTTAGAAGGCCAGATGAACAGCTTCGTTTTGGCTTGGTAGTGGAATTTCTGCATGAGTGACTCCATTTTGGTTTGCTCTGTTGGGCCTAGTGCAAGAGCTCAGTCCAAACCAATGGCCTCCTATAAATTTTATTTAACACCTAAGAGAACTAGCTCTGCAGGTTGTTAATAGGAGCTATTTGAAATAGGGGTTCCATGGACAAATACATTTGGGAAATGTTAAGGTGGAAGAGATTCCTTGCTACAGGAGTTCTCAGCAGCATTAACTTGTTAGCTAATGTGCACTGTGATTGTCTAAGCAGAAGAGACGATATGCAGGGTTTCCCAAACCTTTTTGAACATGGAACCTTCTCAGGAACTTCTCACAGGACTTGTGTTCAGAAAAGCACCCTCTGGGAAACACATGCTGGCACTGAAATGGAGAGGTATTTGTAGCACGATCTCTCTTTCTATATCCTGCAAACTAGAAACCATGGCCTAAATGCATATGGAACCCTTTGCACTGGGAGAGTGGGTATCTACCAGACCCTCTCTTTCCTTCCCCAGCTTTCTGAACCTCCAGGATCACTGCCCTTCCCCATGCACAGAAGGCTCTTCTGTGGGTTTGTTAACAGCAAAGAAACAATAACATCACAGATGCCTAGGACAAATTTCCAACCCAATTTTTTTTAATTGCAATAATGATAAATAATTTGATGTGTTTCTGAGAAGGGAAGCATTTTTGAAGGATTCTTTAAGTGTCACTTTTCAATCAAGTTCCTTAATTAACCCTTTTTTGCATTTCAGTACAAATACATGTAGTTTTAAGTTCCTTACCCCCCTTATAAGTGAACCCCACCTTGATTTTGACCTATGTGCTATAATTACTTAGGGCAGCCTCTCCTCCTTCCCCACCCACCTTCTCATTCTAACACACTACCTTGTCGTTAGCAATAGTACAGGATGATTATTGAAATGTACAAGTTATTCACTATTTTATTTTAGTTCATTAAACCCTCTGATCTTGTCACATCTGCTGGTTTCTACAAGTTGTTTGACCATCAGCTAGCTAGTTAACCTCTCTGAGCATTGCTTTTCTTATCCTCAGTATGGGAAGAGCAGTTCCTACTTCCCATAGCTAGTGCAGAAAAGTGCTAGGCACATAGTATATTTAGGTACTTGGTAAATACTCTTTCTGATGGCCCCTTTTCCAGTGATTAGCATTATACTTTGCAGTTAACAGTTCCTCAGAAATACTTGAGTGAACACAGGTACATGCACACAGCTGCCATTAGTCTAATAAAGATATTAGTTAAGGAGTTAATTGCACCCTTTAAGATCTTTATTTATTCTTTCTCTTTTGCCTTTCTTTCAATAAAAACACTGAACTTGGCAATGATAATAAACTGTAAACAACCCAGTGAGGTAGGTGATATTGCTCCCATTTTATAAATGAAGAAAGTGAGGCTCAGACTCAAGCTATATTAAAATGCACATCTTCCTGTTTCCCAAGTCCATGTTCTTTAGCACAAGGAATGATAAGACTCATTCCTTCTTTCACTCTTCCAGTTAACTCAACAGTTATTGACATGTGCTGGGTGCCATAAGATGCATTCCAGCCCTGCAAGAACTCACCTTCTAGTTGAAGGAGATGAAACGTGTGCATGAAACTTACAAGGCAGACCTGTAACACCTCATTTATCCCTCACTGGGGAATGAACTGTTACATTAAGTGAATTTTACAGATGGAATCACGAAGCTTTCACTCAGAGGGCCCTTACAGATCTCACTGTACAACCCTATTATTTCAAGGGGAAGAAATGCTAGCTCAGGGACACTGGGTGATCTGCTCAAGGTGGCTCCATTCAACGGTTGCAAAACCGAAACTAGAATCCAGCTCCTTCAACTTCCTGCCTGGGATTTTAAAAATAAGTTAACCATTTTCTTCAATAGAGTACATATTTCTTTGGAATTTATGTCAAGTTGATGGTTCCTACCTCATATTTTTCTGCATGTCTTGGTATAATTGTTATCAGCATTATAACACAGCACTAGAACATAGCAATGACTTTGAACTTTCTTAAATGTGTATTTGATACTCTGTTCCTTACTCTGTGGCCCAGACAGCTTCCTGTTACCCAAGCTCATTAGGTCATTTCCAACCCAACCCAAAATTGCACAAACTGTGGGAACTGTATAGTTAAACAGATTCATTTGGCCGATTAGCTTTGGTACAATTACTTTATTTCTCTGAGCCCATTTCCTCACCTGTAAAATGGGCAGAGTACAATAACCTATCTCATAAGTTATTGGAGTAAAGTTATTGGAGTACAAGGAATAAAAGGTGCCTGGAACTTAATAGGTGTTTAGCGCCCTTCTTCCCCTTCCTTTTTTCCAAGTGTTCAAGAAACTCTTAAAAGTTGCATACCTCCGGCCAGGCGCGGTGGCTCACGCCTGTAATCCCAGCACTTTGGGAGGCCGAGGCGGGTGGATCATGAGGTCAGGAGATCGAGACCATCCTGGCTAACAAGGTGAAACCCCGTCTCTACTAAAAATACAGAAAATTAGCTGGGCGCGCTGGCGGGCGCCTGTAGTCCCAGCTACTCGGGAGGCTGAGGCAGGAGAATGGCGTGAACCCGGGAAGCGGAGCTTGCAGTGAGCCGAGATTGCGCCACTGCAGTCCGCAGTCCGGCCTGGGCGACAGAGCGAGACTCCGTCTCAAAAAAAAAAAAAAAAAAAAAAAAAGTTGCATACTTCCTCACTCACAAAATGCACAGAAATAATGAAGTAGAACCAAAATAAGTGTTGGTCATGAAACACAACCCCCTCCTGCATAGTAAATCAAAAGTTCCTCTACTCTAAAAAAATAAAAAATAAAAAAAACTTGCATATAGTATGTCTAGTTTCTTCCTCCCAGGAGAATAAAGACAGCTTTAACACAAAGCATAATTCATATCATCTCCAGATCTTGGGCCATAGCACCTCATGAAAACTATTAACACATCTCCCACCGCCTACTTTATGAACTAATATAAAAGCAGGTCAGGTGAGCTTGCTCTAGGTAATGGCTGAATCCCTGAAGTATATGAAATTTGACCTCGTGTGAAGCAATTGTTTTAAATTCACTCTGGGAAGAGAGAATGCCTTTCTGTGATGTACATAAGCACTCCTAATAGCACTGTGGATTTCATAGACTCAGAGAGTCAAGGCTTTAGTACTGGAAGGACCTTCCAGGTCCGCCAGTCTAACCCGTGAAAGA